>NC_000014.9:56581409-56884440 GCF_000001405.40 Homo sapiens | reverse complement strand
TCTTACAGCTGCTGATACATGGTTGAAGGTTAATTTAAAGATTATTTAATGACAAGAGCTACTTTAATTCAATCAAATGCTTCAGAAAACAAAAATTATCCTCTACTAATGAAAAAAAAATTGTAAGCAAATACATCTACAATTTTCAACATCTTCCCAATTCATTATATTTCTTCTTTTAATACAAGCCAGTAGCTGGCTGGGTTGAATCCTTCTTACTGATGATGGCTCTCTCTCCATGGCTGCATTATGGTTGAATTATTTACAGTACACAATGCCCCTTGTACAGGGCATAAAGACTTCTACTGATGCAGAGAATGATTCTATCTACTATATTGGTAATAACTGGCTTCCACCCTGATGGCTAATTGTGATGAAAAAAAGCTCCATTTCTTCACATCCTTTGGTTCTGAAGATCCTGTCTCTTCTTTGCTTAACTGAACCACATGAACATGGAGCACATAACGTGTTTGCTTTTCCACAGGCTTGTGTCAGACGCTTTATCAGGGCAAATACTATGCACATTACCCATGATTTTTGCAGTTTTTTTCTTGATAAATTTATTGCTTCATCTGGGCAGCCTGCTAACCTGATCCTTTACCATTTCTCCTGCGACACATGGTTTTGCTGAACTTAACCCTGACTGGATTTCCAAAGATGTTAGGAAGAGAACTAACAAAAATGTGGGTGAAGGAACAAAAAAATAGAGATCTGAAGGCTGAAGTTCATAGCAAGTGATAGGTTACATCAACTTGGATGCCAGATATATACAAAAATCAGGGGCTGAAAAACATCTACTCTCCTTTTATAAAAAGAGGATAAGCCACATTATTTAACTATCTTCCAATTTTTTTATTACTGAAAAAAAAAAATGCTGTGGCACTTTGGGAGGCCGAGGCAGGTGGATCAGCTGAAGCTGGGAGTTTGAGACCAGCCTGGCCAACACGGTGAAACCCCCGTCTCTACTAAAAATACAAAAATTAGCCAGACGTGGTGGCACGCACCTGTAATCCCAGCTATTCTGGAGGCTGAGGCATGAGAATCGCTTGAACCTAGGAAGCAAAGGTTGCAGTGAGCTGAGATTGCGCCACTGCACTCCAGCCTGGGTGACAGAGCAAGACTCTGTTTCAAAAAAAAAAAAAAAAAAAAAAAAGCTGTGAAAATATCTTGGGTTAAAAAAAACTATTTTCCTGGATTTAGAGGGTACAAGTGCAGTTTTGTTCCATGGATATGTTGCATAGGTGAAGTCTTAGCTTCTAGTGTAATTGTCACCTGAATAGTGTACATTGTACCCATTAGGTAATTTCCCATCCTTCACTCCCCTCCCACTCTCCGACCTTTCTGAGTCTCCATTGTCTATTATCCCACTCTCTATGTCCATGCGTACACATTATTTAGCTCCCACTTGTAAGTGAGAACATGTGGTATTTGTTTCTGAGTTATTTCACTTCATATAATGGCCTCCAGTTCCATTGAAGTTTCTGCAAAAGACATAATTTCATTCTTTTATATGGCTAAATAGTATTCTGTGGTGTATATACCAAAAAAAATACCTTAGGCTTTACTGGCCTCTGTAAGTACAATGTGCTCTTAATCTACTCTCTTACTAGGTTGATAGTAGCAGAACTAGTCACAACAATAACTAGCCTCTATAAATGCTTGCTGTGTACCAACTCATTTAATCCTCACGTCACCCCCATTTTACCAAGCAGAAAACTGAGGCACAGAGAAGTTACGTATCTTGTTCAAGGTCACACAGTTGAACCTAGCAGTGGGCTTGAAAGCCTGCCCTTTTAACCACTATGCTATGAGCAACCAAACACCATCTCATGGAAAGGAATGTTGTAGAATGACACATCCTATGTTTTTATTAAACATGAGTATTTAAAAGCAGATTGCCTGGATTCAAATCTTTGACTAGTTATATGATGTGAGGCAACTTACTCAACCTTTCTGTGATAGTTTTCTCATCTGGAAAATGGGAACCATCATAATACCTCTCTCAAAGTAATATGGGTAGGATTAGGTGTAAAACTCTTAGAAGACCACCTGGTTCAACATGGTCAACATTTAGTAAGTGTCTTCTTTTCATTTGTGAATGTCAAGTATCCCAGGTTGATTCTCTTAAACTTGATCCATGTACTTTTCTGTGGTATTGATGCACCACTCAGTTCACTCTGCCAGAATATATGTATGTTGTCACCAGATAGCCCAGGGAACAAATAGCCCTTCTCACCATCCAAAAGATTACAGTTGCCAGGGTCTCCCTTCCTTTATCAGAGCTCTTAATCAAAATGCTATGTGTGCATGTGTGTATGTGTCTGTGTATGTGTGTGTGTGTTTGTAACTCTAGGGAGGGAATAATGCTTGGGTTTAATAAAGTATTGATTATAACTTAGTATACTTTTAAAATCAAAGAGCAAAAGTCAAAAGCATTTTAAAATGAGCTCAGAAATAAAATGGAAGTATACTATCAACATCACTAAATACAAAATCAAACTCTCACAACTTATAAATTGGAACATTTGATAATTTGTAAAAGTGCTTAGCACTGGCATACACAGCCAATTACGATACCTGCATACATTCTCTGGACTTGACTATGTGTTTCTGACTGTGATGTTAATGGCTCCTCCGAAGAGGTTAAAAGCATATTGAGAGCAGCAATCGATGCAACTGTATTTATATGTAATAATTTGCTCAAATTTTAGAATATACCTTAATCAGAAACACACTCCTCAGACTACAAGATAAAAGACACATCACATTGATAAATATTGCTGGTTGTCTTTGATTTTAACCTAATGACAATGATTTTTTTTTAGCATAGCACATGTACAGATTGTATTATTAATAATATTCCAATGCTAAATTCTGGTAAATCAAAATGTATTCATAAAAATCCTTACAGAAATTTGAGCAAAATTTTCAGAAATTCTTAGCCTAAATTACCACTTATTTAAGCTGGCCACATTTTTGTTTCAGTGATTTTTGGCCATGTTGAAGTCATGACCGGTTTCCCTGGGAAGTCAACAGAAGTTTGGCAGGTGCGTGAGCTCTGCAGGGCAGAGAGCAAGAGGAGAGGTGAGCTCAGAAGGTAATCGTAAAATTTGGACACCTCTCTGCAGCTTTAATGACTCAAACCTAAAATAGTACTCAGGGAAAGACAGAGTTTGGAAGAATTTTGAATTGGGAGTTGGCTATTTTGGTTGTTTTCTTCTGATCTGGAAACACTGGGGGAGGGGTGGTTCTTCTACTGAAGTAAACAGGAATTGTACACAAAGCAGGACTCACATAAGAGTGAAGGGATGTCCTACCAATGCCCACGATGACCCACTAACATCCAGATTTCTACAGTGGAGTTCCCTGGCCTTTACATATCAGTGGGCAAGTCCATGAGAAACAATGTGGCAGGTGGACTAAGGAAAAATGGAAGCATGATGTGGATTTTCTTTTCTTTGCATCTCTTTGTTTTGAACATACTGCTCTTTATCAAAATGCCTTTCTTCAATTTCCTCAGCCCAGCAGTTTGAATATTTGCATGAAGTAGGCACATATCACTACATATGAACCATGAAATGTATTTGAAAATAAATGTTTTAATTAAAATTGACATTTCTGAGCCTACTGCTGAGGGCAGCTGCTTTTTCTCTTAAATTGCTTTGTCCGTCTCCATAGGAGCCCAATAGAAGAGCAGTTTCCATCCCATTTTAATACTAATTTAATATCAAGAGAACAGCAATACTGTGTATACACAAATTTTCTTCTTTGGGTTGTTAAACCAGTTCTGAAAGACTACAAATGGGTTTTGTACTCTCCTGAAGCATTTGTCTATTTTGCCTATTTTTCCAAATCCCTGCATTTAACAAAAATGGCTGTACAAGACTGGTGAAGTGGAGACCCTCTCGGGGCTTATGGATGGAGGGAGTCAGGGAACAGACATTGATGCCTGCTCTTACCACTCTCCCCTCTGTGTTGCTGGGGCTGGGATGGTGGGGGAGGTACAGAGTGAGAGGTAGCTGTGTGTCATCAACTGTACTTAGAACAACGTAGTACAAGACATTTTTGGGAACCACCACAGCTAACATGGATTGAGTACTTACTATATAGTAGGCATCACTCATAAAAATTCAGTGGTATTTCAGTTCCCATGAAGCTTACATTCCAGTGGGAGAAGGCAGATAATAAATGAAATAAGTTATGTAGTAATTAGCATGTGAGAACTCTTCTGGTAAAATAGCATAGAAGGAATTCAGGAGAGAGAGTGTGTGCTGTTCAGAAAAGGGTGGTGACATTTGAATGGAGGCTCAAAGGAGATGGAAGAAAGACATGCTGATATCTTGGAGAAGAGTGCTCCAGGCAGAAGGAAAGTGAGTGCAAAGGCCCTGAGGCAGGAGTGTCTGTAGTGAGTTTGAGAAGGTAGCAAGGAGGCTGGAGTGGCTGGAGCAAGGTGAACAGAGGGAGATGAGCTCAGGAAGGTAAGGTGCGGTGGGCCATGGGACTTTGGCTTTACCTGAGCCATTGGAGAGTTTTTATCAGTGGCCTGACATGATATGACTTATTTTTTAGTTTAGTTTTGTTGTCGATGTTATTGTTGTTTTTGAGACAGAGTCTCCCTCTGTCACCCAGGCCGGAGTACAGTGGCGTGATTTCGGCTCACTGCAACCTCTGCCTCCTGGGTTCAAGCATTTCTTGTGCCTCAGCCTCCCAAGTAGCTGGGATTACAGGCACCTGCTACCACGCCCAGCTAATTTTTATATTTTTATTAGAGACAGGGTTTCACCATGTTGGCCAGGCTGGTCTCAAACTCCTGGCATCAAGTGATCCGCCCACCTCAGCCTCCCAAAATGCTGGGATTACAGGCGTGAGCTACCACGCCCAACCCTAGTTTAGTTTAGTTTTTAGTTTTTTTTGTTTTGTTTTTGTTTGAGACAGGGTCTGGCTCTGTTGCCCCGGCTGGAGTGCAGTGGTGCAATCTCAGCTCACTGTAGCCTCTGCTTCCTGGGCTCAAGTGATTCTCCTCCCTTAGCCTCCCAGGTAGCTGTGACTACAGGCTGACGCCACCATGCCTGGCTAATTTTTTGTATTTTTTTGTAGACATGGGGGTCTTTCCATGTTGCCCGGGCTAGTCTTGAACTCCTGGCCTCGAGTGATCCATCTTTCTCAGCTTCCCAAAGTGCTGGGATTACAGGCATGAGCCACTGCACCCTGCTGACTTATTTTTTAAAAGGATAACTCTGGCTGCTGTTTGAAGAACAGATAGTAGGTCTTTCCAAACATATACATGTATTATTAAGCTTCACAACTCTCTAACAGGTATTATTATTATCTCCATTTTATAGATGACTTACTAAGCCACAAAGAAGTTGAATGATTTGTTCACACCTAGGAAGCAGAGGAGGTGGGTTTTCAAACTCAAGCTGCCTGGCCACAAGCCCTGGCTCCTAACCGCTGTGCTCTCCTGCCTCTCTGCAAATAGAATCAAAAGTGATACATGCTGACTCAGGAGGGACTTGCTTTTAATTGGACAGCCAAACAAATCATGTCAAGACGCAACTTCACATTGCACTAAGTGTATATTAAATATGCCATAAACCTCCACACTTTAGTTACCACCTACAAGCCAATGACATAAGACTCTTTCTCCAACCTAGATCTCACTGAGTCTCCTAAATTCAACTGTCTAGAGTTCAGTAAGCTCAACACACTTGATCCAGAGCCTATTATGTACCAGGGTCTATATGAAAGAGTTGTATAATCTTTGCCCTTAAGGAATTTATATTTTAGATCACAGGGGAGCAGACACAGAAGATTGCTCAGTGTAGCGTATCTCCCAACCATCTTGACCTGGATGTCTTGTGGACACTTCATAGCGTCAGGTCCCAAATCAGTGAATCTCTCTACTTTCCTGCCCCTGTCCAGATCTTCCCTGCTGTATTTTGTATGTTGGTGATGATACTTCTGAAAACGCAGTTGTCCAAACCAGAATTCCTTGATTCAGCCTTAACATCCACTCTCATTCCCCAGCTCTTTCTGGCCAGGATTCCTAAGGGCTTTAAGGAGGACCGGCCTCCTCTTCCTCCCCTTCCTCCCCTTCCCACTTGCAGGGCACCACCAGCTTTAACTTAGCACATTTTCTGTAAAGGGACAGATGATAAATACAGTAAGTTCTCACTTCACTTCATTGATAAGTTCCAGGAAACTGCAACCACTTTACCATGGGCTAATTGATATAAACAAGAGTTAAGTTTCTACAGCATATTTCCAGTCACAAAAACGTCCCCAAACTTCTAACTAAAGACCAAACTCTTCTTTTTTTTTGAGTTGGAGTCTCGCTCTGTCACCCAGGCTGGAGTGCAGTGATGCGATCTCAGCCTCTGAGGTTCAAGTGATTCTCCTGCCTCAGCCTCCTGAGTAGCTGGGATTACAAGCAGGAACCACCATGCCCAGCTAATTTTTTGTATGTTTCATAGAGACGGGGTTTCACCATGTTGGCCAGGCTGGTCTCGAACTCCTGACCTCAAGTGATCCACTAGCCTTGGCCTCCCAAAGGGCTGGGATTACAGGCGTGAGCCACCATGCCCAGCCTAAAACACTTTTAATATTAAATACTGAAATAAATGTGAGTTATACATACATTTAAGAAAGATTAATAAAAACAAATGAAATAATTATTTACCCATTTATTCCAGTTTACGGTGGCAGGTGGTGGGAGCCTCTCCCAGCAACTCAGGGTGCAAGGCAGGAACCAGCCCTGAACAGGGCACCATCCCACTGCAGGACACACTCACACACACTCACTCAGACTGGGACCATCTAGACACGCCACTTCAAATTCACCCACCAGGCACATCCTTGGGACATGAGAGGAAATGAGAGTACCCAGGGAAAATCCATGCAGACTGGGGAGAACGTGCAAACTCCACACAGTGGCCCTGGCTAGAACTGATTTTTTTCTCATTAACATTATAACAAAACAACATTGAACAAACAATGTTTGTTCTTCTGTATTTTAGGTTTTGCAGGCCACATATTCTGTCTTATTCTGCTGCATATTTTTCTATGCTTTTTTTCTTTGTTTAATAACCTTTTAAAAATCTAAAAATCATTCTTGAGTCCTAGGCTGGATGGTCATCAGATAACAGCAACAGCCCCCAAATAGGTCTACTTACTTCCAAAGTGTTCACCTACACTGTCCCTCCACTCTGACCTCCCCCACTCATCTGTCAATATTAGACATCTTAAAGTCCCAAGGCTCCTGTTCCTTACTTTTCATTTAAATCACTGTAAAAGAAGCTCTTGTCTCTCTCTGCCCTTAACATTTTCAGTGTGCCCCCTATTGTTTACAAAATAAAATGTAGACTCCTCATATATACAAAAGGGCCTTCCACCCCCTGCATCTCCCATCATTCCATCCTTCACACACCACGTGGAAGCCCCCCAAAACTTACCATTCCGTGAGTATTCCATGGCTCCCTGAAGCCTTCCTACCTTTGCACATGCTGCTTTTTTCCTATCTGGAATGCCCTTTCTTCCATTATCTTTTTTTCTTTTAATTCTCAATTGGTTTCCCTTTCATGGTACCTGCATTACATTTACTCTTCCAGGTTTAGTTTAAAAATCACTTCATCTATGAAGCATGCCAGAGCCCTTTTGTGCAACCGCCCTGTCCAGCTGGAAGCAGTTGCTCCTCAGCTCCCACCAGGATATATACACCCAGCACAGTGGTTTCCAGCACCAGCAAGGTTGCTTAGGTTCAACCTCCGCCACTGACCGGCTGTGGGATGTTGGACTGAACTCTTCCTTAGTAACCTTATCAGGAAAATAGGGAATGTGTGATCATTCAATAGTTACTACATGTTACATCCTCAAAACTCACTAACACATCCTCCATACTCAAAGGCTAGCTACTACTTTAGCCAGCTAAAGCATTGAGGGTGCTCTCTCTTTCAATGTTTAATTAACGATCTTTCCCACCCCCACTAGATTAAGTTGCTTGAGGATAGAAACTAGGTTTTCTTCATCTTTAAATACTCAAGGCTGGCTGGGTGTGGTGTCAGACGCCTGTAATCCCAACAGGCAGGTGGATTGCTTGAGCTAGCTCAGGAGTTCAAGACCAGCCTGAGGAACATGGTGAAAGCCCATCTTTACAAAAAAAAAAAAAAAAATCAAAAGTTTCAAGCCAGGCATGGTGGTTCATGCCTGTAATCTCTGTAATCTTAGCATATTGGGAGGCCGAGGCAGGAGGATCACTTGAGCCCAGGAGTTCAAGACCACCCTGGGCAACACAGGAGAATATTAGCCAGGTGTGGTTGTGGTATGCCTGTGATCCTAGCTACTTGGGAGGCTGAAGTGGGAGGATCACTTATGCCCAGGAGGTCATGGCTGCAGTGAGCCATGATCATGCCACTGCACTCCAGCCTGGGTGACAGAGCAAGACCTTGTCTCAAAAATATACAAACAAATACTCAAGGCCTACAGCATAGTTTGTGTTGAATACATGCTTGATGAATGAATGAATGACCCCAAATAACAATGCATATGTGAAACCAGCTGAGGTTATTCACAAAGCTCCCTTGAAAATAGGAAAAACTAGGGTGGGCACAGTGGCTTATACCTGTAATCCTAGGACTTTGGGAGGCCAAGGCAAGCAGATCACCAAGTTCAAGACCAACCTGGCCAACATGGCGAAACTCAGTCTTTACTAAAAGTACAAAAATTAGCTGGGCCTGGTGATGGGCACTTGTAATCCCAGCTACTTGGGAGGCTGAGGCATGAGAATTGCTTGAATCCAGTTGGTGGAGTTTGCAGTGAGCTTAGATTGCACTTCTGCACTCCAGCCTGGGCAACAGAGTGAGACTCCGCCAAAAAAAAGAAAGAAAAGAAAAGACAAGACAAGAAAAGAAAAGAAAAGAAAAGAAAAAAGAAAGAAAAAGAAAAAGAAAGAAAGAAAAGGAAGGAAGGAAGAAAGAAAGAAAAAGAAGGAAAGACAAAGAAAGAAGAAAGAAAGAAAAAGAAAGAAAGAAGAAGGAAAGACAAAGAAAGAAGAAAGAAAGAAGGAAAGACAAAGAAAGAAGAAAGAAAGAAGAAAGAAAGAAAGACGAAGGAAGGAAGGAGGGAAGGAAGGAAGGGGAGAGAGACAGAAAGCAAGCGAGAAACAGAAAGAAAGAAGAAAGAAAGAAAAAGGAAGGAAGGAAGGAATAAAGAAAGAGAGAGAGAAACCAGAAAATAGGAAAAACTGGCTGCTTCCCCCTGGACTGCTGATAGTAAAGGGGTGTCCCTTTGGCCTTCAGGAGTGGAAAGGCCAAAGAGCGCAATGACTGAGATAGTAGGTTCTTGAACACTTATAAAAGATGCAGCCTTGGGCATATTCCTTCACCTCTCTGTGCCTCATTTTCCTCATGTGTAAGGGAGAATAATGGCAGCACCAATCTCATAGAGTTCTTTGTGGATGAAATGACTTACACATATAAAGTACTTAAAACAGTATCCGTGTATAGAGAGAACACTCAGAAAGTGTCGGCTATAATTTTATCATCAATATCACTCTCCCCTCAGGGATTAGGGCTATGTCAGGATACAGCCATGCTTCAACAACCCTGGATACAATCCCGTCGAGTTGTATCACTACCTATTTTTATTTTTTCAGATCTCAGGAAACAGCAGCATCAGCCCCAAGCACAGGTGAAGTGGGGATGTTAGGTATGCCAATATTTCCTTGCCATGCATGAGAAAGGGATACATTAAGATATTTTAAGCTTCAGGTAGTAGAGGTCTCGGATTAGGCTGGCCTAAACAATGGGGACAATTCCTGTGGCACAGGATGAGAAGTTCAGAGGTAGGTGGCGCTGCAGCTGGTCAAATTCTCCACTCAATAACATCGTCAAGGACCCAGATTCATTTCACCTTTCTGCTCTGTCATGTTCCGTGTGTTGGCTTGGACTGCAGGACAGGACTTTCGTGGTTACAAGATGACTGTAGTAACCACAGTCTGGGAATTATATTCTGACACAACATTCACTGGACAAAAAATAAATGTCTTTTCTTGTGTGCCATTTTGAGAAAGAAATTACGTTTTGCAGAACCCTCAAGCAGATCTCCCTTTATATCTTATTGGTCAGATTTGGGTCACATACTCACCCCTAAACTAATGACTGCCAACGGGATCATGATTTACACTATCAGTATTTGCCCTAAATTTGGAATGGTGTAAATTCTGGAGCAAGATCAGCGTTCCATAAGCAAGGAAGAAAGGAAGAGAAGCTGTTGGATAGGCAACCAGCAGGATCTGCTCAGAGAATTTTCAATATTTTTATATTTCAATATCACTTGTCACAGTGGTTTATTTTGGAAGAAGTAGGGCAGAAAATGGGCTCGTCTGGACGGAAGTTTTTCAGCAGACTTGTAAACTTCTTGTTTTGTGTTCTATATGTATTTTGTTTTTTTAATATTTACACCCCTGAGATTCTGGCTTTCAAAATCTGGGCAGTGTGAGCCATGAAATTCAACTCTAAGGTGTAATTGGTATACAATTGGCCAAGGGCTTTACCTAGAAACCTGAGGAGGGCCTCTATTTAGAAGAGCAATTTTAGCGTCAATGAAAAGTGAAGCATCAGTCTTATTGCTGGAATTCATATGCTGAGAGACCTTTACCCTACCCTGAAACAAACATAACAAACAAAATGGAGGGTCCCAAAGACAAGTATGCTCTATCTAACAAGTTCAAACAGTTTCCTTAATTATATTTCTCACTGTCCCTGCTTCACCTAAAACTAGATAACAGCTTTTGATGAGCACTGAATTTCCGAAAAGGCACCAACATGAGCCACCATTGTTTAGAGAACTAGTGTTTCCAACTGGAATCTACAACGCAATTAGGGCATTGCGCCTTGCATTTCAGAAATCTGTCTTCTGTTCAACATTGCCATTTTGTAAACCATTTGGCTAGCGCCAAGAAGTATGGAAAATTCATAATGAAATCTTGTGTTGGTATCTTTTGGCTGACTCAAGTTTTCTATTTATATAGAATAAAAAGATGGTAGACACTAAAACTATAAGATATCTACTCCAAAGAAATTTCAAGAAAAGCTTCTATTGCAAATGTTCTGTGTCCTTTGAAGGCAGAGAACTCATAATTTTGAAGTGAAAGAGTCTTTAAGATCATCCATGGAATGTTTGCAATTGTACAGATGAGGAAACTATTAATAATTTAATAAACTAATAATTCTCAGAAAGAGCAGGTAATGGACAAGCCTAAGTTCCCAGAGTTTGGGAGCTGCAAAATTGAGATTAAGACCCATGTTCCAGGCTGGGCATGGTGGCTCATGCCTGTAATCCCAGTACTTTGGGAGGCCAAGGCAGGCAGATCACTTGAGATCAGGTGTGCAAGACCAACCAGCCTGGGCAACATGGCAAAACCCTGTCTCAACTGAAAAACAAAAATTAGCCAGGTGTGGTGGTGCATGCCTGTAATCCCAGCTACTCAGGAGGCTGAGGCATGAGAATCGCTTGAACCTAGTAGGTGGAGGTTGCAGTAAGCCAAGATCACACCACTGCTCTCCAGCCTGGGTGACAGAATGAGACTCTGTCAAAAAACAAACAAACAAAAAACATGTTCCTTGGGATAGATTAAAGGTGAACACAAATTTTTTGCTACTTCTCCCCTTGAATCTGGCCTGACCTTAGTGACATGCTTCAGCAATACGATGTGACTAAAGTGATGTTCTGGGCCTTCTGAGGCTAGGTCATAGGAAGTCTTGCAGTTTCTGCCTAGGACCCCTTGTACCCCTTGCTCTAGGGGAAGCCAGCAGTAAGGAGTCTGACACCCCTGAGGCTGCCATGCCATGAAGCAGCTCAATCTAGCCAGTGGAAAGGTGGCATGACGAGATGGATACCTCATCTGCTCTCAGCTGTTCTAACCATCTCCCAGCCCAGATGGCAGATATAGGAGTGAAGCCTTCAGATGACTTCAGCCCTGGCCACCATTTGACTGCAGCCTCATAAGAGTTCCCAAGCTAGAACAATACAGCTAAGCCCAGCCAGCACAGTCACTGAAGGATAATAACAAATTGGTTTTAAGCCGTGAAATTGGCCAGGTGCAGTGGCTCATGCCTGTAATTCCAGCACTTTGGGAGGCCAAGGTGGGAGTACAGCTTGAAGCCAGAAGTTTGAGACCAGCCTGAGCAATAAAGTGAGACCCTGTCTCTACAAAAACTTAAAAATTCGCCAGGCATGGTGACACACACCTGTAGCCTCAGCTACTCAGGATCAGCTACTCAGGAGGTTGAGGCATGAAGATGGCTTGAGCCCTGGGGTTGGAGGCTGCAGTTAGCTATGGTCATGCCACTGCATTCCAACCTGAGTGAGGCAGCAGGACCCTGACCCTAAAATAAATAAATAAACAAGCCACTCAATTTTGGGACAGTTAGTTTTGCAAAAATCAATAACCAGAACATCCTCTGACTCAACACCTTTGCCCACAGCATTAGTAAAATACATATAACGGGAAACTCAAACTCAAGACAGAACAAATATTCTTCAGGACATTGGGAGTTATGTCCTTGTTCTGCTCAGTAATTCCATAAAGCATATGGTCAGTCTAAGTTCATTAGAATACAATCCTCAAAATGCTTTCAGTCTCCATCACATGACAAAAGTGATATTTATTATTCCCATGACCATCTAGCTCAGGAATCGAGTCATGTTCAGAGGATCCTGGGCAAGACACTTCTGGACTCTTCAGTCTTTACACCAATATTCATAAATGGCTGTGAATGCAAGAAAGAGATCTTTCACAATATTTTTAAAGGCCCTCTCAAGGACTATCAAGATTAGAGTACGCTCTTCAATATTACAACAATTGCACAGCTGATATCATTTGAAGGTATTATTGGTCAATATTTGGCTTTGCTCCATAAAATTCCCTCAGGAAGAAACTAGATTATTACTTCTAAGGAAGTAATGATTTCTTACCACTAAAGAATCAAGACATTGGCTGGGTGCGGTGGCCCATGCCTGTAATCCCAGCACTTTGGGAGGCCGAGGCAGGCGGATCACAAGGTCAGGAGATTGAGACCATCCTGGTCAACATAGTGAAACCCCGTCTCTACTAAAATACAAAAAATTAGCTGGGCGTGGTAGCACATGCCTGAAGTTCCAGCTACTCGGGAGGCTAAGGCTAAGGCAGGAGAATGGCGTGAACCCGGAAGGCGGAGTTTGCAGTCAGCGGAGATCGCGCCACTGCACTCCAGCCTGGGCGATAGAGCAAGACTCCGTCTCAAAAAAAAAAAAAAAAAAAGTTACTAATGGTTATACCATCACCACCATCCATCTCCATTAAGTTTTGTGAATGTACTTAATGCCACTAAACTGTACATCTGAAAATGGTCAAAATGGTAAATTTTATGTTATGTATATTTTATCACAATTTTTTAAAAAACCTTTTACTTGGCCAGGCGTGGTGGTTCAAGCCTGTAATCCTGGCACTTTGGGAAGCCAGGCCGGTGGATCACCTGAGTTCAGGAGTTTGAGACCAGCCTGGCTAACATGGTGAAACCCTGTCTCTACTAAAACCCCAAAAATTAGCCAGGTGTGGTGGCATACACCAGTAATCTCAACTACTCAGGAGGCTAAGGTAGGAAAATTGCTTGAACCCGGGAGGTGTGGGTTGCAGTGAGTGGACATCGCACCACTGCACTCCAGCCTGGGCAACAGCAGTGAAACTCCATCTCAAAAAAAAAAACAAAAACAAAAACAGAAAAACAAAACAAAACAAAAAAACACCTTTTACTTTAAGAAAAAAAATAAAAATAAAAAGAAGAATTCAGGAGTTTTATCAGTCAGCTTCCCAGTGGGAAACAGATGGCACACTCAAATTAGGACAATTTGAGGAGTTTCATAAAGGAACTCTTTACAAAGGTTTGGGCAGAGCATAAGGAAACCACAAAGAGAGAAAGGTGTTCAGGGCTAGGAAGGAAAGAGCAGAGAGCAGAAGCCAAAGAAAGGAAGGCTGTGTGGAGAGGGGCTTCTAGAGGAGGTAAGGGAGGAAAAGCCAGCCTGTAACAAACCTGTAAGAAGGGAACCCGGAATATCAACGCACCACTCTCATCCTGCTCTCCAGCCTCCTACCAGTATGCCCCATCGGCCAAACCCAACCAGAGGTCAAATGGCAAGAGAACCTATTGATACGATTCATATAGGTCAGCCTCCAGAGGAGAGAGAAGGCAGGGGAACATAGAGAGTGGATAGAGAAGGTGCAAAAGGAAGATGCCAGCCACAGTATTCTATCTAATAAGGCTGTGGTCCCCAACCTTTTTGGCACCAGAGAGAGGTTTCATGGAAGAAAATTTTTCCACGGACCTGAGGGTGGGGAAAGTGGTTTTGGGATGAAACTGTTCCACATCACATCATCAGGCATTAGTTAGAGTCTCATAAGGAGCATGCAACCTAGATCCCTCACATGGGCAGCTCACAATAGGGTTTGCGCTTCTGTAAGAATGTAATGCCACCACTGATCTGACAGGAAGGGGAGCTCAGGCGGTAATGCTCGCTTGCCCAGCACCGCTCACCTCCTGCTGTGCGGCCCAGGTCCTAACAGGCCACAGACTGGCACCATCCGTGGCCCTGGCATTGGGGATCCCCGTAATAAGATGTCTTCAAGGCAGTTACATTTATCAATTAGCTGTAACAAATACACAGTTATCAAAGTCTACCCTCTCATTAGACCACATAGCATAGTTAGTAACAACTAGACCAAAACATTTGTTTTGTGAAAATAGGGAAACAATAAAATAAATATGCATATACCTGTATACTCTTTCTTACAAGATGTGGCTTTCTCTCTGAGGCTCAAAGGCACAATCAGTCCCACTGAAGCTCCGCATGAGCCTGTCTCACCTCTATACCACCTTCTAAGAGCTGACACCCTAACTCTTCTGAGATTGGGATGCAATAGAATGAGACCCAGAAAGAAGGTGAGACAAACAGTTACCACTCCTTCTCTATTTTGTCTAAAACGAACATGTTCTAGCCTCCAATTTAAGGACCCATCTCTTTCTTGCCCATCCCCTAAAAGGGGTGTAGACTTATCCCATGGAATCAGCAAAATGAAAATATCAGAATGTGTAGTCATGTACCCAATCTATTATCGGTTCTGCTTAGTTCTGGTTCTTGCTTTGTAGGGGGATTTCCGATAAGAATAATTTTGATGCAGCAAAGAGACGTTCCAAGAAATACTCTCTATTCTTTACATTTTAGAAATGAAAGGGTTAATGCAACCTCTACTTCGTAGGCACTCACAAATGATCTGAGGGTCATTTTTGCCTGATTCTAACCCTCTTCTGCCTGCCTCAACTTGGCTGTTCCTCCTACTTGACTTAAAAATCTCATTCCATTAACGTCAATCCTCCAGGTTAGACCACTAAAGCCGGGTCGCGGTCTCTAGAAGCTCACTGCTGCTATGCACATATGTTACCTGGCAGGAGAAGAAGAGCCCCTGATTAGGAGGTAGGGGAAGGACAGCCATCTTCTGTAGTCCTCTTTCATTAGCACATTAGCATGAATGAGCTTATCAGATTAGCTAATTGTCACCTGGACACTTTGGACAGTGCAGAGATACTGGTGAGGCATATTTCCACAAAAAGCAGAGGGAAAAGCACAGCAAATGACAAGTCCTGGAAGGGCTATGGAGCATCCTGGAAGGGCAGGGTTCAATGAGGAAGGACAAACAAGATGCTCCAGAGGACTGGAGAGGTAGGAGAGAAAGCTCTGGATGAGAAGGCGCTAAAGATGAATTTTACCATTTTCAAGCTTTGCTTTGCCCAGGCATTTGCCTGTTTCCTGCTGGAGGGATAGCAGATACACAAAGCAGCTCAGGCACAAGGGATAACTTGACTCCTGTTTCTTGAAAGCGTAACAGGAGCAAAGACAAGTGCTGTTAAGATGGAAAACTAGATAACCTGCAATTCCTCCTCCTATAAACACCTAGAAAAACTAGATAAACATACAAATATTTTTAATAGATAAGCATCTAAGAAAGAAAAAGAGAGTATAGGCCTTTGTAACACAGAAACTTGAGTTCTGATGCTCAGTTAGAAACAGAAGACAAGACTTTGAGCTAGCATAAAGTGTGGAATTGAAGCTAAGATCCTGGCATAAAACCAGGACTGTGACCTTCAGTGAAGGGAAGGACTGGGGGAAAAAAAAGTCTACCCAATGCTACTGAGAGATGATAAAGAAATGTATCTAGATTTTTCTGGGAGCGGGGAACCACAAAGATTAAGACAGAGTCTCACTGTCACCCAGGCTGGAGTGCAGTGGCACAATCATAGCTCAACCGCAGCCTGGATCTCCTAGGCTCAAGCAATCCTCCCACCTCAGCTTCCTGAGAGCTGGCACTATAGGTGCCCCACCACACCTGGCTAATTTGTTAAATTTTTGTACAGACGAGGCCTCACTAACTCCTGGGCTGAAACAATTCTCCTGCCTCGGCCTCCCAAAGTGCTGGGATCACAGGCATGAGCCACCATGCCTGGCCCCCAAGAAATTTATCTGAATCTTCCACAGCTTTAGGTGAGAAAATAACCCCCTCTGGAATTTATACTACAAGGTCAGGGGAGCCCATAAATGTAGCAACCAACATAAAAAGTGGTTCCAGCTGAGCATAGCGGCATGTGCTTGTAGTCCCAACTACTCAGGAGGCTGAGGTGAAGGGTCACTTGAGCCCAAGAGTTCGAGGCTGCAGTAATCTATGATTGTGCTTGTGAATTTCCACTGCACTCTAACCTGGGTGAAAGAGTGAGACCCCATCTCTAAAGGAAAAGAAAAAGTGGTTCCATGCCAGTGGTAGCTAACCTTTGAGATGGCCTTCAATGATCTGGTGATACCACTCAGGTGCCTGGCACCTGCATCAGAGGGACATACCTCAACCCAGGCCCCAGAGGTTTCCCACAGATAAATTCCCATTGGAGATGCAGTCATTGTCAAAGCATATCATAAATAATCCTACATAAACAAGTCAGGCAGACATAATTTTTTTAAAATCCACAATAATTGAGCCCCAAGAAATTCAGATAATGCAAGTGACCATGATATAAGTATATCTTATTTTATTTATTGTTTTGAGACAGTGTCTCACTGTCACCCAGGCTAGAGTGCAGTAGCATGACCATGGCTCACTGCACTCTCGACTTCCTGGACTCAGGTGATCCTCCTACTTCAGTCTTGTGAGTAGCTGGGATCACAGGCACGTGCCACCACGACTGGCTATTTTTTAAATATTCTGTAGAGATGAGTTCTCACCATGTTGCCCAGGCTGGTCTCAAACTCCTGGCCTCAAGTGATCCTCCTGTTTCAGCCTCCAAGGTGCTGGGATTACAGGCATGAGCTACTATGCCCAGCCCCTAAGTATGTTATAAATCATATAAAGAAGGAATTAAAATCACAAAAACAAGATACGGTATTAAAAAAAAAAAAGTATAGACCGAGTTGAGAAAAAAATAAATAAAACTTCCAGAAACAAAATTTTCATTTGTTTAAAAAAATCAGGCCAGGCGCGGTGGCTCACGCCTGTAATCCCAACACTTTGGGAGGCTGAGGTGGGTGGATTACCTGAGGTCAGGAGTTCAAGACCAGCCTGGCCAACATGGTGAAACCCCCGTTTCTACTAAAAATACAAAAATTAGCCAGGCGGGGTGGCAGTCGGCTGTAATCCTAGCTACTCGGGAGGCTGAGGCACAAGAATCTCTTGAACCAAGGAGGCGGAGGTTGCAGTGAGCCAAGATCGCGCCACTGTACTCCAGCCTGGCAACAGAGTGAGACTTTGTCTCAAAAATAAATAAATAAATAAGTTAAAATATTAGATCTAGATAAAGTGAGGATCATTCGGCTATAAAATAAATCTGAGAGAATGCTTAGAATGAAGTGCAGGTAGATGAATGTTAGACCTTCTCATTTTCTTCTCAACATTTCTTAACTTTTGATATTTCCCATTTTTTTTTTTTTTTGAGACAGAGTCTTGCTCAGTCACCCAGGCTGGAGTGCAGTGGCATGATCTTGTCTCATTGCAACCTCTGCCTCCCAGGTTCAAGTGATTCTCCTGCCTCAGCCTCCTAAGTAGCTGGGATTATGATAGATAGATATTGTGAAAAGTTATTCATAACTTTTGCTTTAAAATTTGTAAAAGATAGATATGAGTAGATATTTATTATCTATTATGAATAACGAATTGATAGAACAAGAAATTTGAATGGTAAATAAACATACGAAAAATATCCTCAACTTCAGTAACAATTAGGGAAATACAAGATAAATCAATGAGATACTATTTCACCATCATCAGATTGGCAAACATTAATGTCTGACAATACAAAGTGTTTTTAAAAATGTGGGTCAATTAACTATTTTACATTTCTAGTGGAAGTGTAAATTGGTGCTCTCACTCTGAAAAGCAATTTCAAAACTTAGAAAAACTGAAGGTTTTCATATTTTACAAGAAAGTATACATTTAGATGTCCTCCCTAAAAAATTCTTGAG
This sequence comes from Homo sapiens, assembly GCF_000001405.40. Taxonomy (NCBI): domain Eukaryota; kingdom Metazoa; phylum Chordata; class Mammalia; order Primates; family Hominidae; genus Homo; species Homo sapiens. The sequence continues at coordinate 56,865,909 of NC_000014.9, read as the reverse complement.
GCCTGGCATTGTGGCTCACTCCTGTAATCTCAGCACTTTGGAGGCTGAAGCAGGAGGATCACTTGAGGCCAGGAGTTGGAGACCAGTCTGGCCAACACAGCAAGACCTTGTCTCTATTTAAAATATATATATATATATATTGAATATGTGTACTTGGAAGCACCCATTGCTACACTGTATCAAAGAAAACCATGCAAACATTCTAACTGTCCCTCATTGTAGGAATAGACATATTCATTCAGTGGGATACTTTACAGCAGTTTAAGTAAATGCATTACGTCTACATGTATTAACATAAATTAATCTACAAAATATGAAGCAAGTGAAAAAAATGAATTCCAATGAATATGTGCAGTGTTCTTCTTTTTCTAAATACACAAAACAATAATTTATGTACCCATACATAGATTGTAAAAGGACAAAAGCATTCATGGGAATGACACACAATAATTTCAAGGCAGTGGTTGCTCCTGGCAAGGGAAGGAAAGAAAAAAGATGGGTTTTTAGCAGTATCTGTTATATTTTATTCCTTCAAAATATAGAAAATTCTTTTAAAATTAGAAATATAAACCAAGTAATAATAATAATAATAATAATGATAAATGTATTGGTGATGGATAGAAATGTGACAGATTCCTATTCTTTTGGGGTTATTTGAAATGTGTCACTATTAGTCATTTTAAAGAGGAATTCAGAGACCTGAGATTATGGTTGCTTTTTTTTTTTTTTCTGTGTGTGTGTGTGTATGCGTGTGTGTGTGTTTGTTTTTGAGACCAAGTCTCACTGTGTCGCCCAGGCTGGAGTGCAGTGGCGCGATCTCAGCTCACTGAAACCTCTGTCTCCTGGGTTCAAGCGATTCTCCTGCCTCAGCCTCCCGGGTCGCTGAGATTACAGGCATGAGCCACCATGACTGGCTAATTTTTTTGTATTTTTAATAGAGACAGGGTTTCACCATGTTGGTCAGGCTGGTCTCGAACTCCTGACCTCAAGTGATATGCCTGCCTTGGCCTCCCAAAGTGCTGGGATTACAGGCATGAGCCACCATGCCTGGCATAAGCTTTTTTTTTCTTATTATCTTATTTTTCTTAAACTCTCTATAATGGTTATGTATAACTTTTGTAATAAGAAAAAAATATGAAAATATGCACAGATAACCTGACAATCTCTCAGGCTACGCCAATCCTACCTATGGGCATTCTGGACCAATCATTTAAAATGAAATTCTAAAGTTTGATAAGCTGGTTGCCAAGTGAGTACTCACCATAAGACTAGGTTGTGGCACAATAAACTGGGTCATTTCCATCATCTTAGTGATCAAAGCGGCCACTGCACCATTGATCTGAATACATTTACAATCCAATTCATTACTGATGGCAAATTGATCCGAGAGATTATGCATAAATATGTGAGAATTTTCTGATTGTATCAATGGCTACATTTTCCCTTAATGATATATATGTGTGTAAATTACATATGTGCATATGCCTTTTTATATATACATATAATTTTATCATCCCATGAAATGTCTTGCAGAGATGAGATGTTGAGGTGATTCTGGAATTGGTGCGATTCTGGAATTGGTGCAATTCTGGGAGTTAAAGGAAGTAGAGATTCTTTTGCTCCTGAGATATTGTTTTGTCTCCAAACAGAAGATATGAACAGTTGCCCAGTGACTTCTGTGAAATGTTTATGGTCTCGTGTCAGTTCCCAACAATGAGTTGTCCACATAATAGATGCACTTTATTTGTTGTACATACTCCTTTGATGTATGTCAAATTTTTCATGTTTCCTTTTCTTTTTATCTGGTCTCTCACTGTTGATATTGTCCTGTTCTTGTTGTCTTTCTAGATTGAAAGGACCAAGTCCACTTTAACTCGGCATGGCAGCCAGCACAACTCTGATGAGCATGTAGACACTTGACAGACAATGTTTGTGGTGCTGCTATGGAAGGCTCCAAAACTGTGCTGTCAACAGTGCCATAAAATCATAATCTGGGCCAGGTTTTGTGCCTCACGCCTGTAACCCCAGCACTTTAGGAGGCCGAGGCAGGAGGATCACTTGAGCCCAGGAGTTTGAGACCAGCCTGGGCAATATGGTGAAACTCCATCTCTACCCAAAAAGAAAAACAAAAACAAAAATCAAACTAAACTGAAAAAAAACCCACAAAACTTAGCCCAGTGTTGTGGCACACACCTATGGTCCCAGCTACTCGGGAGGCTGAGGTGGGAGGACTGCTAAAGGTTGGGAGGCAGAGGTTAGCAGCGAGCCAAGATTGCACCCTTGCACTTTAGCGTGGGAGACAGAATAAGACCTTGTCTCAAAATAAATAAATAAATAAAAATCATAATCTGATCTATCTATGCATACCACAATATGAATACTCTATCTATAGATACCACAATATGAATACTCTGGTGCCTATTGCTCAGGCATAACATTGCCAGATATGGCAAATAAAAATGTAAGATGGCACAAATAATTTTTTTAGTATGAGCATATCCCAAGCATTGCATGAGACATATTTATACTAAAAAATTATTTGTTGTTTATCTGAAATTCAAATTTAACTGAACATCCAGTATTTTATCCAGCAACCCTACCCAGGCACCCTGCTTTAAGGTCTCCAAAACATTTGGCAGAGGACACACCCAAAATGGAAGAGTTGCAAATTTTCTTAAAAGAAACTCTGTCATACTCATTTGGATAGGAGACAAAGAAAACAAATGCAACTTTAAATCTGCTTCACAGTGGTAGAGGTGTTTCTCTCAGTGCACGAACTCCATGATCAGATTATTGTGAGCTCTCTTTGGGCAACATAAAGAAGCTTGAATGCCATATGGTTATTTTCTGAGTCACCAAAACTCTCTGTTCTCCCGCGGTGGCAGCCAGCATCTTCTGTGATGCTTACACTAAATGGCAGAAATAGAACAGATTCAAGGGAATGTAGACTAGTGGATGCAAATGCATTCATGGAGAGAAGTTACATTCCAAAAAGATTTCAAGCCCTCCCGTCCTATTTCCCCTCTCACCATCGCCCACATCTGCCCCAAAGCATTCAAGCTTAGGGTGTTCTCATAGGAAGCTGTACTCTGAGGAATACACAAACGTGCCAAAACGTTGGGACAGAAAAAAAAAAAACTACAATATTCTCCGAATTAAAATCAGTTCATGGAAAATAAAAGAGGAGCCTACTGCTAGTTGTGAGTTCAGTGATGAAGTATGTGAAGGCTGTGAATGTCATCTATTGTGGGACATGTAATAAGACAACTTGGGGGAAATCTCTTTAGTATCAGAGGGTCACAACTACCAATAAGAAGAATGTTCATGCTTAGTTACTGGATGCATAAGGTCACTGGCAGGAATACCTGTCAAAACTGGCTGCTCTAAAGCCCTTTTTCCTTTCTCGTTTGTCTCCTATCCCACGTCCACACCTTTAAACCCCATCCAAAAATAAAGTGGGTTGCTCTCCTTGCTGTATCCCTAGATCCTGGCCCTGTGCCTGGCACACAGTGGGCACTGAAAGCTATTTATTAATGAATGTAGAGAGAAAACTTCAGTCACCCATTAAATTTTTTTTTTTCGAGACAGGGTGGTGCTCTGTTGCCTAGGCTGAAGTGCACTGGCACAATCAGCTTGCTGCAGTCTCAAAATCCTGGGCTCAAGTGATGCTTCCACCTCAGCCTCCCAGTAGCTGGGACTACAGGTGCACACAAGTATGCTAGCTAATTTTTTCTTTTTAAGAGATGAGGTCTTGCTATGTTGCCTAGGCTGGTCTCGAACTCCTGAGCTCAGGTAATCCTCCCACTTCGGCCTTCCAGAGTGCTGGGATTATAGGCATGAGCCACCGCATCTGGCCCAGTCACCTATTTAACAAATATTTTTAACTGTTTTTTTTTTTAATTTTAAAAACTGGTAATTTAACGGTACAGACCAACAGCTGGAGAATATAGCTATGCCTCTTTTAAAAAAATTTATACTTTTTCTTATATTAACTGCACTATAGAACTTAATTTTTAAGTTAAATAAATTAAAAAGCAATAAAATATAGTATGAAGTAGCTTATGTATGTTTTAGCTTTTAAGCATTTGCCCCATGTTATGTAATCTGAAAGACTCAAATCCAAAGAGCAAAATGGGAAAACCAATGCTTTTAAAAGAAAATCTATTTTTGCTCTGTGTGTTTTAACAAATGAGTAATTAGATATTTAGCCTATCATTGCTGCATGAATAAATCTTAGGGCCTACCTGACATTACAGGTTTAGAATTCTAAGGCTTACTTTGTAACATGGAATCTTTGCATTGTTGTGAGACTATTAAAATAGATTTAAGGTGATTATTCTGGAAATAGCATAAAAATAAGCTACATTTACTCAAATGAACTAGTTCTCTGACTTTTTCCATTAGGAAACCCTCTTGAATAGGGATTCTTGACCTGCTGTGGTATGTTTGGGTTAGCTGTATGTCTGCTCTTAAAAATATACCTTTCCAGACAGATACTTGAGGAGACTGAGAGGGAGAATGGCTTACGTCCTCCCAGTGAGTTTGACTCCAGGAGTTTGACACTAATCTAGGCAAATAGTGAGACCCCGTCTCTAAAAACATACATAAATATGTATGTGTGTGTGTATATATATATATGTATATATGTATGTGTGTATGTATATGAAGATATATATATATACCTTCAAGACTGAAAGAAGCTATGATTTTGAGCTGGAATTTGCTTTTAATCTTTTTCTCTCCAACAGTGTAGCAAATTAAATATAAATCATCCAACAATCGCTCCTTTTCTAAAACTGTTTTGATGCTTTATTCCTAACAAATAAAGCATATAGAATGAGAACCATAACATTTGATTAAAAATACACACACACACACACACGTATATACATACACACATGTATATATAGAGAGAGACTCCTGGCTTTATTATGCAACAATGCATTAAGCCAGCTTCCTTTGAGGGTCACATGTTCATCTGTGCCCATCCTTAGCAAACACTCACTTTAATGCCAACACATCCAACTAAAAACTGAAATCCATGAGACATGTATTATGCATTATGTCTGACCATTGCAAAGCATCTGATAATTAACCAAAAGTTTTCACCTTTCTTTGCAATAGTTATTATGCAGACATAACCATGGACCACAATAGAAAGAAGCACACACCACTCATATTCTGCCCTGACGAGAGTTACAGCCAAATTTAAATCCCAGCCTGGTGAGTGGATTCCATGGTAAACTGTTATGCAGAAAAGCTTCTGTCACCTACCACTGCCGCCTCCCGTTCATTTTCTGGCAAAACGTTAAGACTGAAGACACCAACATCAATTAGAATGTAAACCCATCTCTGCTTAATAACAAATCCTCTCCATCCCTGTCTAGCCAGAAACAATCTGCCTGCTTATTTCTATTTTCATGTCCTCTCCTCCCAAATTAGCTTTGGTTACATTCCCATGACTGGATAGTATTGATCTTGAGTTAAGAAGCCTAGATCATGTAGAACCTGGCATATCAGAGGTGCTAATGAATGAGTGGCTCACCTACATTTTGAAATCTATCATAAACATTCTGCTCTTAACATTTTTAGAGGGTAAAGAGCTTTATAATGTTGCACAAATAGCTCCTGGGAATTCAATATTCTACCGATAGCATTGCTTCTGTAGTCTCTGGCCTTTGGGATAAGAATCGGGTTCAGGAGCAATATTGCAGGTTTTTCCTAAAAGAATCTTATCTAAAAGTCTCTCTCTTCAATGGCTTCTGTGACTTTGTATTGTTCTTAGAATTTAGTCCCAACTAGTATTTTTCTTTCTGTGTCTGGCCTATTTCCTTAGCATAATGTCTTCTAGTTTAAAAAAAAAAACAAATACATAAAAACAGTGAAAACAGGATTTGTGGGGAGCACAGGAGGAAATAAGAAGATGTAGATCAAAAGGTACAAAGTTGCAGTAATGTAGCATTAATAAGTCTAGAGATCTGTTTGCACAACGTGAAGACTCTAGTTCGTAATTGCACAACATGAGGACTCTAGTTTGTAATATCATATTGTATCCTGGTAATTTGCCAAAAGAGTAAATTTTAGGTACTCTTACCACACGCGCACACACACACACACACACACACACACACACAGACACACACACACACAGGTAAGTATATAAGACAATAGGTATGTTAATTTGCTTGACTGTAGTAACCACTTCACTCACTACATATATGTATATCAAGCTAAGTATCAAAAAATCATATTGTGCACCTTAAATATATACAAAAAAGATATTTCTGAGCCCCAGATGTTATTGAGGAATTTCAAATGATATTTCATACAAAACAATTTAATTCCTAATCAACAAAAACAGTATGAAATAGTCCTTTTAGGTTCACTGAAAAAAACTAAACAGAACAAAAATACACACTAGCCCTAATGTCAGACTAGGCCTGGGTTGGAATTCTGGCCCCCTACTTCCTAGCTATGTGACCTTCACTAGCTACTCATCCTCTCAAAGCCTCGGCTTCTCCACCTTTAAAATGGGGATAATAATAATAATCTTACTGTGGCTGGGCACAGTGGCTCACACCTATAATCCCAACACTTTGGGAGGCTGAGGCGGGTAGATCACTTGAGGTCAGGAGTTCAAGACCAGCCTGGCCAACATGGCGAAACCCTATCTCTACCAAAAAAAAAAAAAAAAAAATTCAGCCAGACATGGTGGTGCATGCCTGTAATCTCAGCTACTCAGGAGGCTGAGGCACAAGGATCGCTTGAGCCCGGGAGGTGGAGGTTGCAGTGAGCTGAGATCGTACCACTGCACTCCAACTCCAACCTGGGCAACAGAGCAAGACTGTCTCAAAAATAATAATAATTATTATTACTATTATTATTTATTGTGCAGATTGAATGTGATAATGCATCTGCAATAGCTGGCACTTAGTACACAAAGGAATAAACATTAGCTACGCCTGCTGCTCTCATGATTACTAACTCTGACTATACTGAATAACAAATTGGAACAATGGTGTCTTTTGCGGGGAAGAAAAAAGAATATAACCTCAACCCCTTACCATGATCTTCAAGGCCAGTAAAACTCTGTAGCCTCACCTCATACCTTTCTCCCACGCCCCGACAGCTTGGTCACTATGCAATAGGCACATAGAGTAACAAGCACAGGGCTTCGTGCTTCTTGCTTCCTGTTTCTGAAATGCTCTTTCCCCAGCTCTGTGCACGTCTCTGGCTCCTTATCATCCTTCCAGTGTCAGTTTAAACAACACCTTCGCAGAGAAGCTTTCCCTGGCCACTCTATCTGAAGTCGCTCTCCCTAGCACCTCCCTAGCTTCCTGCAGTTCTCTTTATCACATACTCCTGTTTATCTTCTTTGTAGCCCTTATTACAATCAATAATTATCACCGGGCTATAAGCTCTGAGACGTCACCACTGTATCTGTAGTGTCTAGTATAGCACCTGGCACAAAGTTGGTGCTTGATATCTGTCAAATTAATTATTGAATACATAAATGAATAACTAGGCTAGTAATACGCATTTTCTCCTCTTTTTTATTCTCACGTATAGCATCTAGCACCATACAACATGGAAGAATTTAACACAATGATACTATTTTTGAGAACTAATAACATTAAGAAGCAGATATTTACAAACATTGCAGACATGTGCTAAATAAGCCTGACTTTCGGAAATATCACTGGTGTAACTGTTGAGCAGATTCTCTAAAACTCTTTTCTTTTTTATTTTCTTTTTCCTTTTCCTTCTCCCCTTCTCCCCCTCCTCCTCCTTCTTTCTCTCTCTTTCTTTTAAATTATGTATGATGTTGATTATTAGCATCTCAGTCCCCCAGTTCTTCTACCTTCAAGCCTTTCCCCTCAACTGTTGTTCAACATCATGAGCTGATGTGAAGCATATATCAAGAAAGAGTTGGTCTCCTACAGTCAAATGGTCCCCTGAAAGACAGCCTTTCAGGGATGTAAGTGGCAAACAAACCTAGAGTATAAAGCATCACATTTATATTTGGAAGCCGTATGTTGGAGAAAAAAGACATTAGAGTCAGAAGGCTGGAATTTCAATCATTTTGCCACTCTGGGAATGATAGAAAGTCAATTAACCACTCTGTGCCCCAATTTTCTCATCTGTAAAATGGAAATGTCTCCTACGTTGCCTACCCCACAGGTAGGAAAGGATCCATTGAATTGATCATGTGAAAGTACTCTGCAAAATATTATGTATTTCCAAGTTAAAGATATTATTATATTAAAAGGGAAACTCTATGTCTGCTTTAGTAAACTAGACAAGGGAAGGGCAAACAACGGTCATATCTTGGGAGCAATGGGTATAGTGACCATATTTTCAAAACCCAAATCAGAACATATCTTTTGGCATATGATCTGACACATGGTTTGACCACATGACAGAATATTTGAAATAAAAAATGTCCTGAAAAATCCAGGACATGTGGTTGCCATGGCAATGAAGAGCCATGGGGAGGCTGTGGGCAACGAAAAGACAGGGTCGAATTGGCAAGCATAGAAAACTATTTTGCCAGCGATGTGCAGGACAGTTTGCAGTCAATCGATGTGGAAGACAGAAAAGGCAAGAAGAAGGAAATTTTACTAATCTGAGTGTGAGGTATAGTCATCCTGAATCACGTTCACTTTGGAAAATTCTTCCCACCCTCTCCAGAAAATCCAAGCTAGTCTCTGGTTCGCATGAACATGGAACTAGAAGAGCGGTTTTGGATAGAAATTTTGTTGGAGTGAACCTAGTCCCGTGGTAGACCTGTATCTACCCTCAATATCCCAAAGGCAACTGTAAATTAAGAATAATCTCATGGCAGCCCAGTTCTCCAGGCCAAGGGAGACTCCCTTGAAATACCCTAGTGTAAACCCAAATCTGCCTCCCTCTGGATGGAAAGACCATGGAACTCTTCACTTCTCAAAATTCTGCTCTTCATGGACTGCCTTCTGCCTCCACCTTTCCCCACACAAAATTAAAGCAACTCTCTTCTCTGTGCAACTGTTCAGAAAATATTTTTGCTGTTTACAACTCCATCAGAGCTCCTGAAAACACAAACTTGGTGTCATATGAATTCTACTGCTGACTCTTTAAGTCAGAAAGTCAGATTTATTTTTTTTCTTATGGCCAGTCAAAATTAAGATGCAGATAATATTAACAAGAAGGTATAATGATTGGACTCAGAAGAAGTGGGTTTATAACAAGTTTAACTCTTTTAACAATTTACACAGATTCTTATTAAAATTAATAAATCACATATAAGGGGCAAGTGTTGTTTCATGGGGGCACATTTCCCCCCATTCAGCTCTCTTATTCCATTCCAGCCCTTTAAGACCCCAAGACCTCTAAATTCCATCCAGTGCCTATCACATGCTATTGAGTTGGCATGTTTGCAAATTGCATGCAGTGAGATCCTTCCATACCAATAGCCCTGTCTCAGATTCCCCAGCATCGCAGCCAAACTAGTATTGCCTGCACATTTTCCTCATCTTTTCATTGAGTTCAGTGTGGCAGCAGCACATTCCTTAGCACAGGCTCCAGTCGGCATGGTAACTAGTTAGGGACTGCAAGTTGCCTTCTGGCCGACTCCTATTGCTTTCTGAGGGTGCTTTCTCGGGGGCTGGGGGGAGGTGCAGGGAGGGGACGGCAGTGGAGGAAGTAGTGAAAAGAGGGAGGAGAAAGAATTGATTGGGTTGGGCTGGAGGGGGAAGGGCAGAAGAATGACTTAAACGGGCTTTTTTAAAAGAGTTATCTGGTCCACCCATGGTGTTGGTGCTAAATTGCCTGGGCTGAAAAAAGTCCTAATTGGGGTAGGGAGGCAGTGACAAAGCAAAGCTTGTTCAAGCCTCGGAATCTGCACTGTTGATAGTGCAGGTACCTCAAGGGCGGTTGGGAGTGATTGCTGTGTTGACTTTGTCTAATTGCAGGGGAGGAGTTATGTGAGCTGTGGCGGGCAGTGTTACACCCAGTGGGGTGGTGGACAAAAACTGGCATAACCATGCAGAGCTAAATAAACTGACTGACAAAGCTCTTGGCATATTATTAAAAATCTGGCAAAATGTTCATCTCTTGACAAAAATGTAGAGAGACTAGTAATGCATAACTTCATCCCACGTTGGATTTTAAAATGGCTAATGCCAAGTTGTCTGTCAAAATTAATAGGGTATTGCTGCTTCTTATAGAACAAAAAAGAATTCTCATCCATTTTATTCATTGCTAAAAAAACATGTGTCTGCTAAAAATTTCATTTAGAAAAAAAGGTTCAAAGGTAGTTTCCTTGATTTTAAAGTGTTGCGAATTAAAAGCTACTTTTTCTCAGGTTTGTTATTATCAAAACCACACCTTCATTAAAATGTAAAGCATTTTATTCTTTGAGAATAGATTAAAACTCTGTATTCAACCTTATATTAAGAGAGGCATTAAAACTCCAATTATGGATTATAGCTTTATATGAGTTTGGAGATTTTTTTAACTTCCTTTATATCAAGAATATGTTAAACGGTTAATTGACTGCTGAATAGATACTCTACATCATCATAGGAATTAATCAATGTATTGGCCTTTTGATTCTCTGACTTGCTATTTCATGTGTTAATTTAACGAGTTCTCCTTCCTTCTTTGCTGTCCATGAAGCCTTCATGCATGCTATTCTATACAAACTACTTTTTATTCTAAGTTCTACACACATAGGGTAACTTACTATTCTAGGATCTGAGTGTATTTTGTGTGCATTCAGGCCTTAAAAAGAAAGTGTAAATAATACTCTACCTTGTCATATGCATAAAGTTTATGTGGATAGCTATTTCCTTTCTTATTTTCCACACCTCAAAGCTTGTAATTAAATGGAAATGAAAAACAATTCTCTGAAAAATTTAAAAATCTTTTAAAATATATTTTAATCCCTACTTTGCCTAATGAAACAATATATTTTCTTATTCATAAGTTTAGAATTTTCATTAATTTTTTTTCAGAAATAATTCTGAAAGAGCATTTTCCTCAAAACCCCATGTTTTCTCTAATTCTGTTCTTTTAAGAACTTCAATAAAATAGGAAAGTCAGTGAGGCTGGTGGCAAGGTTTTGCTCTTAAACTCTAACAAATACTTTGGTTTGGTGATTTGCCTCTTCCTAAAGCACCTACCTACAATGGAGTCTATAAGTTCTTTTTGGAAACTGAGACACTAGAAGCATCAACACTGGTATACGTCCAGGTAAAAGGAAAATACTGATACACTCCCAGGTAAAAGGGAAATATACACATATTCCTTAAGTGCTGAAAGAACAAATATGTAAATAAGAGATGGGCTGCTTCCCTACTGTTCATGTTTGCTCACTGCGGAACATTTGGTTCACTTGGCTTGACTCATTATTTCAGCTGGGAAAGTCACTATATGAATTAATAGCAGATTTCCCAGCTGAAAATAAATGTTTACCAGTTTAAGGGGCTGGGATTTTTTGGCAAAGGTCTGGCTTTTTGTCTGACTGGCTCTTTTTTGGCATGCACATCCCTGAGGTGTGTAATTAAAGTAAGGGAATTTGCACATAGTGCTTTGGGGCTTTAATGAATAGAAAACACAGGATATTTCAGCAATTTTGGTGCCTAATGTCAGAGTGTGCATTTTCTGTGTGAGGTATCACAATAATAGGGCTCTGTGATAATAAAGGTGCCTGCAATACCATGCAAAGAAAAAGAAAAATGACAGCATTTGTTCCTAAATTCCGATACAAAATACATGAAAAAGAGCGATTTGCATTTAAAACAGACGGACTTTGAACTTGAACATACCCTCAGAAATAATGGCTATTAAATCAGCCCCACTTTGCTGAATATTGAAATTCCCTTCAGGACAAAGATCTTGGCTGTTGATATCAGGTCACATTACAAAATTGAATACACACTATCAAACGGTTCTAATCATAACCATTCCACCCTTGCTGTTGACATTTTTGAACAGCTCAAAACCTGAAAAGGTATTTTTAAACCTCAGGAATCTTGAGGGGAAAGGTAGAAAGAACAATGAACATTTATTGAGCACCTGTTATATGCCAGATAGTTTCACATGCCTATCAAATTTCATATTGTACAATAAAAACCAGGTAAAAAAGTATTTGCACTTATATTTTTGTTTAAAAAAAAATAAAGTTCAGGCCGGGCGTGGTGGCTCATGCCTGTAATCCCAGCACTTTGGGAGGCTGAGGTGGGGGGATCACCTGAGGTCGGGAGTTCAAGACCAACCTGACCAACATGGAAAAACCTCATCTCTACTACAAATACAAAATTAGTCAGGTGTGGTGGCATATGCCTCTAATCCCAGCTACTCGGGAGGCTGAGACACGAGAATCGCTTGAACCCGGGAGGCAGAGGTTGCAGTGAGCCAAGATCACGCCATTGCACTCCAGCCTGGGCAACGAGAGCCAAACTCCATCTCAAAAATAAATAAATAAATAAATAAATAAAGTTCAGAGAAATTAGGTAACCTGCCAAAGACCACATTGCTAGTAATCAGTGACATCAAGATGTGAAAGAGGACAATGCCAGCAAAAAGTAAACACTCAGTGTATACTGACTAGTGTTATTGTTGAACTCCAAAACCTATACTCTTTCCAACAAAGTTCACTTATCATCTTTATTTCTCTTCTATATAATTTATTCTAAAGAGGGATGAAAACCTTGTTCCCTCCTCATCCCTCAGTCTTTGATGGTTCTCATTAATAAAGTTTGTATCCAATTTGAAAAACAGAAACAAAAACTTCTTGCTCCATCCCATGCATAACAGTACAGGAAGCCAGAAGTTTGTGCTTCCTGGGTCATGGGAAGGGCATCTCAATCCTGAGAGCAAGCCACACTTTTAATACAGGACAAGGGAGGCCATGACAGGAAACGAGTCGCACACAGAAGCTTGGAAGAAGGGGATACTTTGATCCCAGCCAGAGGCCAGAATGTATCTCCTGTATTACCACAGAATATAGAAAACAGATTTCACCTTGCTAGGGCCCAATTTTATCAACTATAAACTGATAAAATTTACAGTTGGAAAGGATTGGTCCAAATGATGTAAAAGTCCCATTTCTGATTTAAAAGTCTAAACTACCAAATAACCCTTGGCTGATGACCAGAGGGTCATAAACATGAGAATTCCCACAGGATAAGCTTCAGGTAACTACCTATCTTGTGGTCACTGCACAAAGACATCTGCCAGCATTTCAGAGCCATATTCCTCAGTGAAGTGATTATCAAGTTTCTAGCACATATTTCCCACAGTGATATTTCTTGATATCATCCATAAACTAAGTTCTCAGGTAAAACATTGTCTTTTTGTTTTTAAGAGATGGGGTCTCACTCCGTCACCCAGGCTGGAGAGCACTGGGATGACCATAGCTCACTACAGCCTTGAACTCCTAAACTCAAGCAATCCTCCTGCCTCAGCCTCCTGAGTAGCTGGGAGTACACATGCACGGCACCATACCTGGCTATGTTTAAAAAATTTTTGTAGAGCCAGGCTCTCACTTTTTGTCCAGGCTGGTCTTGAACTCCAGGCTTCAAGTCATCCTCCTGCCTCAGCCTCCCAAAGTGTTGGGATTATGGGCGTGAGCCCCTGTGCCTGGCCAAACATTGTATTTAAAAGGCTTTTTCTCCAGACCTTTCCTTTTCTGACATTTCGTCTTATCTTGGCCTTTCTGTGGTCTTCCTCTTATTCTCTAAAAACCTTTGAAGAATCACTGACAGACTATAAACCTGAGGTTGGGGCACTATCCTAATTTTCTGGTAAAGAAGAAAAATATGAACAATTTGTGTATATGTTTGTTATTATTATCTCCATCAATATTTAAATAAATTTGAACACTAGGATTTGGACAGATTTGTTAGCACAAGGGCCAGAAATGCCATTTGGAGCACATATTTTTTTGACTCCACTGGAATTTAGAGCCCTACGAGGTGGATCCTACCGCCTGTCTCTGTCAGCACCCCTCACACATCCTCACTTTCCTCCTTCTTACCCTGCTTAAATTCCAAAAGTCATCATTATTTTTATTATTTATTTATTTATTTATTTATTTTTTTGAGACAGAATCTCGTTCTGTTGCCCAGGCTGGAGTGCAGGGGCGTGATCTTGGCTCACTGCAACCTCCGCCTCCTGGGTTCAAGTGATTCTCCTGCCTCAGCCTCCCAAGTAACTGCGACTACAGGCGTGCGCCAAAACTTTCAGCTAATTTTTGTATTTTTAGTAGAGAGAGGGTTTTACCATGTTGGCCAGGCTGGTCTTGAACTCCTGACCTCATAATCCACCCACCTCAGCCTCCCAAAACACTGGAATTACAGGTGTGAGCCGTCGTGCCCAGCCTTTCTTTTCCAAGCTCCCTCAACTCCCTTGCTCCTCTCTCACTGTACTGTACTGGCAAATTCTCACCCCAATTCAATCCGACTTCCTGCCCATTCTGTGTCTGCATCCCTGCCACTAAATGTGCTGGAGAAAAACACACAACCATGCTTGTTGGTCTCAGGCTAAATCATGGTCATTATAACCTCCTGTGAGCCATGAATGCTGCCCAGCTGTCATCCATTGTCCTCGTCCATTCCCTCTTCCACCCTTCTCAACAACTCTTTCATCACTTCTCTCCTCAGTCCTTCACAACCTGCCCACCCATCATCATTCACTGGCTTCCTGTTTCACCAAGAAAATAGAAGCGCCCAGGACAATCTTCTTCATGTCCCACCATTACATCTCCCTAGCTACTAGCATCAGAGCCTGTATACCCCACCATTCCTTCTGTGACTTTGGATGGATTATTGAGGCCAATCAAGACCAGTCTCCGACTCACATACTAGATCCCTCCCCTCTCTCCTGCATCATGAATTTCCCTCATTTTGCTGGACTGTTGCAATAACATATAAACAGGCTCTTGTTTCTTTCATTAAAAATAAAATAAGCCGGATGCGGTGGCTCACACCTGTAATCCCAACACTTTGGGAACCCAAGGCAGGTGGATCACCTGAGGTCAGGAGTTTCAGACCACCCTGGCCAACATGGTGAAACCCCATCTCTAACAAAAATACAAAAAATTAGCCGGGCATGTTGGCACCCACCTGTAGTTCCAGCTACTTGGGAGGCTGAGGCAGGAGAATCACTTGAACCTGGGAGGCGGAGGTTGCAGTGAGCCAAGATTGCACCACTGCACTCCAGTCTGAGCTACAAGAGTGAAACTCTGTCTCAAAAAATAAAAATAAAAATAAAACAGCCTGGGCACAGTGGCTCATGCTTATCATCCCAGCATTTTGGGAGGCTGAGGTGGGAGGATCCCTTGAGGCCAGGAGTTCAACACCAGCCTAGGCAAAAAAGCAAGACTCAGTCTCCAGAAAAAAAAAAAATTTTTTTAAAGACTAGCCGGGCGTAGTGGTGTGCATCTCTAGTTCCAGCTACTCCAGAGGCAGAGGCAGGAGGATCGCTTGAGCCTTTGAGTTCAAGGCTGCAGCAGTGAGGCAGAATCATGCTACTGCACTCCAGTTGGGGGTGACAGAGAAAGACCTGTCTCAAAAAAAAAAAAACTTTTTAAATTAAAATAAAATAAAAACAAAAATCTTTTGATGCCATATCTCCCTCCAACTACTGCTCCATTTCTCTGAACCTCTTGACAGCAAAACTTCTCCATGAAATTGTTTATATTCACTGGTAATTTTTCTCCTCTTACTCTCTCTTGAACCCAATTCAATCAGTTCCCCACTACTTCTTCCCTCTCCACAGCAAATATTCCATCAAAATGTCCTGTGTTCAGTTTACTAAGGACATTGACAAATCCATTGGCCAGTTCTCAGTCCTCATCTTATTTGTACTTAAGCATCTCATGTATCTAAGCGCTCTCCTCCTCTCTCTGCCCCCCAAACACTTTTTCACTTGCCTTCCAGGATGCTGTGCTCTCCTGAGTTTTCTCTGGTGTCTTAGGCTATATTTCTTCATCTCCCTGACTCTGAGTTGGAGTGATCCAGAACTTAGGGCTCAGACCTCTTCTCCCTAACAACATTTGATTCCTAGACGATGTTGTCAGTCCCACAGCTTTAAATACCATCTCTACAGTGTTATCCAGATTTCCTTCTCCAGTCTGTATGGCTCTTACCCTAAGCTTCTATTGTGAAACCAAAATCTAGGTTCTCTCTGGCTCCCCAGTTATGTTACATGAATTTCTCTCTTCTTTCCCTGTCTAATACCACAATTCTTTGAGGTCTGAGATCCTATATTGTTCTTATTGGTTTCCATTTAAGTGCTCTGTATCTGAAAACTGCTGACAGACTTTCCTAGTACTGCCTACCTGCCTAGGTTTCTGAAAACCTTGTAGGGAGGAGGAGGAGGAAGAAAAAAGAAGAGGAGAAAGAGGAGGAGAATGAAGAGAAAGAGGAAGAACAAGAAGACAAGGATGACTTGTGGTTATTGTGCACAGCCCAGAGAAATTGAGTGGTGTGGGTTGTCAGTTGCCACTCTTGGGGAAAAGGCAGCAGAGCAGGCTCCCTCCTGAGCAGCCACAGGCAAAGTTATTGCTGTGTTGAATTTACTGTGGTCTAGAAAAGGCCCAATTCTTAATATAGCAAACCAGAAACTTCATATTTTTAGAAAGTAAATCAATCGTCCTAGGGCAGACTGCCTAATCTTTCTCCTAAGTCTAATGTACCAAATCAGAGTACCATTTTGTTAATTTACATTGAGAAATAAATGTTACAAGACCTGGAAGCTCAAAAGCCACATGATTGGCTGGGCGCAGTGGCTAACACCTGTAATCCCAGTAATTTGGGAGGCCAAGGCAGACAGATCACCTGAGGTCAGGAGTTTGACACCAGCCTGGCCAACCTGGCAAAACCCCGTCTCTACTAAAAACACAAACATTAGCTGGGCATGGTGGTGTGTGCCTGTAGTCCCAGCTACTTTGGAGGCTGAGGCATGAGAATAGCTTGAACCCGGGAGGTGGAGGTTGCAGTGAGCCAAGATTGCACCACTGCACTCCAGCCTGGGTGACAGAGTAAGACTCTGTCTCAAACAAACAAACAAACAAACAAACAACAAAACACACACACACACACACACACACACACACACACACACACACACGAGCTACATCTTCTCTCCCTGCAGTCAAGAATTGACTTGCTGAGCAAAATTCTTGAAGTGTATATGATCTGTGCATCCTGTCTTTCTCAGCAGACTTACACAGGAAGAAAAATCACAGTCGGGCTTTAGAGACATGGTAGCTAAGTGACTCTTTCTCCACATTGCAGCCAGAGTGATAATTTTTGGAGCACACATCCTAGCAGGCCACTCCTTTAAAACTGTATATTCTTCCTTTTTGTTTTTTTCCTCTTCTTCTTTCTTTTGAGACAGAGTCTTGCTCTGTCACCCAGGCTGGAGTGCAGTGGCGCGATCTCTGCTCACTGCAACCTCTGCCTCCCGGGTTCAGGCGATTCTCCTGCCTCAGCTTCCCAAGTAGCTGGGATTACAGGCGCCTGCCACCACGCCCAGCTAATTCTTGTATTTTTAGTAGAGACAGAGTTTCACCCTGTTGGCCAGGCTGATTTCAAACTCCTGACGTCAAGTGATCCACCCGCCTTGGCCTCCCAAAGTGCTGGGATTACAGGCGTGAGCCACTGTGCCTGGCCTAAAACTGTATATTGTTCTTAAAAGAAGACAAAATCCTCAACCTACTAGTCCTACAATGGTCTGGCCACTTCAGCCCCTGTCTTCAGTATAAGAACTGGATAGCAGTGTGGGCTCTGGGACCACACCTCAATGGTTCAAATCCTTGTTCCTCTCATTCCCAGCTCAGGTGATTTCTTTACTTATATTGTGCAATAGTTTCTTCCTTAATAAAATAGGAATAAAGATAGTGCTTATCTCATAGGATTATAATGAAAATTAAAAGAGTAAACTTCTTTCAACCATGTCTGGCAACTACCAAAAACTCAATAAATATTATCTGTTATTCTTGAAAACCACTGTGGGTCCAGTCACGCCTGCCTTCTTTCCATCCCCCAGATAGGCTGCAAACCAAGATCTTTCCAGCCTGGTTGCCTGAGCAGATGCTGCTCTGTTCAAGTTACTGTCCTTATACCCACCTCTTTGCACCGTTTCACTCCCACACGCCCTTGTCTCTCAGATCTAGTATTACTTCCTCAGGCAAATCTCCTCCTGAGACCCGCAAGTTCTCAGTCTCAAGTTTCCTTCATTATGTTGGTGTGTTCTCCTTCCAGTTTGTGCCTGGCTCAGGTCAGTCTTCAACCTCTAGAGGTCATCTCCAGGCTTGGCACTTTTTCCCAGAGTCTGATATATGCCTGACTCATTGTAGGCACTCCATACCGATTTGTTGGGTAAATGTTTAGTGGATGCTTAACCCAGTCTGAAACACTTTGGCCAGATCTGGCCTTCCAGGGACAAGCCTGGACCAGCTCCACTGCCTTTGATTTACGGGCTCTTTTTTTTCCCCCTACCTCCCAGGGTTCACCAACCCCCTTCTGATTAACACATTCTTTCTTTGCATGTGTTAACGAATTTGATGAGGTTTCTTAGGGCCCTAAGAAAACTTTGCATATCTATGCTCTGTTTTAGTTCACGTTGTTTTTAAAGTTTTGCTCTCGGTAGGTGTCTTATTTCCCTTATTTCCAAGTTCTGGCAGGGGCGGGTGGATGAGGGTTGTCTCATTGTGTCTCTCTATTATTGACAACACACCTGGACCAGGATTCTATCTGGCAGTGGAGACTCCCTGGTGTTTTGTATTTAAGTGAGTGTCTGCTCACCTTGCCAAGGGAACACTCCACCTTCTACACTGAACTTCTAAAGGCTGATCTAGGTCTGTCCCTAGCCCCCTCAACTCCATCCCCAGTCTCTACCAATCTGTTCCCTCTCGTCTCCTAAGATAGGGCCCAGCAGATACTCTCTCCAGAGAATACACTAGGTTGCTATATAACTCCATTTAATGGAGGTAGGTGGTCAGGTGTGTTTTTCAATAACCCAAAATACAGCACTGCTCTGGGGATGAGTTATTGTCTTAAATGGAAACATTAAAACTAGCCTAAGGGCAAGAGTAATCAATAGAGAAAGTCATCGTTACCCCTCCATATTTGTACTGTACGATGAGACATATGCAAATCCTCCCGTCAGTACCAGGCAAAAGTGACTATAGTTACAAAGATTCCATCCTGCTGTCATAAACTCTCTGTCAAAAAGACCCAATGCTATGTTAACAAAAATATTTGATCTACAACATACATCCTGAGACCCTGGATGTCTGAAAAGCATTGCTCTGGGTTTTCATGCTGTTTCCACAATGCTAAGATCTAGTGTAGGCCAGAGATGTGTGTGGAAACGGCACAAGAAAAGGGCTTGTCCAATCCAATGCAGAATTTAGCAGAAGGTAAGAAAGAACACAAAACTCAGGTTAAAGAAAGCCTCTCCCTGGGGTATTTCTCGTCCTTTATTTTTACCCCAGATCCAAGACTTGTGGTTAATTCAGATAAGCACTTGACCTTTGTGGGTGCTTATCCAAAGTCAACCTTCCCGTGTCTGAGGGTCACCTGTAACTCATTAATCTCAGTCCATTATTGTTTTGCAGGGATGTCTGTTCCATTTAAGATATAAAACTCCTATACAGATAACATGGTAGGTTAATGCACTCACCTTTCATTCCTTGATTGCTGGGTTCAAACCAAACTCAATTCTGTTATGAGTGAGGATTATGTTTTGATATGTTCCCTGTCCCCAGGAGCCATTTGTCTACAGGTCTTCAAACCCTAAAAGGATGTTGCAGGCATCAGCATACTCTTCAGGGCCCTATACAGGAGATTCCCGGGAATAGAATGGCCCAGAGGTTACTTGGTCAGGACTGGAGAGGAAAGAACTATTTAGGGAATCTTGCTGAGTGCATGCTTCTGAGGGTGCTATCAGTCTTTTGCCACTCTCAACTCTTAAGATGAAAACAAGGCCATTATCACTTTTCAAAAAATAATAAATTGCTTTATATAGAATCTAGTACTGTTGTACTGTATGTACTTCTCTACAGCAAGAAATGTGTTAGCAGCCAGTTGGGGGAAAAAAAGGCACAAACTCTTTGCAGTTTTTCGAACATCATACTTTTCTAGCATTTTCTTCTTTATGATTTAACTTTATTTCCTCTTCAACTAAGACATACAAATCTATACCCTCATCTGGCACAAAAATCAAGGATGTAAATCTAGAGGGAAATAACAATCAGGCATTCGACTATCTCTGAGGCATCACTGCCCTGCACAGTGGATGGCTTCCTTCTCTGGAGTCAGACTGCCAACGATAGAATTCTGGGCCTGCTGCTGAAAACCTTAACCTCTTCCAGCCTCAGTTTCATTAGCTGAAAGATGGAAACAATAAGAGCACCTACCACAGAGAGTTATTGGAATCAAATAAGATAATGATATATAAAGCTCTTAGAACAGTGTCTGGGCCGGGAGCAGTGGATCAAGCCTGTAATCCTAGCACATTGAGAGGCCAAGGCAGGCAGATCACTTGAGTCCAGGAGTTTGAGACCAGCCTGGGCAACATAGAGAAACCCTGTCTCTACAAAAAATACAAAAAAATTTAGTTGAGCATGGTGGCATGCACCTATAATCCCAGCTACTTGGGAGGCTGAGGCAGAGGATCACCTGAGCCCAGGAGGTCGAGGCTACAGTAAGCCGAGATCGCACCACTGCACTCCAGCATGGGTGAGTGACAAAGTGAGACTCTATCTAAAAACAAACAAACAAACAAACAAACAACAACAACAACAACAAAAACCAGTGTCTGGCATATAAAAGGGGTTCAATAAGTGTTAGCTGTTATTGGTACTTAATTGCTTTGACTCATGCTATAGAAACCAAAGGGGCTTTTTCTTTAAATCCGTGGCTTTTCCAACCACCTGAAACAAATGACCGAACTCCAAACAAATACTTCTGGTTCTTTCTACGTTGCATGGCCCCGTCACTCTTCCCTCCTGCTCCATGCCCCTTGAATCCCAACCAGTTAAAGTACAAGGGAGTGGCCGGGGAGTGAGGACGGTGCAGTCCAAACCGCCTCACTTAATTAATTTCAGCCAACTCCTCCTGCTGGCCACGCTGCTGCCGCCTCAATTACCCTTGGAGTTAACAACGGAAAGCGGCACACAAAGACTTTCACTTTATAGCAGGAAAAGGAAAAAGGTACTGTCGATACATATTACTTGTCAATGTAAATGCTTTCAGGAGCCCTTCACTGCTTCTTTTCATGTTCTTCGAGTCTAAGAACCATTTAGAGAAGTCCTGCTGTTCTAGCACCCTAAGGACATGTAAGAGGATGCGCGCAGGCAGCTGAGAAACGGAGCTTCTATTTATGTGGAGCAAGGCAGGCCTAGATCTTTGACTAACAATAAGCAGAATATCTTAATCACAAGCATTCTGAAGTCATGCCAGTGGAGTGCTTAGTGTTTGCCAGCTTGCTTTTCTTTCTTTTTAGAGAATACAACTTGGGAAAGATGCAAGCACATGCAGGTAGGCTCTTATTTGAGGATCCGCTGTTATTTTCCCATTGGGAACATTGGGAGCGAGCTACCTAAATATCAGTCCCAATCCCCCCACCAGGAGGGGTCTAGAATTTCTAAAACGAATAGGTGCAATCTGGGAGAAAAGGGAGACAGAGAACTTCTCTTGAAATTATGTTTGCACGACTGGGCGCTGTCACTCACGCCTATAATCCCAGCGCTTTGGGAGGCAGAGGCGGGCGGATAACTTGAAGTTAGGCGTTCGAGATCAGCCTGGCCAGCATGGCGAAATCCTGTCTTTACTAAAAATGCAAAAATTGCCCTGGTGTGGTGGCGCACACCTGCGGTCCCAGCTACTTGGGTGGCTGAGGCAGGAGAATCGCTTGAACCCAGGAGGCGGAGGTTGCAGTGAGCCGAGATGGTGCCACCGCACTCCAGCCTGGGCAACAGAGGAAGACTCTGTCTCAAAAAAAAAACAACATATATATATGTTTACACAGAAAACAGTCTGTTGTTTGGAGTCCATGTTTACTGGGGGTGAAATTGTAGGGCTAATGGAGAGTTTGAAGGGCTGGAGACCACTCCCAACCCCTGCCCCTCACCACCTCAAAGCACCCCTCACTTTGTAGTCTAACACCAGGACTCCCATCTTTCATTCCCCATGCTTTTAGGAGCCTTTACTACACAATCAAGGTAATGTCTTCAACAAAGATGATGTGTTAGAGTAAACGTTGTTTGTGGTGTGGGAAACGGGGACATTTATTTGCCTTGAAAAATGCCTGGCACAATAGGTGCTCAAAGATATTTGCTGAATAAATTTCTGATTTTATGGAAGCTTTTACCTTTTCCAAGGTAAAAGCCTTGGAAAAGAGGCTGCCACCAGAATAACTCCTTCTGATTTTTAGGATTTAAGGTAATCATTAAACATATTTTGAATAACTTCTTTCCCCCGATTGAAGCAATTAAAATGATCTCTGTATAGAGTATAGAAATTGTTTAGTAATATGCGACGCTTGGCAGAGATCACCTACTGTCTTCCGATTTTTAACAATATCTATTCTATCCATCTCTTTAAGGATAGACGCCCCCATGGCCGGGCGCAGTGGCTCACGCCTGTAATCCCAGCACTTTGGGAGGCCGAGGCGGGCGGATCACGAGGTCAGGAGATCGAGACAATCCTGGCTAACACGGTGAAACCCCGTCTCTACTAAAAATACAAAAAATTAGCCGGGTGTGGTGGCGGGCGCCTGTAGTCCCAGCTGAGGGAGGCTGAGGCAGGAGAATGGCGTGAACCCGGGAGGCGGAGCTTGCAGTGAGCCGAGATTGTGCCACTGCACTCCAGCCTGGGCGACAGAGCGAGACTCCGTCTAAAAAAAAAAAAAAGAAAGAAAAGGATAGACGCCCCCATTTTAGTTGGGTACATGGCTTCCCAGATGAAGATTATATTTCCAAACCCCTACCTCCTCTGCAGCTAGATGTAGGTACATCGCTAACTTCTGACCAACGAAATATGAACAGAAGTAATATATACAACTTCCAAGCTGGCACTTGAAGGAAAGGAGTGTGGCCTTTGCTGCTTCTTTCTCCTCTTACCGCTGGTTGGGATGCAAATGTGATGGTAGGTGCCGGAGCAGCCATCATGACTTTGAGTTCAGAGTTGTGGGTTGAGGATGATGGAGCAAAAGACAGAAGCAGCTTGCACCTCTGACACCCCCAAGCCTACCTGCAAGCCTCAGACTACTTATACTCAAACTGTTACTTGAGAGATAAATAAATTTCTATCCTGTTCAAACCATTGTATTTTAGAATGCCTCTGTTACTGTAGCCTAACCTGTATTTTAACAATACAGACATCATTAGAAAGGAAAGTTTAAAAAAAAAAAAAGAAACTTGCTACATTAGAAAGGAAAGTAAAAAAAAAAAAAAAAAAAAACTTGCTACATTAGGAAAGAAAGTTTAAAAAGAACTCCATTCATTTGAAACAAAAACAAGTAGAACAGAATAAATTATTGAGATATTAATCTGTTCTCATATTTTCCTTCTCTTAGTTCAACTACTACTTTCAGAATAGGTTCATATTATTATTGACTCATGAAAGATAGGTTGGTCCTGATTTCCAGTGCTGTCGTAGTGGACAATGACACTAACAGTAAGTGACAAGTCCAGCCCACTTTCTCTTTTTTCATGGCCTATGAGCCAAGAATAGTTTTTATATTTTGTAATGGTAGGAAAAAAACAAAAGAATATTTCACAGCATATGAAAATTATATAAAATTCAAATTGCAGTGTCCACAGATGAAGTTTTATTGGAACACAACCACATTCATTCATTTAAATATTATTCACAGCTGCTTTCATGCAGTTGAGTAACTACAGCAGAGACTGTATGGCCCAGAAAGCCTAAAATGTTTACCATATGACCTTTTACAGAAGAAGTTTGCCAATCCAGTCCTGGAGTGTCTTTCCTGTTGTTTTTAATGAAAGGTAGATATATATTGTCAGAATTGGTTCCCTTCACTTTGAAGTTTCAAGCTATAGGATCGTATTCATGCATTTAAGAATTTTTTTCAAATAGCTTGATTGTAATCATGAAGAATATTTGATTAACTGATAAAGAACTTGGAATGCAACAGTGGCTGAATTGCATTGCTAGTTGTTTTGTTTGTTTGTTTGTTGTTGTTGTCTCACTCTGTTGCCCAGGCTGGAGTGCAGTGATGTGATCTCGGCTCACTGCAATCTCCCACTCCCAGGTTCAAGCGATTGTCATGCCTCAGCCTCCCAAGTAGCTAGGATGACAGGCAGGTGCCACCACACTCGGCTAATTTTTTGTATTTTTTAGTAGAGTTGGGGTTTCGCTATGTTGGCCAGGCTGGTCTGGAACTCCTGTCCTCAAGTGATCGGCACACTTTGGCCTCCCAAAGTGTTGGGATTACAGGTATAAGCCACCATGCCCGGCCACATTGTTAGTGTTTCTCAGTCACGATATTTCCTGGAATTTTAATGATAGAGTCTTCGGTCCCACATTCAGCTTCACTTCATATGGTATTGGTTGACAGCAAGCCCTGTTGCTATATGTTGCCTTTATAATGTTTCTTGTGCCTCTCTTTTCAACTGTATTCCTACAGTCATGATACTCATTCAGCTCCTTAGTAATTCAAGGCCAAACTTTTGCAATATGTCTGAAATGGTTTTCTTGCATCTAATCTCTTCTCCTCCCTTCCATCCCTTGTCACCAAAGATATCTTCCCTTTAAAAAACTACATAACTACTTCCAATATCTAATTACATAGCTACATCTCCCATCTCAAAAATATCAGCCCATCAGTTGCTTACAGAATAAAATCCAAACTCTTTAGGCTAGTATTCATGATTCTTCATGGCTTGTTCTTACTCTATACTCTATCCTAACTGAACCATTTTCTCTTCCCTGTATACCTCTGTAGGACAGACTTTGTTCTCTGGTCCATCATCTGTACCTCTGTTTATACCATGATCTCTTGTCTTCAAACCTAACCCTTCCTCTTCATCCCTACATATTCAAATGCTGTGTATTTTTAAGACCTAATTCCAATATTAACTCTTTCATGATGGTTTCTCTGACTCCTCTATCCCAAGCCCAATAAGTATTGTGGACACCAATGGCTTTTTTCTTGCCTGACATTATTCATTCACCATTCTTTCAGAATGATTTGGATTCTTCTAGGATGCATTGGTTTTGCTTTGAGAATACAATCAATCTTGGGGATGCATGCAGTCTTGATAGAATTATAACTCAAAATGTCCCAGGCTTTCTGGTGAGGGGATGGAGATATGAGATTCGCTAGGCCAATCAGAATTGTACTTGTGCACTTGCTAGGACTCTCTCTCTCTCTCTGTCTCTCACTGCAATTTGACTCTTGACTCGTTTTGTGAGCATAGAAAGTGGCTGGAGCTCACTGATGCCCCGAAGAGGCCAGCAATGACTCCTACCTGTGGATCCCTGTAGCTGCCCTACTCTAGTTCTTGCAAGTGTTGGGTTCTTTGACCTACAGTTTAATTTCACGAAGAACTCCTTACCCGTCCATTGAAGTTCTTTGTAAAATTAGCCACTACGAGTTTCTATTGTTTGCAACCAAAGATGCTGACTGATAGAAGGGATGATCATTCCTTTTCCCAAACCCTCATAATACTTTACCTAAACATTTCTTAGGGCCCTTAACATTTCCAACCTTGTATAATAGTTATTCATGTCATTATTTTCTTTGTCTTACACAATGGCAGTTCCAGAATTCTATCCAGAAAGAGCAATCAGAGTGGAAGGAGAAAAGTATAAGGGAATTATCATTACTCCTTATTAAAATAAGGGTTTTCTTTTTATTTAGACTGTGTGTTTAAAATCATGAGAGAATAAAGTCTTGTAAAGATGCCTTTATTCTTGTTTTTTTTTTCTTGTTTTTTTTTTGGCAGAGTCTTGCTCTGTCACCCAGGCTGGAGTGCAGTGGTATGAATTCGACTCACTGCAACCTCCGTCTCCCAGGTTCAAGCGATTCTCCTGCCTCAACCTCCCGAGTAGGTGGGACTACAGGCGCACACCTCCATGCCTGGCTAATTTTTGTATTTTTAGTAGAGATGGGGTTTCACCATCTTGGCCAGGCTGATCTTGATCTCCTGACCTCCTGATCCACCCTCCTCAGCTTCCCAAAGAGCTGGGATTATAGGCGTGAACCACCGCGCCCGGCCTTATTCATATTTTAAGACTAATAAAAGCATCAGTTCTCCTTATTAGAGCACACTTATTTGAAGAAGAGATGGCATTGAGATTATAGTGGGGTGAAATTCTCCCTCCCCTTCCAAGGCTTCTTTTGGTATGGCCACTCAACTTAAAAGGCTGTGAGCCGTTTGTAACCAGGTGGTTACAGTACTTGCATGGACCTAATACAGTGTTTGAATCAAACAATCACTGGTCACTGTACCATCTTGTATTATTTTTTTGCCACCTTTCCAATGAGATTTCAAGGTGTATATTTTTCCCATTTGGAAATTATTTGGCTTACAAATCTATTTTAATAAATTATCATTAAACGCCCACCACTATAATGGGCACCCTTCTAAGTGCTGGGAATACAGTCAAGAACAGGCAAGATTACTGTCACCACAGAGCTTGCATTCTAGTGGAATGTATGTCTACTTAAGAGATGAAAATCACTATATAATAATTCACATCCTCATTTATTATAAGTATAGGACCAAAACTATTCATCTTTCTCCCATGTTACTTCGTGTTTCTGCCTCTTCTTTACTTCTGTTTCCCGCTGTAATTCAGTTTAATTCTCAACTTTACCATGAACCCAGGGCTTTCTCTTGTTATTTTTATTGGTTTTTTCACTTTTCCCACTATTTTTTTCTGTATCTTCTGATATTTGAAATATTCTTAAAAAATAACAACACATTATTGTTTAATCTTTTGTACAAAGTTCCTAAAACTAAGAAATATTAGTCACATACAGCTAGTATCTATGAATCATAGAGCCATAGATTCTTAATAACATAAAATTAAGAGGAAGAGCTTCTTGCCAGGTGCAGTGGCTCACATCTGTAATCCTAACACTTTGGGAGGCTGAGGCGGGCGGATCACCTGAGGTCGGGAGTTTGAGATCAGCCTGACCAACATGGAGAAACCCCGTCTCTACTAAAAATACAAAATTAGCCGGGCGTGGTGGCGCGCCTATAATCCCAGCTACTCGGGAGGCTGAGGCAGGAGAATTGCTTGAACCCAGGAGGCAGAGGTTGCAGTGAGCTGAGATCGTACCATTGTACTCCAGCCTGGGCAACAAGAGTGTCTCAAAAAAAAAAAAAAAAAAGAAAAAAAAAGAAAAAGAAAAAGAAAAAAGGGCTCCCAATTAACTAGTGTTTTTTTGTTTCCCAACCAAGCAAAACGTACAGACATTATTTATATCCCATTTAAAACAAATTATTTTCCAGCTTTATTGAGGTATAACTGACAAATAAAAATTGTATATATTCAAGCTGTACAACCTGATGGTTTGATATTCATATTCATTGTAAAATGATTGCCACAATCAAATTAGTTGACACGTCCATCACCACACATAGTTACCATTGTGTGGTGGGGTGTGGGGTGAGAACACTTAAGATCTACTCTCTTAGAACATTTCAGGTATACAATACAGCATTAATTATAGTCATTACACTGTAAATTAGATACTTATTAATCTTATTACTCAAAGTTCATACCTTTTGACCAACATCTCCCCATTTTTTCCACTTCCCGTGCCCTGGCAAAATTTTAAAAATAAATTTTATTTCCAAGTAGCATGTTTAATGATAGCACTCAATAAGTCATCAAATCTAAAGAGATAAGAATTACTTCCCCAAAGAGGGGAAAAGTAGTAAGGAAATTTCACTAACAATCAAAGAAATAGAAATTAAAACAATTGGTATCATTTTTGCACATTTTAGGCATTGAAATGCGTTTCAAATGCCATTCAGACTAATGAGGTTGCGGCCTCACTGAACTTTGCACTCATTTCTGCCAATACTGTAAATACCTCACAAAAATCATGAAAATGTTTATTTCTTTTGATCTGATATTTTCACTTCTAGTATTTATTGTAAGCAACTACTTCAACCAACATAAATATATATGTGCACAAAAATAATCCCTTTACAGTTATGTTAAATCATATGTGTAGCCGGGCACAGTGGCTCACGCCTGTAATCCCAGCACTTTGGGAGGCCGAGTTGGGCAGATCACAAGGTCAGGAGATAGAGACCATCCTGCGAATGGTGAAACCCTGTCTCTACTAAAAATATAAAAAATTAGCCGGGTGTGGTAGCGGGCGCTTGTAGTCTCAGCTATTCGGGAGGTTGAGGTGGGAGAATGGCGTGAACCCAGGAGGCGGAGCTTGCAGTGAGCAGAGATAGTGCCACTGCACTCCAGCCTGGGCGACAGAGCGAGACTCCATCTCAAAAAAAAAGAAAAGAAAAGAAAAAATCATATGTATAAAAGCAAAAATATGTCAACATTTGGAATAAGCCTTAATAAATTTAATTGTAGCATTGCAATTATTAAGCCTATTCAGAAGCATAGAAAAATATTTATTAGTTAATAACAAGTTATTTTATGTTGCCACATTATTGTATCTTTAATTCTTTTTATAACAAATTGGGACATAAGTAACTACCTAAACAAGTAATAAACTATGAAGTCACAGTAGCAAAACAGGAAATAGCATGACTATCCTATTGTGTCGTCATAGAAACATACATGTTTTTGGAAAGCAGTATATACATACTCAATTCAACAAATGATAATGGAATACTATATATCACACACTCTGCTAGGCCGGGAGGGTGCTAGACTGTGGCAGAGGCTATTGGCTACTGACCAAAATCTATATACCCTTTTTCTTAGGCACAGAGCTAGAATACATTTGCAGTTAGGTGGACATGTGACTAAGTTCCAGCCACATGGAATGGGAACAGAAGTCTTGTGTGCCACTCCCAGGCCTGGCCCATAATGCCCTCCCATTCTCACTCCTCTGTACTCTTTCTCCCTTCCACCTGGCTGTGATGGAAATAACCATAGTGACTATAGAAGCCATAATTTGAAGACGGCAAAGTCTCTGTCAGCCTGGTACCCTAAATGAGTGTGTAAAGGAGAGCTGCTGGCGATTCTGTTTATATTCCCAGGACTCTAACACGAGCAAGAACTAAACTTCCATTGTCCTGAGCCATGACTTGTTTGGGTGTCTTTGTTCCTGCAGCCTTGCCTACCCTATCAGACATGGAATTACAGATGATTTATTTTAAATGTTTTTATTTAACATTATTGGCTGGGCACGGTGGCTCACGTCTGTAATTCCGGCACTTTGGGAGGCCGGTGGGGGCAGTGGTGGATCACGAGGTCAGGAGTTCAAGACCAGCCTGGCCAACCTGGCGAAACCCCGTCTCTACT
Organism: Homo sapiens; assembly: GCF_000001405.40. Lineage (NCBI taxonomy): Eukaryota > Metazoa > Chordata > Mammalia > Primates > Hominidae > Homo > Homo sapiens. Next base: position 56,836,429 of record NC_000014.9, on the reverse strand, counting down.
AAAAACACAAAAATTAGCTGGGCATGGTGGTGTGTGCCTGTAGTCCCAGCTACTTTGGAGGCTGAGGCATGAGAATAGCTTGAACCTGGGAGGTGGAGGTTGCAGTGAGCCGAGATTGCGCCACTGCACTCCACCCTGGGCAACAGAGAAAGACTCTGTCTCAAAAATAAATAAATTAATTAATTAAATTAAATAATTATAGCCCATCAATTAAATTTAAAAATCCTAAATCACCATGTCTTTTTTTTTTCTTATTTGCTAAAATGCCTACAGCTTGCCCAATACAGTGAAAAAGTAGACCATCTTTGTTTCTTACTTACTGAAAGAGGTGATGGGAAATAACAAAATCCTAGTTAATTTTATTGTTTGTCAATTTGAAATTTGTTAGGGTTCAGAAGACATTTGAAAAATGTTTAAATAATTCCAAATTATACTCCTCAACTGAGATTTCATGTCTCATATTTCAGACCAAAGCAGATTTTTTTTTCGTTTCTTCATGAACTTCTAAAAAGAAAAAGAAAATCCACCAATTGGAATGCTACAGTGGTCTCAACTCTGTTCAAAATATGTACTATTGTGTTATTTCTATGTAGCATCCACAATAATTATTATTGGGGAAAAAAACTAAATGTATCAGTTTAATTTCATAATCTCTACTAAAAACTTGCTTAGAATATTACGTATACATTAGAAACTGAATGCTGGCAAAGACATCTGCACATTGAGATCTAAGTATATTTAGCAGAGGGAAAATCTTTGAAACAAGAAAAAAATTCACAAATTAGAACAAATACTCAGTACTGAAGGTATCATGCATAATTGTATTCCTAGCACACATGTTTAAAACATTTTTTTATCCATGTGTTTCAGAGTCCTTTCACCTTTTTTACATTTCAGTCTGTCTTACAGTGTATAGGTTAAGGTTTTCATCATAAATAATCTTTTGTTCAAGTGAAAAGAATTCATCCTATCTCAGGCACAAGATTCTGAAAACCCCCTCCATCACAAACTCCCTCTTCAGGTCAGCAGGGTGCTATCGGCACTAATAGTCATTTTCTATTTCTTTCTAAATATAAACACAAGGATTTGTTGCACAGAGCAACAAATTGTTGTGAGGTCACCCACAATTGGATTGCAGTAGGTTTTCCCAGATTTTAGAGACACCTGAAAGCCTTGGATGTCCTCACAGAGGCAGGAATTGTTAAAGTGAAATTCAACTCAATGAGAAATTCAGTTGTGCAAATGTAATTCACCGTCAAAGTAGGGCTGTCCACTTTAAAGTTAAAATTACCACATATTTATCATCATCTGACAATATTAACCTTGTCTGACTTTCAGCTTCTATAAGCCATAAAATAAGTTTGAACTTAGCTCTCTCTTTGTGTCCGATGGCAGATAAAAATTGTAATGTTTAAAAGCCAGTAAACAGGAATTTACCCTCAGGTATCATAATTAACAAGGCAGTGAGGTTAAAGCTACCTATTAAGGAAGACGAAAAAAGTGGCTCACTCTTTGTTCAGTAAATGGGGCATGTGGGGAGGGTGCACACCCCAATACTCTCTTCTCTAAAATGAATGTCACTCAGATTACAAATTAAAATAATAACCTATTCCACACAGGTAGGTAATTGTTCTCACGGTTGTACTTCTCATTTGGTGTTTATGGGAAGCACTTCAGAATTACTTAATATGATTTTAATGGCAGTGGGAAAAGAAGTTGAATGCTTAAAGAAAGGAACAAAGGTAAAAGGAGCCCCGGAGCCACCTCCGCTGCAGCGAGTGTCACTGAGGCCAGCTGCAGGTGCGCACACCCTGGGCTGGAGGCTGGAGACAGAAGCCCTGCATCTGAAATGGGTTGTTCTCGTGGGTTGCCTCTCAAAGGTGATTCAGGGCCTGAGTTTTTTTACCCACTCTTATATTTAAGCTATTTAAACAACTGTACATCTGAGACTCACAAGAAATTAAAGTGAGGAAAAATTAAGAAGCACTTACAAGTAGTCGGCTGGGTGCAGTGGCTCACACCTGTAATCCCAGCACGTTGGGAGGCCGAGGCAGGCAGATCACCTGAGGTCAGGAGTTCGAGACCAGCCTGGCCAACATGGTGAAACCCCATCTCTACTAAAAATATCAAATTAGCCAGGCATGGTGGCGGACACCTGTAATCCCAGCTACTTGAGAGGCTGAGGCAGGAGAATCACTTGAACCCGGGAGGCGGAGGTTGCAGGGAGCCAAGATCCTGCCATTGCACTCCAACCTGGGCAAAAAGAGTGAAACTCCATCTCCGAAAAAAAAGAAAAAAGAAAAGAAAAAGAATAACAAAACAAAAAACAAGTAGTCATTAAAAGGCTGACAGACTACTTAATGTACCTTAACAGTAACTATACCTGAAAAGGGTAGGGAGGGATCACCACCCCAAGAAACCCGACTGTAAAAGGATAAATGCATTCAAGTATGCATTCATTTATTAATGTATCCCAGCATTTATTCAACAGATATAGGATGGTGCTGTAGCTCTGAGCTGGGCTCTGTGCTGGGAGATGGGATTATCTTAAGAACAAGGTAGACCAGGTTCCTGCTTTCACAGTGGGTCTGCATGATGATTAGCTGGAGTGCAATGGCATGACCTCTGCTCACTGCAACCCCTGCCTCCCGGGTTCAAGTGATTCTCCTGCCTCAGCCTCCAGAGTAGCTGGGATTACAGGTGCCTGCCACCACACCCGGCTAATTTTTTTTTATTTTATTTTTAGTAGAGATGGGGTTTCACTACCTTGGTCAGGCTGGTCTCGAACTCCTGACCTCATGATCCACCCACCTCAGCTTCCCAAAGTGCATGAACCACCATGCATGAACGGTGCATGAACCACCGTGCCTGGCTTGATGATTAGATTTTGGAAATCAATATAAACGGTCATCTTATGCACTGTTTCAAAACATAGAAATTTCTAGTACTTAATTTTAATTACTTATTCATTTGGTCAACAAATATTTAGTGACCACCTGTTGTGGATTCATCAGAACTGCTTTGGAAGAGCACAGTTCACTTTCTTCCTGTCTAAACTAGATGAGGTTCAGGCTGAGTCAAACTCTCAATTATTGCCTTCTGGAACTGGATCACTCCCAAGAAACTGAATCTTTTTTTTTTTTTTTTTTTTTGAGATGGAGTTTCACTCTTGTCACCCAGACTGGAGTGCAATGGCGCGATCTCAGCTCACTGCAACCTTCACCTCCCAGGTTCAAGCAATTCTCCTGCCTCAGCCTCCCAAGTAGCTGGGACTACAGGCGCACACCATGGCCAGCTAATTTTTGTATTTTTAGTGGAGATGGGGTTTTGCCATGTTGGCCAGGCTGGTCTCGAACTCATGCCTGCATCTGCCTATTCTGTGCTTCAGCCAATTGGATACAGCCTCTCAGCCATACTATATATTTATTTCTATTTCCATGTCTTTGTTCCACTGTTCTCCCTGTCCTCCATATTCCTCTCTGCTAATCTAATTCTTACTCATTCTTAAAGGCCCAACCCAAAAAAGTATTCCTTTCTTCTAGGGATCTTCCCTAAGTTATATTACATCCTTAACCTGGACCTATTGTCTATACCACTCACTGTCATCTTGTGACATCTTTTGTATCACAGCTTTATTTTGTGGCTATGGTTTTTCCCATGTATGTCTCAAGGCAGCATGCTGCAAATGCCACTTGCCCCTCTAGAACCATCTTCTACCTTTCTCTACCCTGCTCTGTATAGCAGGACACCGACCTTCTGAATTATGTCAATGAGTTCCCTTGTTTTCTGGCTCTTGGTTGAGTTTAAACAGTGCAAGCCACCAGCAGGAATCAGTGGGTGGGAGGAGAGGGTGTGTAGCATTTGCTGCCCAGTGCCCACCAGGCTGGGATGCACCGGGTCAGCATTTATTTCCTGAAGGCCACCGCATTCATCAGGTGGCCCTTTCCTCCAGCTACAGCCACAACCACAGCTCCGGCTAGCCTTGGGTTCCAGTTCCCAGCCCTTTCCTTGACCTCTTCAGGCTTATGGGTGGTAATGGCTCCCCAGTGTTGTTAGTCTCATGTGCTTCACCACCCCTTGTGGTTTCCCTTAACCCTGCCAACAATACTCCCTTCATTACTATCTCCTCAACTGCCATGCTTGAGTACACCATCAATTACCATCCTTGAGTGCCAGGATCCTGACTGCTAGGGTAGCAACTTGGATTTTGCTTCTATGTATTCCCATGGGTTATGCTTCCATATAGCCCCCACAACATCTAGCTCACTGTGGAGCTTAATAAGCATTTGCTGAAGGAAGGAATAGAACCATGGGTGGACTACCATACTTGAATTAACAATGGATAATTCACAGAAGAAAAAGAATCTCTATGCACTATGGTTCCTCAACTAACGAGAAGATTCACCTTCACCTAGTACCTATACATAACCAAACATAGTGCTATTTCTTTTTTTCTCATAGTGTTTCTTCTTGAATCTGTATTTATGATATTAATTAACCTATATTAAAATAGTTTACATATTTAGTCCCACTTATTCTGGGGAAAAAATTAGTTGGACTCCAATAAATTGGGTTAGTTGAAATGAAACTTCTATTTTTCTCCTTCTTTGCTTTTCACTTTTTTAAATGGAGTTTCTTTACTGATGACCCAGTCATACCAGACTTTGCCCTGCTATTTTCAGTCCTTTTTCTGGACATGTTTTTGCATATCTCAATCTAATGGGTAAAAATTAAATAGATCTGATGCATACATAAGCTGTCAATCATTTGAGAAAGTCTCAATTTTTTCACCTGCTTATCTACACCCTGTTCTACTGAATATCCTAGGTGCCACCTGACACATGCCTATCACATATGGGTGAGAAAAGAAGTACGTTAGTTCTGTGCAGTGGAGATGAAAAGATAGGTGTACATAGATAACCTGGAGAACAGGTAAAATGACTCCTTGAGCAGTGATCTTTCGAGAGGCTGTCACCTCTCGAAGGTAAACTCAGATACCTGCAGCCTGGTCTTCCTTCCTCAGTGGTCTTTCTTAAGCAACCCTCAAGCTCTTCTGCCTTGTCTTTCAGAGTCAGAGGATGGCCTGTGACCACAAAATACATGCTCCTTGAACCATACTGGTTTGAGCAGTACCACTATCTGATTAGTACCCTTTTAGCATCACTATGATTGTTCACCAAGAATAATATTGCAACTAATGCATTTATAGCCAATATTCCATGAAGAAATAACCGTTTGGTAGTTTGCTAGGTCAATGAACAGCAATAGCAGGTTGATTGTGGTGGGAATACCAAGGTCCTACTATTCAAAATCCTAACAGTGGTATAGGTGGATTGAGAGTTATAACCATTAACATTGAGGGATTAAGAAAAAAAGGCAAAATTATTTCAGCCAAATGTTTAATCATTTCAGTCACCACGGTATTAAACCTATGAGAGATTTTGCATCTATGGTTTCCATAACTAAAAATTCAGAGAGAAAGAAAAAAAAAACTATCACAAACTAACTTCAAATTTTTATTTTATAAGAGAAATGATTCGTGATTAGTTAGTGGCAAAGAACTACATACTGACTCTTCTGAAAAGGTATTCAACATTATTTCTACTTTCTCCCAGGATGAAATTGTGGGGTAAAGCCAATGGGTTTTCAAAAGATAAATTTAGCAATCACTGCAAAATGTAGAGGGGTTTAATCCTCTCTACAGCAATTCCCTCTTACCTGTGGTGATTTCAGTTATCTGAGATCAACCAGGGTTCAAAAACATTAAATGGAAAATTCCAGAGAAAAAGAGAAATCACATTCACAAAACTTCGATTACAGTATGTTGGTTTTTGTTTTGTTGTTGTTGTTGTTTTGTTTTGTTTTGTTTTGTTTTGTTTTCAGACAGAGTCTCACTGTGTTGCCCAGGCTGGAGTGCAGTGGCACCATCTCGGCTCAATGCAATCTCTGCCTCCTAGGTTCAAGCAATTCTTCTGTCTCAGCCTCCCAAGTAGCTGGGACTATAGGCGCCCACCACCATGCCTGGCTAATTTTTGTATTTTTAGTAGATACAGGGTTTCACCATATTGGTCAGGCTGGTCTCGAACTCCCGACCTCAGGTGATCCACCCGCCTCGGCCTCCCAAAGTGCTGGGATTATAGGCATAAGCCACCGCGCCCGGCCAATTACAGTATATTGTTAATAATTGCTCTATAATATTAGATGTTATAGTCAATGTCTTAGCATGACTAATAATTAAATTTTGTCATAGGTATGTATGTATAGGAAAAAACATAGTATATATAGAGTTCAGTATTATCCAAAGTTCAGTATTATCCATAGTATACATAGAGTTCAGTATTATCCAAAGTTTCAGACATCCAGTGGAGATCATGGAACATAACCACTGTGAATTAAGGGAGATACTGTCGTTTCTGATCTTTATTGCATTTCAAGTGTATTTGGAGGTCTGCTCCTTGAATCACACTCATTTGAGCAGCACCACCCACTGCCCACCCTCTAGACATAATAAGTAAGTAATCAAATATCCAAAATAAGCTTTCCTCTTAGAAATAAGGAGATGAAGAGTGGTGAGCAGCAATGAGCAGTGGCATGGGTGGTACAGTTTGAACTTTAACACTGTGGCTTTCTTCATGGGTAGAGATACTGATATTTTTCCTCCAAGATGCTCTTCTTCACACTTAAACTACTATACTATGTAACTACTATAACTACTATAACTTCTAGATCATCCTTTAGGAATCAAAAAAATCTGAAACCATTTATTTCTTCATGACAAGTGAAATGGTATATAAAAAAAGGGAAAATAGATAAAGAAACATTTTACAATCCAAGCAACTGCAAACAGCTCCTGTGAACATCAGAAATGTGGAAGTGTCCGGACAAATTTGCAGCATTGAAGGAAGTCTTTGAGGTAAGTAATTGAATTAGAGACAGCTAGCATAGCTTTATGAAAGCGATACTTGTGTACCTTACTAGTTGGAATGCTTTACAGGGCATTACTGACATAGAAAGAAAATGGAACACAATGGATGTCATATAATTGTTAAAAAGCCATTGAATGTTATTAACAATGAAGATTATTGGCTAAGACCGCATCTATTGTGTAAGGTAAAATAGTTTGTTGGATTAAAAAACTGCTCAAAACCTGCAAAAAGTGAGTGAATGTTAATGGTAATTTTTTTTTAAACTGAAGAGAGGTTATCAGTAAGGGTGAAATAATAGCTTTGAAAGCAAATGACTAAAATTGGAAGAATACACGCGATCCAACCTCATTACATTGGACTATTGTGGTACCTTCTCTGACACTAGGTACTAAATTTCCAGGTACTTTTAATCGTATTCTGTTTACGATTATTATAATAAACCCCCTTTCTGAAGAAGAGGTGGAAAGAAACGGCCATGTTTAACAGAATACGATTCAGTGTGTTGACTGTAATTATTGGAGCACAAATTCTTGACTTTTTCAACTTAGCTACTTAAAAATTACAAACCTATCTTTTCTTCTATCTATAGAGACAACATAACCAAAAATCAATGCTATCTTACCTATATTATTTACCTGCATATATACAAACTTGGCTTACAGTAAATTATTAACATGCTATATATCTACAAACAGGTAGGCAAATTTGACACTGCTGAAAGATCTGACTCATAATGGTGTATCAAAAAGACTCTTGTCTATAGTATTAATTCCTCTTAGGAAGTTTAGACAAGTCAGAATGACCCAAGCTTTTTATTGTGTCCAATTCAGTCATAAAAGTTGCGTAGAATCTCCAAATCTTGGGCTGGGTACAGTGGCTCATGCCTGTAATCCCAGCACTTTGGGAAGCCAAGGCAGTCGGATCACTTGAGGTCAGGAGTTCGAAACCAGCCTGGACAACATGGTGAAATCCTGTCCCTACTAAAAATACAAAAACTCGCCAGGCGTGGTGGTGCACACCTGTAATCCCACCTACTTGGGAGGCTGAGACAGGAGAATCGCTGGAACCCGGGAGGCAGAGGTCGCAGTGATCCAAGATTGCACCACTGCACTCCAGCCTGGATGACAGAGTGAGATGCCATCTCAAAAAAATAAAAAAACCTCCAAACCTATTTCTTTAATCTTGAGTGTAATATTTTTAGGATACAAAAATCTGGTGTTGCAAAGAGTTTGCTTTGTTTTGATGGCTTATGATGGAAGTCATATTTTCTGCAATCTGTTCTAAGCAACTTTTTTTTTTTTTTTTTTTGAGATGAGTGTTGTTCTGTCTCCTGGGCTGGAGTGCAGTGGCGTGGCATGGCGAGATCTCGGCTCACTGCAAGCTCTGCCTCCCGGGTTTATGCCATTCTCCTGCCTCAGCTTCCCGAGTAGCTGGGAATACCAGCGCCCGCCACAATGCCCATCTAATTTTTTATACTTTTAGTAGAGACGGGTTTCACCATGTTAGCCAGGATAGTCCCGATATCCTGATCTCGTGATCTGCCCGCCTTGGCCTCCCAAAGTGCTAGGAATATATGCATGAGCCACCGCGCCCGGCCTCTAAGCAACTTTTAAAGAAAAAATAAAACAAAACATAATCAGGGTAGATTCTACAAGAAGTAATTGAGTGAAAGTACTATAAGTTTTAATCTGATTGTAAATCAGAAAGTTCTATAAGTTATAGTCTGATTGTAAATCCATGTCATAGTTTAAATTAGATTTTAAAAACTAAAAAACCTTATGAGACACTATTAAATCTTCAAAATTATGGAGAATTGATATTCATATTGATACATTTATGTGCATATGCTATTGTCTGTTAATAATGACAGCTGTTACAATAACAAGGAATTGCATAAAATTCATTTGAACACAATGGGTCTGATTCAGCAACTTGGATCTGTTAAGAATATCTTCAGTAAAGCACTTTATTGTACATAACACTACTTTACATTTTGTAGTAAGTATTATATATTCTACTATGTATTTTGCTCATTGAGCAGTTATATTAGACAATGGATTTCAGTGACAAAGCTATTAAAATATGGAGAGTATCTTATGTTAAAAGAGTTCGGTGTATCCAGATTGTAGTGGTGGTTACATGAATCTATATGTACATTAAAATATTCACAGAATAGTACACCAAAAGAAGTCCATTTTACTGTATGATAATTCAAATAATAAAATTAACTGTCTCTTTTTTTTTTTTTGCATTGGGTGTCTTCATCACATTGCCCAGCTACATTGCACTACCACGCCCAGTCAAAACTAATATTCAAGATGTAATAAATAGTTTAGTTTTTTAAATGTTTGTGCTGGGCTCTGAAGGATAAAATATAACCTATGGCATAAAATAAACATTTTTTTAAAGTATAAATAATGCTAAGACTATAAAGAACAAGAAAAAAGATTTTAAAGTATATCCCCCCAAATATCACAAAACAATCTATCACAGATGCAATCTGGGACTCTGAGCTTTTATAAGGGAGAATTTCAAGGCTAGCAAATCTTCACAACATAAACTTCTTACAACCTCAAAAGATGAGACAGCTTTCCTAGGATTTACTAGTTGGCAATAAATATTTTGCTCAGCAATTAATAAAAATAATTGTAAAATTGTGTTTGCTTCATAGAATAAGAACTGGAAGGAAACTTAAAGAGTCATTTGATTACCTTCAGGCAGGTGTACACAAAGGTATTTAACCAAAACTTACAAATCTCTTCTCAGAGATCTCCAAACACAGAGATTCCACAATGGCCACCAATGAACATATTCTCATGTTTTAGCACTAGGATAGCTAAGCTGGGGATGTGAGTCTGTGTGTTTCTGCTGAAACAGCTCCTATGTTAAGTTCTTTCATCATCTTGGATCTCTCAAGGCATGGAGAACTACTATAAAAATTCCTCTTCTAGAAAATATCCACGCTTTTCAAGACATTAATTAGATGATCTCTTTAGCCATTCTTCTTCAAGGTTAACAAACCTGCCCTTGATGTGCTATGCTCATAGAGATGCCCATAAAACATTTCTATCATAATAGCTCCTTCTCTTCACTTTCGGTTGTTTCCATCCTTTGTGTTTTAAAGAACAGTGACCAAAGTAGGCCCTGTATTCAGCCCAAGTCTCAAGAGTAGAGTGCTAGAGTGCTTCTTCGGCCATGCCTGTTACGTTTCTCTTTCTTTCTTTTCCTTCCTTCCTTCCTTCCTTCCTTCCTTCCTTCCTTCCTTTCCTTTTCTTTGTTTTTGGCATTCTTGGGAGAAGAATGTGTTGTATATACGAACCACATACAAATGTCCTCATATAAAACACAAAAACCAGTAAAGAAGCACATGGTTCTTTAGTTAATTTTTTAGTTAATAATGGAAGTGCATGTAAGAATATGAAAAAAGAGTATCCTTCAGCCAAGGATGTACAAGTAAGTGACTGAAATAAAAAGAAAACTCCAGGCCTGGCGCAGTGGCTCGTGCCTGTAATCCCAGCACTTTGGGAGGCTGAGGCGGGTGGATCATGAGATCAGCAGATCGAGACCACCCTGGCTAACACGGTGAAACCCCGTCTCTACTAAAAATACAAAAACTAACCAGGCGTGGTGGCGGGCGCCTGTAGTCCCAGCTACTCGGGAGGCTGAGGCAGGAGAATGGTGTGAACCCGGAAGGCGGAGCTTGCAGTGAGCCGAGATCGCGCCACCGCACTCCAGCCTGGGCGACAGAGCGAGACGCCGTCTCTAAAAAAAAAAGAAAAGAAAACTCCAGGCAGTAGCCAGAGTAGTTACCATTCCCTTCCTATCAACACTGGGGTGGATATATAGACCCCTTCCTCTACAGCAGCAGAACAAAATAAAATGAGTTTTATAATTGGCAGTCATAAGAATTTACAGACAACTACAGAATTAAAGGAGGAGCTACCTCTGATATTTGTATAATAATAGGAACAGAAATGTCTAGACCTGTAGACATAAAGTTGATGAAGACACTTGACATTAAATTTCAAACTTCAAGTAACACCTATAGACCAAGATTTTTCTGTAATTCCTAAGTCAGCCCTGATTCAAAGAAGTGACCGGGTTGGCATAGGCCAACTTTAGATATGAACAGGACCTAAAGGAGGCCCAGCAGAGACCCATAATCAGCTAGTTGATGAGGAGAAAGACCACAGAATCAGAACAAAGGATTGTGTAGTCTTAAGGACAAAAGGGTTTGTCTGTCCATTATTGTGGAAAGGATCCATACTTCAGTTGAACACTCATATATTTTTTACTAACTAGCATATTATTCATTCTGTGGTATATTTCATTTCTCTTCACCGAACCTTTTGCAATCCTTTAAAAAATCCCTACTTATGTTCTCTTTCTTTTTTTTTATTTTTGTAATTTAAAAAATGTGGAACGATCCACAAATTTGCATGTCATCCTCATGCAGGGGCTATACTAATCTTCTCTCTGTTGTTCCAATTTTAGTGTACACGCTGCCAAAGCAAGCACTATGTTCCCTTTCATGTGCCTGAACTTGGTGGACACAAGAGAGCTGGCTTCTAAATTCTGTTGCTCAGAGTACATAAAAACAAACAAATAAACAGCTTCCCCAGACAACTGTTTGCATGTGCCACCTATTATTTACCCAAGGGTGAGACCTATTTTGTGAAGAAGAAAAGAAGTTCTGCTCTGGAAACTGTTCAGTGAAGCTTTTGTTTTATACTGCAGGTTAGGGAGGAATACAGTGGGGAGGTTTCCATAAAACTGGCATTGTCAACTGCCCAAGGCAGAACTTGTGGTAGCTTGAGAGCTAGTCACTGTTTTAAATTCCTGAAAAAGCCAGATGTGGTGGCATGCACCTGTAGTCCCAGCTACTTGGGAAGCTGAGGTGGGAGGATGGCTTGAGCCCAGGAGTTGTGCTACAGCAATCGGATGTTCGCACTAAGTTCAGCATCAATATGGTGACCTCCTGAGAGCAAGAGACCCAACAGGTTGCCCAAGGAGGGGTGAACCAGCTCAGAGCAAAAATGGAGCAGGCCAAAACTCCAGTGCTGATCGGTAGTGGGATCACACCTGTGAACAGCCATTGCATTCCAACCTGGAAAACATGGTATCTTATTAAAAAAAAAATCCTGGAAAACATAAACCCTGAAAATTGTGGGACCATTTCCAATTTTTTCTCTGCTTCCCTGACAAGAGTTATTGGTGCAAAAGAAATTGCAGTTTTTGCCATTAAAAGTAATGACAAAAACTGCAACTACTTTTGCATCAACCTAATAATATGGGTCCGAGGAGGAAACCAAAGATTAATGCCTCAAATAAAGTAAAAGTCTTGTCATATAACTGCCCTTCTTAGACTACTTGGGCTGCTATAACAAAATACCAGAAACTGGGTATCTTTAAAACAACAGAAATTTATTGCTCACCATTCTGAAGACTGGGAAGTGCAAAATCAAGGCAGATTTGCTGATTGCCTTACTGGTGATGGCCTGCTTTCTGGTTTATAGAGGGCACCTTCTTGCTGTGTCCTCACAGCAAGATGGAAGGGGTAAGGGTCTCTCTGGGGTCTCTTTTATAAGGACACTAATCCCATTCACGAGGGCTCCTTCCTCATTACCTAATCACTTCCCAAAGTCCCCATCTCGTAACAGCATCACCTTAGGGGTTAGGATTTTAACATGAATTTTGGAGGGACACAAACATTCGGATGATAGCACTGCGCAAATGCTAAATGCAAAGTCATTGTTGTTCAATGTGTTATTTAAAGGCTGTGCATTATTGCATTATCTTCCACTTGTCCTTTTTCCTTCTGTAATTTGTCCATATTAGCCTGCTGTATCTTCTGGCAGTTCTCCCCTCCCTTCTTTCTGGGTTTCATTCCCTAACAAGGGCTCTGTGCCTGTCTCCCTGCCCAAATTGTAACTACCACCTTAGTCTTGCCCAGTGGCAGTATCTTCACCCATAGATTTAACTGAGGCAAAACTATTACCTGTTAAACAACTTTAGCTCTGCAGCATAAACACCCAAGTTAAGAAAAAATTACTAGTACACAAGTCATACATAGTGTTGGAGAATACTAGTTCTAAACATCTGACTTAAAAAATGACTAGGAGACAAGTCACACATAGTGTTGGAGAATACTAGTCCTACAAGATATAAACAGATAAGGCAGATGAGGTCCAAGCCCGTTTCTCTATGGGGAGATGTCTTCCACTTAATATAACTGAATACATTACAAAAGAAAGAAAGAAAAGAAAGAAAAAATTCCAATAAATCTGCACTCAGAAAAAAGGAGGCAAATTGGTATGGACAGAACAATTAGGAAAACAACGATAAATTTCACTTTACATGTGCTAGACAAAGGAGTTAATATCATGAAAACTTAACCATAACAAAATATTTTGCTGAACAGTATTTGGTCCTATATTAAGAAATCAATGTCCATAGACACAAGTTTAAGTTTCAAGAAACTAAAAACTTAAGATGTCTGGATTAAAGATGTCTTTCATTTTCCTCTTTATAAGTTTATGCATTTTTCAAATTATTTGGAAAGAAATTTTGGAATTGAAAAAAAGTTTAAAAACTGAAAATTCTTTTATATATTTTTCCTCTTGAATTATTATTCTGTTTATGAAATAGGAACATGATATCCCCAAGCTGCTGTTGATGTCATCCAGTCGTAGCTAACTATGTGCTTAGTGAAGTGAGGATGAGAAATATATTTTACAGAAAGTGACAACAATATTATGCCTTTATACTTTGTCAATATGATCCCAAATGTGAAGATATTTGAAAATATTCGTTACTGATTTTTTTTTCTTTTCATCTAGATTAACGACACTACAGAGCTATCTATATTTTGGTAGTCACCAAACTTTTTAAAATGTCAATATCATTATACGTGTTATCCATTCTCTACACCAGGATTTTTCAACCTTGGAACTATTAACACTTTGGGCCAATTTTCTGTTGTAGGGTGCTGTCCTCTGTAGTGCAGGATGTTTAGCAGCATTCCTGGTCTCTACCCAGTAGATAAGAGTTGTGATGACTAAAAACGTCTCCAGACATTGCCAAATGTCCCCTGGGGGGACAAAATTGTCGCTGGTTGAGAAACACTGCTGTATAGTGAGTTATCACTATCCAAATATTTTGATTATCTGTTTAACCATTACCTATTACCCCGGCCACATTAATCATGCCATGATTCACATTGATCACAATGATTAAAGAAATTATAGATTTACTATGGTGCTCAGGCACTTACCATTAGGCTATTAGACAAAGTCTGGGAATATAAGGGGAAAAAAAATCCCATAATTAAAAAAAATAAAAGATTACACGGAAAGAGCAAAGGTGTTGGCTGTATGCTAGGATCAAATGACATTCATTTGTTGAAGTAGTCTGAGTGACTCAAAGACATACAGCAGCTATTATTCACTTAGCTACAACACAGCAAATATTAACACATATTTTGAAAAAGAGAGATGTTGCTTCATGTGACAATACTGATAATATTTAAGAAGAGATGTCAGTGACTCATCAGACACTCAGGCAGTCATGATTTTTCCCCTTAAATGTCACTAATAATTTTTCTTACTGCCTTTTTTATTTAGGCACATGTTCAGTGGCACTCACAATCAAAATTCTATTACAAAACACAGTATCGAATATCTTACTTTTATTTTATTTAAATAAATATTGTAAATGATCATAGTGAATAACATAATAAGTATTATTCGTATCACCATTCTTCTGTATTGTAGTGATTTTTATGTCATCACTGTGAATGGTGGATGGTCTTTTGTCTCTTCTAAATGTCCCATTCCTCATGGGATAATTTAAAATGACCCATAAGCAAAGTTAAGTTTCAAGAGGATTTTTTTTCAAATAGACAGCCTTGCCTTGTACTATTATCCTCCAATTTCCTTTTTACATTTTCGAAAATAATATGTGAGTTTTAAAACTTGTTTAATTTAAAATGACTCTTTTTAAAAAAGAAAACACTGTAGTGGGATGCCGGGATTGCATTCATCCCAGCATGCCCCACCACTGTTCTTTGGATGGCAATCACAGGACCCAGACATCAAGCTGTGGAAGAGATTCTTCCAAGCAACAGCATCTGGCTCTTTGGCAAACTGAACAGGCAGTTGCCCTCGTGGCTTTGGAGTTGCCTCTGGGTCTGTCACAGAGTAAGGCTGCTGATGGAGTGTCTGGATTCTCATCTCCTTTTCACTTCGCTGTCTTTCTCATATATATTTTGGGCATCAAGAGACCCACTCTCTTCCATAAGGCAAATGCTACCCTCCTGAAGCCTAATGAACTTTTACGTAAACCCTGTTGTACTTCCATAAGTATCCCTTTCCATTGCCCACATCTCTTACGGAAGTGTAAAAATAGGCAAGCATTCTGGCATCAGCAACACTAGCATTCTATTTCACACCCCACCTACAGAGAGAATCAGAAATTAAATGCTCTATTCTCAGTCCTGAATATTTTAAGCTTGTATTTTCACCTTCTTTACTCATAATAGATCTTTTTGCCAGTTAAATTTAATAAATTCATATTTATAATACGAATAGCTACCTAGTCTCATAAAAACTTTTTTTTCATTCTTCAGATCACATAATCTAAACTGGTAAGGTGGTATAAAGACCATAGGAGCTTAGTACGAAGAATTTATGGCACTTTAAAATCGTAAGTGCAGTCCTTGGAACAAACAAACACCTTGAATACCAGAATCAGCAGCTCCAGAACAAAGGGGCTCTCATATCCTCTTAGCTGTGAAGGAAATTAAAAAGACCAAATTTGAAAAATAAAGAATGAGTTTTTAGAGGTTTGGGGATTAAAAAAAAAACCCTCAACCTTCTGAATAATTTGCATGAAAAGTATTAATCAATATGGCTTCTCTACAGACCACAGGCTATGCACAGGCACCATGACCCACAATTCATACCCAGAAGGTAAAGTACTATTGGTGAGGATGTGTCTCAAAGACTCTGGTGTGTCCAGACACACACTAGATCAGTAGGACTGATTTGTAAGAGGTAGCATTTAATTCTTCCTGTGAGATTTCTTCAGAAAAAAAGAAACCTTCATGCACTGGTCACCTCATGGAGACTCAGTTTTAATCTGTTGTTTGATTACCACATTCAATAACTCCATCGATAACCAATGAAAACTTTCATGGTAATGTCTGTGTTATGAATGGAAAGCAAATAAAATAGAGAGGGGGAGAATCTTTATAAGAAAGACTACATTTGAGTGTAAGTTGTTACTAGAAAAGTCCTAAATTCGAGGGGAAATTAAACCCATTAATTTCTAGGACTGGCAAGTAGTTGAAGCTAAAATGGACAAAAATAAATAACAGTAACTACTACTAGCCCAGAAAGGGGGTTTTAAAAAAATAAATTGTATTTATAATTATTTGAATACTTTTTTTGCATTCTCTTTGAAATAAGATAAGAATGTAATGATGGCATACATGCACATATAGTCTCTATCTTTTAGAGATGAACTAAAAGAATACAGAGTTAAATCTAAAGTTTGTTTTTATTCCTAATCCAAAAAAAAGTATTTTTTACTGAGGAGCACATAATCTAAACACATAATAAACCATACACTCAGCTGCCTTGTGATTTTATTTTTTAGAAACGAATTAGATTTGAACATTAAGAGTCATATACTTTTGTCAATTCATGCAAACAACTCCTACAGTTTTCCCTAGGAGCACTGCTGTGGATGAGCAATACAAGTCCTTACACCCTAGAGCAATGGACAAATCTCTCCAGGCTTAATTTTCGGCAAAAAGAGAGCAATGAAAACTTTTAGATCAAATGTTTATTATAACTATTGGATTATTTGAAATGAGAAAAATTCGAACCTCTAGACATAATCAATTCCTGACAATTGCCTACTACATAGTAGGTGCCCAGATATGCTTGTTGAATGCATACATGAATTAATGAATGAATGTGAGTTCATGTTACAAAAAACTTTCAAAAAAGTACTTATGCTCTAGAGACGTCCTGGCTTGATAATCACAAATCTTTAGACAAATCAGAGGCTTCAGTAAATATTTTTGCATATGAAAAATAAACAAATTTATCCATCCCACCATGTGTGCACAAATTGGGTAATAAACCAAATTGATTCAAATGTGCGATTGGATTAAGAATATATGGTCTAATGTAAAATGTTTGCTTTTACTGAAATGTTTTCATTAAGACTCTAGAGTTGACTGAAGTTATATCTACCCAATGCCAACTACCAGGATAATAAAAATATTTCTTGATGATAATGAAATTGTTTGGTGTCCCTCCAATTCCTTGGTGAATATCTCATGTAGAGAATGTCTTTTTGTTAGAGAAAGACTTCAACCACTTCAACCACTACTTCTGCTTTTTGGTTGAAACAGTAGGAAAAGGTCAGGGTAGACTTAAGCCCATGATTCTGTTGATACTCAAGGTCTCTATCCCATGCCTATTTCTTCTGTGCTTATCTGACATATTTTGTCCATCAAATACAAGAGAGCATAATCAAAAGGGTTACTGCTCTTCCAGTAACCCAGAATACACTATCTACACTTGGGGTGATCTGTGTGTCCCTTAAGTGATGGCTTTCATTGTCATATTTGGGAGCTAAGTATTGGAAGCAATGATATCTTTCACTTTTTGCATGTTCAGTAGTTGAATAAGCTGCCAGAAAACTGCCATTTAGACTAAGAGTTACTGTCTGTGGTTGAACTAGCTTAAATGGTATTCAATAAATGATTAGGAATGTCATTATTGAGTGGCTATCCAAAGTCAGACACTTGCTAATAAAGATGCCTCCAAGCATCCATAGGTTAAATGCTAAGAAACAGATCCACAAATGGAAGCAAGTCTGTTTTTGCTCTTATGTTGTTGGGCAAGTAAGACATCTAGACTTCAAGCTATCCCTAGGAGACCTGGTGCCCTCCTTATTCCAGCCGACACACATGGCCTCACCAAAAGCAGAAACCAGGGCTTGGTTGATAAATAGTAACTGAGTACTTCAACGTTTGCGATCTGAAAAAGGTATTTAAAAGGAACAAGTGAAACTCTGGATACATCATGCAAGGAGGCTTATCTAACATTGAAGCTGGAAAGGAGGCTAGAAGATTCCTAGACCACACCAAGTAGCTGATAGTTGGCTCTCACCAAAGGGAGGTTACAGTGTTCTAGAGACTCACCTGCCCTAAGGGAGGGAGAGGAGCCACCTGGGGCTTCGTGGAAATCTCCAGGCCTGCTTGTCTTCAGAGCCTTGAAGAGGCTACCTAGCCCGTGGGCAAAATCACAGAAGTGGCAAGTCTACAGGAAATTTGTAGATAAATCGATGGAAGCAGGGAAGAAAGTGGGGTATGCTTGATTGAGGGACAGCAGAGCTGGCCCCAGCATACTGAGGGCTGCAAAGGGAAGCGTGCATTTGTGGAAGGAGCTTTCCTGTGAGGCTATGCCTCAAGGGAGGAGAGTGTATTCAGTTGGCCCTTGGAGAACAGGGTCCTTCCTCCTCCACGAGGCTGGATGTGTGAAAGTGTCTCCAGGGCAGCCGCCAAAGTCTGATTACCTGCTCCTCTCTCTTCTTTTCTAGACACTTCCGACGGACTCAGACCCCAGCAATATCTCTCCCTGGCACTGCGCGCGGCTGATCAAAGCGAGAAGCTTTGCGAACTCCCCAGAGGGTGCACGCCTCCCATCTAACCTTTGGTGAAGGGAAGTGACGGCGTGGTCACGGTGCGCCTGTCAGCCTGCAGCCGCGCCCTGGCTCACACTGGGGCGGGTTGTGGGGAATAGTGATGGGGGCGCCCCTTTCCCCGGCTGTCTGAGCCTTAGCTGGGAGACTGTGCTGGGGAAGAGGCAGGGGCAGAGCCAGTTCCGAGGGGTGTAGGACCCCAAGCAAGAGGGGCCTACCCTTTTGCGAACATCGAAGCACTTCGTGGAGACCAAACAGAGTTTGCCCCTTCCCCAAGCTGTCACGGCCCCGGGGATCTTAGGACTGCGGGGGCAAACCGCGTCCTCGAGTCCTGGCGCCCCGGAGGGCCGGCAGCCTCAAGGACCAGGCCCGGCACCAAGGGCTGCCACTCCTTCCGCTACGAGGGCGGGATCCCAGGGGTCCCCCAGTCCCGCGCCGTCTCCCCTAGCTCGGCGCACTGGGTCCGAGGTGGCCGGTGTGAGGTCTCAGCTGGCCGCACCTCGTCCAAGAAGGGAAAAGACCAGAGGCCGCAGACGTCTCCTCCCAGTCTGGAGTTGGGACGCACTAGGGTGTAGAAAGGTCAGGATGTCCCCCCACCCCAAACCCACACGCGCTTGCGAGCACACACGCAGACACAGAGACACGCGCGCGCGCACACGCACACGCACACACCTACGCTTTGCTCCCCTGGCCTGAGAGCTGGAGAGGGGGCGCTTTGGAAAACTTGGCTGATTCGCCGGATGACCATGTGCGCTCAAGACTGTACCCGCCAAACATAACCTTAATTTTACAAGATGTTTTTCCCCATAACTTTTCTGCAAATGAGTCAGAACAGAACCCAGTTTCCGAGGCAGCCCAGTCTGGTTTGCTAAATTTCTCAAAATGTACCAGCTGGCTCTGAGCTTCCAAATCCTCCATCGCGCGGTGGCCGCGGCCGCCCTCACCCGGCTCCATGCGCGCAAACGGAAGGGCGCGAGGTTTGCGCGGAGAGCCAGGCAGCCCCGGCGCCTCCAGCGGGGCGGCGCAGCTCGAGACCCGGCGACCCGCCGGCAGGGGCGTCCAGCCCCGCGCCACACTTGCCAGAAAATAGCCCGCCTGACCACAGCCGGCCCTGGCGCTTGCACATTAAGAAACTCAAATTAAGAAGTGGGTGAATTGGGAAAGGAGGGAGCCGGGGGCGTTTGCACCGTGTATCTCAGGTATGAGCACTTTTCACTGACGTTGATGCAACTGCATTAGAGTTAATGGCAGCAGCCTGCTTCTCATTATTAATTGTCTTTGTGTTTGGATAAAGTATGTAATCTTCTTCTCAACCACACCATTAAAATAGGTTGCCTTTTCAATTAAGAACTGTCGTGAGCACAGCAGTCAATTTTCCTAATGAAGATGCATTATATTTTCACTTTTTTAAAAAATAATGGAAAATCCCAGGTTTTCATTAGACACGATTACAGAGAAATACAAGAGGGCTCCTCTAAAATTCATGCGGTCATGTAGTGCATTAAACGCCAGGCTTTTAAATAAATTGAAATTTCTGTAGATAAAAGAAAAGCATGGCTATCAAATATGTTGAAACACGCTTCATTCAGATTTTTAAAAGCAAACATCATGAGTTCGTTTTTCCAAATGAGCTTAACAGATACAACAGTTTTTAAAAGTACAGTGACTGCCTGAAAATACATTATAAACTTTTTTGTGGGGGGGTCCCTTCTAGTTTACGGATGATTTGCAGATCTTAAACTAAGCGGTGAATGTTGGAAATGCACTATGCACATTTATATAATGTTCGGCCTTTGAACAAATATCTCAGATTAATCGTTCAGCAGCACAAACGGTCTGGACTGTGCACCTACAATTAGTTTTCATTTTTTTGTTTGTTTATTTCCTTTCTTCCTTGCTTTCATTTTCTTTTCTTTTCTCTTTTAAGACAAACTGAAAGCCAGTGACCCTGGTAGAACTGTTTAAAATTCTATGCCTTTGAGATAAGCAACTTTTCCATTGTTGCAAAAAAATTAAAAATTGCAAAATTCTAATTTTGAAGTTTTAAAATTGGACAGAAATATTCATTCCTGAATCCGAAAATGGAAAGTTTGCATTCATGCACAAAAAAGAAAAAGTATGTGTTATTTATTCTCTAATCTTGAGAATTTGGGAGCATGTAGTGAAGGGGATCTGTCAAGATTTATGTTTTCTTTGTTAATAAAAAATTAAGGTTGCTATCTTTTGCATATGAAATACTGTTTCAGACAAACAATGTCTGTCTTTTTCTTTCTCCATTCAATGTGAATACTCTCATAGGAGCCACATTAGGGAATATTGTTTGAGAGAAAAATAAGTCAAATTCTTCCAAGTAGAAAAAAAAAAAAGTTCCCAACAACAGCCAGACTTTTTCTTTGTAAGGCAACATCAGTTGGTTTCTTGTAGACATGATCTTTTCCAGGTTTTAGGTGTTATGTCTTTTAAAAATTGAACTCTTTTTTTTTTTTTTATCAACCAGCCTCTTAAAATGATCTGCAAAGAGTGGGAAATTAGATTTTCGATTAAAACCTTATCCCATCTCGAAGGATTACTTTATATTGATTCTTAAATATGGCTACAATTGATGGACTCTAATTAAAAATCCAAAGGAAAAGTCTGTCGTGCCCATATAAAAGAAGCTTTTCATATACGGGAAATAAAGCTTGTAAAAGGTTACAAATAAAAGATTAGAGATTTATCCAAACTAGTTTAAAGCTTCACTGTGGTTTTCTTTTCTTCTTTTTTCCTTTCTTACAAAACCATTCCTGGGTCTTTTTTTTCCCCAGTTTTAAATGAAGTTTGCAAACAGGCAAGATATTGGACTGTAATGGTTGTTTTATATCAGCTCTGTAAGCTCAAGGCTGCTGCCTGCAGTAGAATTGATTTCAAGGAAACTTCAGGACCAGGAGATGAAAATTATGTAAACTGACAGCTACCACCCTTCATCAATCCATCCACATTCCCGTCCACACCCTTCTAACACACACACACACACACACACACACACACACTCTGCCTCACACTTCTCTCTGTCTCACATCCACACATGCCCTTCCTATCCCTCACCCTAACCTTGCTCTGCACACACCCTTGGTCCCCACACTCTCAGGGACAGAGGCACAGCTCCCGGCTCACACTCCGCTCATAAATGTCTCACAGCACCACATCTCGCACTTGTCACACAATCTTAATCCGTTTCATTCCGGAACAACATGGTCCTCTTTTCCTCTTTTTCGCATTTGGAGTTTGCCTCCCTACTCTTTTATCGAGACAGC
The DNA here is from genome assembly GCF_000001405.40 of Homo sapiens. NCBI lineage: Eukaryota > Metazoa > Chordata > Mammalia > Primates > Hominidae > Homo > Homo sapiens. The sequence goes on along the minus strand of NC_000014.9, from coordinate 56,814,492 downwards.
CCAATCCTATCTTTGAAGTTGTTTCTTTCTCCCTTACCCTCTTTTTTGAGGCAACCGCAATGCAGGGAGTGAGAGACCCAAGCTTAATTTATAAGTGATCTGTTGCCTTATTTTTTCCCCTAAATTTTGTCTGCATTTCCAGTCTTAAATCCTTGTTAAAAAAATTAAGGTTAATCTCCTCAAAGTTTATAATAAAGATATATCTAAAAACCTAATGAAAAAATGACTTCTTTCTAGGTATTATGGTGCTTCTAAGGCAAAATGTAGTCCCTCACTGTCCAGTGAATTGCTGAAAAGATTGGAAATTAATGTTCATATTTCTGAATTCAGTGTTAAGGAAGTCTAACTGGCTCCTTTCCCCCAAAAGGCTATGTTCTCACGGAATATGGGTTTTGTTCTTCTTTTTTAATTAGCCTGGAAGAATCCCGGGATGTCTTCTCTCCCCTCCCCCTCCCCCACTCCCCCCACCAAAGTTAATAAACTTGGAGGAAAGTTTGGAATATTTTAAACTGGCCTGGCTTGTGCGGTGGAGAAATTGAGCCTAGTTAGTGCCACACATGAATCTTGATTTCAAAATATGCATATTAGACATATTCTAGAAACTGCACACAAGCTCTGACAAATAATTTGATTCCCTTCGTATTGGCTTTCTTAATTTAGCTTCTGAATGCTTATATCTCATATGCGTAGCAAAATAATTGTACAAGTGGCAATTAAAAACCATCCACTTTTTAATGAAAATTATTTAAAAACACAAAGCATGCTACCATAAGTCAGATTCATAGAAAAAAAATGTTAACGACACAGGACACAGAAAAAAAGTTAAACACAGAAATACAATGAACAGATACTAGGTAAATTGGAAGTTCAAGAACTTACTGAAAATCAAGAGTTAGACTTTTCATCCAAAGAGTCTTTTTCTCCCACCAAGCATCTAAGGTTTTCAGTAAAAGAGCCCAGCCCCCTTCCCCCAAAGCCAGTGGCTTTTGTCCTGACCTAGAATAGGGTTTGTGGGGACTGTACCTGAGCCGGGCAGTCTGCAATTTCCAAATTGACAAGAAGAGACTGGAAGATAAAGAGCATGTTCTTACAGGTGAAGAGCAATTTTGCAACTTTTCAAGGCGACACCCAGGAGAAAGCTTGCCTGCTACCAACTGCTGCAGAGTCTGGGCAGAATTCCTCTAGAAAGAAAAAGAAAGTCTTTCACCCCCCCCCCCCTTCCTTGTCTGCCTCTCTCTGTCTCTAGTTCTCTTTCTCCTCTCTGTCTCTCTCTCTCAGATCCAATCTTTTAAGAGCTTCAGCACATTGCTAAGCTAAAGGGAAATTCTCTTTGATAAAGCGGTGTTTCCAGCTTCTGGGTTTTAAAACCTAAATCTATATTCAAATCTGGCTGAAGGTGTGTTCTGGGATTTATGAAAGCCTCTTAAAGGGGTAAATTTACCAAACCGTGACAAAATCATCACAATCTTACTTTAGACATCTGAAGTGGATGAGAATTTTAAAGAGACCCTTGTTTATTTAACACTGTCCATTTCCAACTCGTAGTTTATTGGCCCTGTATTTCTGCGAAGTTATTAGACTAGAGGGCAAAGGAGAAGCGGGAGCTGTCTGCTGCCGGCCGCTGGAAGGGCAAAACCCTCTCACGCCCCACCATGCATAAATCTGCCCCTGTCGAATAGAACAGGGGGATTTTTAGGGAGATTCAGCTGCCCCCGCCATCTGGGAGGACATCGCAAACCTCTACATCGGGCTTGAAAGGTTACCCTGGACACTGGACCCTACGGCAGATGGATCTCCCAGTCCAAAATGGTTTACTTGGTTTAGCTCACAAGCGCATGTTCTGATCATTCTCCATCCCACCCCATGCCCACTGTCCCCAAGGCCTTCCTCCGGCCTTCCCCTCTGCCAGATTCACAACGTCCATTTTTCTTTTTCGGCTCTTTTATGCTTTAAACATCATTGTGATCAAACTGGGGGAAACGTTGTCTTTTCTAGGGGTAGGAAGGAGACTCTGCTTCAGGTGATCGAGGTGGATTTGCCTTTCCTTCATCGAAAGCATCATGACTCTGACCAAGCGCACCCAACCAGTGCCTCCGACAGCCAGCGCCACGAGGGTCATAACGCCCGGGGCATTTGTTACCCCCTCCTCACCACCATCCCCATTAAAGGCTTCGGGGGCGGCCGCCAGGTGTTTCAGTACAGTGGGGGTGGGGTGAGAAAAAAGGTCGGTACTCACCCTCCCCCCCGCCCGGGCCCCTAGAAACTCTTGACTCCTGGGAACGCGACAGCCAGCGGGTCTCCGGACTGGAGCTGCTGCAGAGGGCCGGGAAGGAGCTGGGCGGGCTCCGGGCCCCTCGGGGGCTCGAGGGGCCGCCAGGGCCCAAAGCTCTAGGGACACCTGTGACAGGGGCCGCTGCCGCGGAGTCCCCAGCCCCAGGCCGAGCCCGAGCCGGAGCCCGGCTGCCGAGAGCTTGCTGCCTCGTGCGCACTCCCGTAATTCGTTAATTGCTGTAAATCCCAAGGACGGCCACATTTGAGTACACATACAGTATAAGAACCGACAACAAAGCGACGAATTAATTACCAACTTCATTAACATAGGTCCCCAAATTAAAGGCAGCGAGCTGTTTCTTTGGGCCCACTGGCCGTGGTGGTGATGGTAGTTGGTGGTGGGTGGGTGGCGGGGGGTGGGGTATTTAGGAAGAGATTTTATTTTTCTTTTCCTGCACTGGGTGTTGTGAAGCAAGAGCTGTCTTCTGCTCCCACCCCCACCCAGCTTATTCACACACACTCACCAGTTCCACTAGCCACCCCCCACCCCACACTCCGCCCAGTCTGTTTTTGCTTTTCTAGGGACTCGGATCCGTTTGAAACCTGTCCGGTCCCTGCTTTCTATGCCAGGCAAAAAAGTTGGGCTGGGGGTCGCACTCTCCGGCTCGGGCCCCCAGGTCCCATCACTTCCCAGCCTCTGGGCTCGCAGCCCGGGGCTCGGGCGGCGCCAGCCCAGGTAGCTCCAGGCCTCGCAGTGTCGGTCGTTTGGTGGCGTTTGTTCTAACACAGAAACTGTTTCCAACGGGGGCCTCCCTCGTTCGCTCTCTTCCACGATATCTTGTCGACCTCACACTCGCATCCTCGAGGCCCGATGTGGTCCCAGCTACTTCTCCTAAATGGGCCCTGAGATTAGATTCCGGGGTTCGTGTTCCCTGCAGTCTGTCGTGGGCTTCTCAATTCCAAAAAACCCCAGGAACCTACCAGAAGCCGGGGTCTCTCACTCGGGGATCATTTATTTATATGTGTAAGGATATTTATAAGGGCGTAGGGAATAGAGAAGACACTGAGTTTTAGAAAATAGTTTGTTCTTGGACTTGTGTATCTTTCTCTCTCTGTTTTCCCTACATGCCCACATCGCACTCCCAGGCCTCCCTCCTTTACCCTTTCTGGCCGTCAGCGTGCTCTGGCCCTGTCTGAGACGGCATAGTGGTGTTTTTGAGTTTCAGTCTGACTTGCTTTCTGCCTGTCATCCACACACTTATTGCTGGGGTTGAATGTGATAACCCAGTCACTCCCTAACCCGCCATTCTCCAGCATTTACTTAAATATTTTTATCTTCCATCTTACATTGCATGGGTTTCCTTTCTTCCCTTCCCTAAAAACAACAACAACAAAAAAAAAAAAAAAAAAAAGAGAGGAAAGGAAATTTCGGAGTAAAGGAAGCAGGGGAAAAGAGGGTAAGAGAAGAACTCCCTGTCCATCATTTTAATTATACAATTAGTTCACATGCTCCGGCCCATAATGTATATTTTAAGCAAAGCCCAGTGTCTTTAAAGAACATTCTGGTAATGTCGGAGGCCTGGATTTGTTGCCTGCTCGTCCCCCCGTGCAGCAGCGGCCTGTTTTCCTCCCCCTGTTGTGTGTTTTTATTATTTTCCCTCTGGCTTAGATGTGTCAATCATTCTCTCCCTGCCATTGGTTGGAGAGTTTGCGTCAAAAAGTTGCCAGAGAGGCGCTTTCTCAGCAAATCTCCCTGAGAGCGGGACCGGCCTCAGCTCCAACACAGCCTCCACTGTGATTAAAAATAAAAATTGCTAGAGCAGCCCTCACTCGCCACATCTACTTTGTATGTATTGCAGAGGGGCCCACGCGTGTTTAGAACTCTAGCCGCCTTCCTCATTTTCGTTCTTTAAAAAAAATTTTTTTTGGTTGTGTTTGACTTTTCATGGAAGGGTGAAGACTGCAAGGTTTCTAACTCAATACTCTTGATTTCTTTTAGGATAGCTGGCTATTTGGAATTTAAAGGATATTTGACTTTTTCTAACCTCCCATGAGGCTGTAAGGTAAGTGTCCGTCTGTCTTGTCTATATCCATATCTACGTGTCCCCGTGTCTGTCGGCCATCACCCCAGTACCTCCAATAGACCGACCGATGCCCCTCTGCGAACGTGGAGTTCTGTAGGCGGATGTATTTTTTCTCTTACAAATTTTGAGGTGTAATAACGATCGTTGCAAAAAGAAAAATGTGATCTAGAGATGAGAGCGGTAGTGGGAGAGAGGCAGAGAGCGTGCTCCTGGGGGTCGTCGCTTCTGCAAAACGTCGTCGAAACGCTGCGAATGTAATCTGGGGTGTTTTGGAAGGTTTTGTTTGTGGTTTTGTTTTTATGTCAACGCCGTTCTGGGCTTCTCCCGCGATCTTTGCGTTTTGGCCCCCAGATTTGGTTGGGGTCGTTTGGATGGATCCCAGGGACCTTTTTAGAGTCCGAGACAAAAAGATGCAGATGTAACTAGATGGATGGATTGAAACAACAATAATAAAAAGCCAGGCGCCTCCTTGGGCCCGCGCGCCGGAAGCTCGGTTCGCTTGCGGGTCGGCCTGGGCCGGGGGCCGCCGCTCGAGCCCCTGTCGGCCCCTGTTGAACGTGAGCGGAAACCGGAGCGGATAACCGAGGAGGCTGGGAGCGCTGGCTTCTCGTCCGCCCCGGCGCTCACTGCTCGCTCTCTTTGGCCTCCTCTCCCTCAGCCTAGCACAGCTCGGTTGTCTGTTTCTCCCAAAAGCTTCCAGATCTCCTTTTTGTTTTTAAATATCCACCACCCCCCAAAATCCAAACCACCCTGGGTTGTAATTACGCAGCCTCCCAACCCCCGGTTGTCGTGGTCCCCGACCCTGGTCACCAGGCCGAGCGAACGTGAAGAGTGTTTTTTCAACATGACTTTGCCGGGTCGCGGCCCGCCCCACGTAGCCCTCCGCGCGCACCTGGGGCGGGCAGAAGTGGCAGCTAGTGGCCCCTGCTCCGCCCAAGGCCGCGGCCGGGCCAGGGACCGGAATCCTCCCGCTGGGACCGCGGCCCCTCAGCTGTTCTCTGGCGGGGAGAGGCAGGGCTCGCCCGCGCGCTCGCGCACCCCCTTCCCAGGCTCCAGGACAATGAGGTGTCGTGGCTCGGGGCCGGGCGGGGGCCGAGGGGTTCGCCGAGGCCCAGCCTGTGCCATGGATCGGCCCAGTAAGAACCATCCGAAGGTCCCTGCCAGCGCCGGGCGCGGGCGACGGGTCGCTCTGCAAACTCCCAAGAAGTCTTCGCGTTGTTGCGTTCAAGTGACTCTTGAAATCGATGCCCGATTTCGGGACATATTTTTGGAAACCCAAGTCCCCTGTCAGGATTCCACCGAGTTGGCTTTTGCTTCCTTCACAGATAGAACTGGTGCGCGGGGAGCGAAGGCCGAGCGGCGCCGACCCTGCGGTGGTGGATTGCTTGGGGAGGGGACGGGGAAGTCGCTCCTAGAAATTCTCCCCTCCATCCTAGAGCTTCGGGGTCAGGATTTCTCCTGCTCAGCTCGGGACTTTTTACAGGCACCAAAAGTTATTAGCAACAGAGGGGAGTAGGAGAGGGAACTCCTCCCCCCAGAGTAAGGTAGACACCCAGACCTCAGCGCTAACACCGGGGCTTTCTCCCAACGATAATTAATAGTCAAGGCCAACCCTTTTGGCACGTTTCTTCCTCCCTCCCTCGCGGGTGGCAGAGTTATTTGATTCCCCGAGGCCAGAAACTTTCACTCGAGTTCGCCGGAGAGAGGCCAGCGCCGGCCGTTTTCCGCGGTGCCCACACGTCTCCTTTTTCTTTCTTTCCTCCTCTTCGTCGTCTTCCCAGCCGCAGGCCAGTCGCCAGTCCGCGTAGTTTTGTTTCCTTTCCATCATGCAGAAAATTAATCAGCCCGGACGAGAAGCAGAGAGGAGCATGGCGGCCTGTAATTAAGGGACGTGTGCCCCTCGGATTATCTCGTTAGTTTATCAAGAAAACATTTATTATAATTAATTCTCGGACGAGGTAATTATTGTTGAGCGAGGACACAGCAACTGGTAGATGGGCTTCTTGGAAGAAAAAAAAAACAAGGCGTGGGGGAGGGAGAAGCGACAGATTGCACGAATTGACCGTTAGATATAAGGCTGCGCGGGGGGCGCGGGCAGTGGAGCGGGACCTCGGGCGCCAGGCCTGCGGGGCTGCGGGGCTGCGGGGCTGCGGGGCTGCGGGGCTGCCGGGCAGGAACGCGGGACCCAGGCACTCGCGCCCGGAGGTGCGGTCGCCGACCGGCTGCCGGAACTCGCCGCGCGACCGCGGTCAGCTTCTAGGTATGAGTTCTCCAGAGGCCACCTCGTGAGCAGTCATAGTGAGGCGTGGATTTTTCAAAAGTTATTTCTTTTCCCCGTTCTGGACCCTGCTTCGAGAGGAAAAGAGCTTTGAAAGTTAGATTGAAGGGCCCATGCCTTCTATGCAGAGTGCATACCTAGGCCGGTTGTGGAGAGAATCTCTTAGTTTTGGGTTTTGGTTTTCCTCTTTTCCTTTTAAAGGTGGATCCAGGAGCAAAAGTGAAAATAGTCTATTTTGAGAATTTTAGCCATTTTGCAATGGTAAGGGCAAAGGAGCCCCTGGAAGGATCTCGGCCCTGGTGCTTTCTGTGTGTTACTGGCTTTTTATGTTGGAATGTGCTACTTTATTGTATGATGTGTCAGGCATTTCTAATTGGGTGAGAGCTCTACATGTAAGAACATTTCCATATTTCTCAAGGGTACATCTGATATGATTTTACGATTCTCTATAGCACTGTAGTTCAGAATTTTGCAAGGTAGTACGATTAAACAAAAAATCTCCAATCTCCAGTTTAGAGGCTGTTTAAACACATATACAACTGTATTTTAAAGCTGTCGCATATGTGTTTAAACAGCCTCTAAGCTGGAGATTTTTGTTTATTTTCGCAGCCTCCAAAGAACAGCATTTTGAAAAGAAAAGACAATACAAAAACATAAAGTCTGTATTGTAGGGGCAACTAAATTAGTTGTACTGAGGATAATACAAACTCCTCCAAGAAAGACATTTATAAAATTATATTAAGTTAGATCTTAGGGTAGAAAAGCATGACTTTTGTGCTCTGAATTTAAATCAGAAAGAAGTTGCAGTTACTAAGTTTCATTTATGGACTTTTGTGCCTTGCTGTCTTAAGCAACGTAAATATGAAAACCCGGAGTCCTTTAAAGTCAGTGAGACCTTTATCTTGTATCCGCCATTTTGAAGCAATCTCTCATGGTGTCAAAGTTTCAAAGTAGAGATCCTTGCATATAAGTGCCACATTTTAGGAAAATAAAGGCCAGACTTGCAAACTGCCAGTCTATATTAACATCTACTTTGAATCTCTTTGCTGGGGTGGAGGCGGGGAGCTCAGCTGAAGAAAGTAAATAACTTTTCTTTTTCTTCCTTTCTTTTCCCCCTTGAGCTCTTTTTCTTATAGGATTGTAGGAAACTTGAAAGGTAGGGAGAAATTCTACTAGTTTCACAACTTTGGGTGTTTGTGTATCTACTTTCTTCAAAACTAAAATGTGCAAAAGGCAGTTAGAGTTAACAGGAAACTCTGCTGCAGCTGCCGAGGACCCAAATGTCTGAAAATTTGCCTCCCGCAGGATCTGCAGCCTCCACACATCAAAATCAACATGGAAGCAGCTTGCACTACAAATGTGGGGTCCCGTCATTATCTGATTGGTGGGATTCTAACTTTACTTCACAATTTCTGGCAAGCCCTGTGCCAATCTTGAAGACTTTTTTGGAATATGCTTAAATATTTGATGGGTGTCTATTAAAAGTTAAATACTTGTTTGTTTAGCTTTCGTTCCTTAGACACATATAATCAAGATTCTCCAAAACCCTAATAAATCTGTTACTTACCTCGAAATCTAATTACCCAGACTACTAATTAGGTGAAAATGATTACCGGAAATGACTTCAAATGTGGAATAATAGTGGTTGAGCGGTTTTTCCAAGTTTGTGGTTTAGTGAGTTGGTATTTTAGATGTTAAACGCACTGACATTTTAGGTTCGCAGCAGTTGAAAGTGGTAAAAAGCTAAGATAATTAAAATCTCTGCCATGGAAAGGCAACAGTCTGGGGAGAGGTAGATTTCTTGAATTGTTTCTTTGTTTCTCACCAATGGGCTTTGTTATCAGCATTATTTATTTAGCCAAAGAGTTCTTTGTCTCTGCAAATGGCCCCAATCAAGTTTTGTTTGAGACAATTAGCTAGTGCCAGCCAATGAGTCCTATGCAAATGTAGGGATAGGAATGCAATGTGTGCATTTGAAGGCACGGGTTTTTGTTCTTGGGGAAGGCAGATTGTAATTGCTTTCTTCGGGTACTTTTTTTTTTTTTTTAAGTTTAGGGTGGGGGTGGGGAAGACAGGTTTATCTGGTCTCCTTCCATCCCCTCTAGTTCCAGAGCAGCTGGGGGTGGGGGTGGGGATGGGGGTGGGGGGAGTGTCTGCAAGTCCTTTAAAAGCCTCTGCCTCGCCTAGTCCGTGCTCTTTTTAAGTTAGTGCTGGAACGTGGAAGAGCTGCTGCCTCCGAAGCAGTAAACCAGCCCCTCTGTTTGTTTGTTTGCTTTGCCCTTAGTTCCACTGCTCCAAACCCACCCACCAAGGACTCTGAACCTGTCCACCCCGGGCGCATCAAGATCTTCCAGCTGGGTACCCCCGATTTGGGCCGACTTTGCACCTCCAAACAACCTTAGCATGATGTCTTATCTTAAGCAACCGCCTTACGCAGTCAATGGGCTGAGTCTGACCACTTCGGGTATGGACTTGCTGCACCCCTCCGTGGGCTACCCGGGTAAGTGAGCCCTGCTGCACTCCCGCACCCCTCTTCCCCATGCCCACCCTCCGGGGATGCAACACCCTGTTCCCATGGAACACGGGGGTTGGCAGTCACACTGTCCCCACCCAGCTTCAGGCTTGGTCTCCTCTAGGTTTGCCTTCTGAGGAAGCAGTCCCAGGGCATTTACTGACCAAGCAGAGAACAGGGGTTGGGAAAAGTGAGTAGGTGGGTCTGCAACCGTTACAATCACATCACTTTATTCTTAATTCGAGTAAATAAGGATTGGCATCAGAGTGGGATGAGGAAGGTTACTGTCCTTGTCATTTGGGCAAAAGACCCCTACCCATATCTCAATGACCAATTCCTCAGAAGTGTCCTCTTGGAGAAGCTGAGTTTTCCCTCCGTAAGTCCTTAGCACTCTCGGGCTTCGCAGTTGTTCCCTCCATGCCCAGGCCTTCCCCTATGACCTCCAGAGCCTGCTTTAATCCCAAGAGGCGTGACTTCCTCCAAATGCGGGTGCTTTCCTTTCCAATCAGATATGTTTAAAAATCCTCCCAGGAGTATGAACTATGTCCCCATTTTAAAGATGGAGGAACAAAGGCCCATGGTGTGCTAAAAACCATGGGAACAGGATCCAGATTTCCCCCATCAATTCGAGCTGCCAGTCTGTCCTCGGAGATCCTTTGACTTCTTGGAATAGCCTTTTTGTGTTGTGGTTTGGGGGTTGATCTTGGAGAACTTTTTTGTGTGTCTTTTAAAAAATGTTTCATTTGTTAACTTTCCAAGTGATGCTCTGATTGGAGCAATCTCAACACCAAGAAGAGTAGGGAAAGAAGCAGCGTGTGTCCTGGGTCCCCGGGGAGCAAGGCTGGGGAGACGGTGGGGAGAGCATTGGTAGGCTCCCGGCTGAAGGGCTGTGAGGAACGGGGGACTGCTGCGGGGTGGAGGGCAGGGGCGTCGGAGAACCCGCGGAAACGCCTATGACTGAGAAACTGCTCCCCCACCCTAAAGGGCCCTGGGCTTCTTGTCCCGCAGCCACCCCCCGGAAACAGCGCCGGGAGAGGACGACGTTCACTCGGGCGCAGCTAGATGTGCTGGAAGCACTGTTTGCCAAGACCCGGTACCCAGACATCTTCATGCGAGAGGAGGTGGCACTGAAAATCAACTTGCCCGAGTCGAGGGTGCAGGTAGGGCAGATGCAGGCAGAACCATCCTTCCTGATCATGCCACCCTTCCCGAGTATGGGACTGTGGAGAGCCCCAGGTCTTTCAGAGGACTGAAGGAAGGCTTGAAATTCTCCTTCACTCACTAAGGGGCCAGGAAACTATTCTCCTTCTGCCCTTTTTTGCCTGCCCGTCACCACTTAATCCCGTAAGCAAGGGTCTTCAAGGCCCGGGTTGCTGGTGGAGAGAGACCCATCCTTGAGCAGGTTTCAAGAGTAGTCACGTGGTGTTGTAACCCTTCCCTTCCTCTGTATAGAAATCCTCTCCTATTCTCATGGACTTGTACGTGTGAAAGCAGCTTAGCTCTTGGACAGTCCAAGTATTTTTACAGATGAAAAAATAGAGTAAATGACTTGCTCAAGGTCATAACTAAGTTTGGTGGCAGAGTCAGGGTATAGACGCAGCTGGTGCTTTTACCAAATAAATCAACACAAAAAGAATGTATTTTCCTTGACTTCTTAGGGATTGAAGAGAATTTTCTAGTTCTGAGCCATTTAACAGATAAAATATCTACATAATGTCTCTAGTGACACCCCTCTTGTTTTAGTTCCCCTAAACTTGACCTTAAACTGGAGAGGGAAGGTCAACTCCAGCTTGCCTTGTGAGTGAGCCCTGTACAGAATTCTCTGCAAAGTGTTTAGCACATAAACCACATACACACCTGGGCCTCTCCTTCGGCTAGAATATGTTTATGAAAGCGACAGACATCAGTGTCAGCTGCAAATTGGGAAAGGGGCTTTTTCAAAGTAGGTTAGAGGAAGTTTTAGCACTTGCAAGGCTTGAACCAAAGTCCTCACTAGGAGAAAACAAATGGCTCCAAATGGTTGGTGGTCTTGAGCTTGGCCTTGGTGGCCTCACTTTTACCACAGTTACGGCACCCATACAGAGAGCTCATTCAAAAGTTCAGCTAAGGATTTGTCCTCCAGAAAATGCCAGTAGTTCCTCTTCTAAGCCCCCTCGTACACCAATCATAGCTCCTTCATTGCAGAACATGAACAGGGCTGGTAAAGAGAATTGTCAAGATTGCAGCAGGGGGTTGAAGTGGTAAGTCAGTAAACACAGCACAGGAGACTGAGTCTATGTGCTGAGTGGCACTACTCTAACAACACAGACTCGAGTCCCAGAGACTAGCAGGTCTGTGCTCCAGCTCAAAGCAGAGTGCATGTAAGTCACTCCTTTTACCACAAAGAAGCTTTTAGCAAATAGTGGCTTTCAGACCTCTTTCTTCAACAAGATCATGTCTTCCCCTTGGAGCTTTGTTCTGTGAGTCTTTCTAAGAGAGACAGAAGGGTGATGGAACCAACCAACCTCTATATTAGCAGTTGCTTCCTGGAAGATGAACTGTAAATGAATTTAGGCTGTTCCTGTTAGCCTGTAACAACAGAATTGCTTTCTCTCACTTCTCATGTATTTCCCTCCAAAAGACAGAGATACATTCTATTCCTCTGTGAGAGTGTTCCAAAATATAGCTGGGTCTATGTGTATGTGTGTGTTAGAGGCGAAATAAGATAGGAAAGTGATGTGGAGAGTTTTTAGCTATATGATTTGGGGGATTATCTTAAATGTTATTCTGGGCAAGAAATAAGACAGTGTCAAGTGTTTTTAGACAGAGCCTCCCCAACTTTCTTACAAGTCCAGGAGTTTATATGAGAGTACCACATAATAGGTCTTCAGTGGCAGGGGAAATTGTGTGTTTAGCTGATCTGCCCATGTAGGATAGATTTATAATACGGGAGCCATTCTTGTCCTTAAGGAACTATCAAAACCGAGTTAAAGAATTTTCTTTCCCTTCCAAGGTATGGTTTAAGAATCGAAGAGCTAAGTGCCGCCAACAACAGCAACAACAGCAGAATGGAGGTCAAAACAAAGTGAGACCTGCCAAAAAGAAGACATCTCCAGCTCGGGAAGTGAGTTCAGAGAGTGGAACAAGTGGCCAATTCACTCCCCCCTCTAGCACCTCAGTCCCGACCATTGCCAGCAGCAGTGCTCCTGTGTCTATCTGGAGCCCAGCTTCCATCTCCCCACTGTCAGATCCCTTGTCCACCTCCTCTTCCTGCATGCAGAGGTCCTATCCCATGACCTATACTCAGGCTTCAGGTTATAGTCAAGGATATGCTGGCTCAACTTCCTACTTTGGGGGCATGGACTGTGGATCATATTTGACCCCTATGCATCACCAGCTTCCCGGACCAGGGGCCACACTCAGTCCCATGGGTACCAATGCAGTCACCAGCCATCTCAATCAGTCCCCAGCTTCTCTTTCCACCCAGGGATATGGAGCTTCAAGCTTGGGTTTTAACTCAACCACTGATTGCTTGGATTATAAGGACCAAACTGCCTCCTGGAAGCTTAACTTCAATGCTGACTGCTTGGATTATAAAGATCAGACATCCTCGTGGAAATTCCAGGTTTTGTGAAGACCTGTAGAACCTCTTTTTGTGGGTGATTTTTAAATATACTGGGCTGGACATTCCAGTTTTAGCCAGGCATTGGTTAAAAGAGTTAGATGGGATGATGCTCAGACTCATCTGATCAAAGTTCCGAGAGGCATAGAAGGAAAAACGAAGGGCCTTAGAGGGGCCTACAAACCAGCAACATGAAATGGACAAACCAATCTGCTTAAGATCCTGTCATAGTTTTAGATCATTGGTTATCCTGATTTGCAAAGTGATCAAAAGCATTCTAGCCATGTGCAACCAAACACCACCAAAAATAAAATCAAACAAAACTAAGTTGTGAAGGAAGGGAGGGAAGGTCATAGCCTTCTTAAGCAGAGGTGTTCCATTGTTTTAGCCAATCCTTGGTTGAATCTTAGGAATGAACAGTGTCTCAAGCTCATTCACGTTTCATGACCAACTGGTAGTTGGCACTGAAAAAACTTTTCAGGGCTGTGTGAATTGTGTGACTGATTGTCCTAGATGCACTACTTTATTTAAAAAATAATGTTCATAAGGAGTCAATATGTAGTTTAAGAGACAATCAGTGTGTGTCTTATAAATGGTACATCTGTGGTTTTTAATCTGTGCTAGACTTCAAAACTGTGATCTCCTGTTATTGTATGCAACCTTGAACTCCACCTCTGCAGGGGTTCTTCTGTGATTAAATAGGTTATAATTATAAGCAAAATTCAGAGCAACTGAGTACTGATCTAAAAAGATTACCTTTGGCTGGAGGTGAGCTGCACTGAAACTTTACGACAAAATGTCTCTGGACAAAGAGAGTCAGAGAAGAGAAGCAAAAGGACACTAATTCATCTGTAATTTACTGTTGGTAAGCCTAGCAGTAAAGAGACATTGGTCAATTGCTCTGACCCTGATGAATTATTAAACTGAGATCATTGTCGTTTATGCTTGCAGATGTTAAATGGAAAAGTTATATATGCATAAACCTTTTCTTCCTGGATTTGGCAGATATGTATAATTATATTAAAATGGTTCTAGCACAACATTGGGTCCAGTTTAATTTTACACCGCTATTTATGAATAAGAAGCCTACATTCAGCCTTTCCTCCCCAAAACACGTTTTTCTTAGGACAGAGAGTAAATTAGCAAACTTATTTTTACTTTTTTTTTTTGCTAATCTATGCATAAAATAGATATGAATGACAGTGGTAGGTAGACTTTTTGTGACTTTCATCAGGATTGCTCTGAAATTGAGTTTGGAGAGCCTAACAACAAGATCTTGTTTTCCTTGCTTTTCCCTCCCTACTTCAAACCTGAACGATTTCTTAGGCACTTTATTAGAATGTTTTAAAATATATCAAGTTTTTAAGAGGGAGGAGGAGAATTGGAGTATCTCTGAAAACATGAGAATGACAAGAATTTCTTGTTACTATTCTCTTATTTGATTAAGGGGATTTTTTTTTTTTAACTTCCAAAAACTGAGGTAAACATGAGAGGGAGTGTAATCAGAATCTGAAAGTAATTCAGGCAGAAATGATTCCTGAACAAAAGAGTTTCAGAAAAGTTTTAAAACCTATAATTTCAGTAGTTGAACATAAGGCACCCTGGTCAGTTTGTGTGTATGTGTTTAAGAAAGTGCCGAGGGGGAAAAAATGGGTCCCTTTTCAGTTGTACCTGCATTTTGTAAACCAGTCACCAGAAAAGACAAATGGGCCAATGATCATGGTGCTCCTCAGGTAAAAGCAATATTTAATTTCATTTTAAGCTGCTTAAGCTCTTACAGCTGACCAAAATTAAGTGACTCTTGATTGTAACGTTTTAAATGAAGGTTAGCAGTTGCAACCATTTTGTTTTCTGGCTATTTCATTTTTCCGGTCCCTGGCTGCGCATGCTCTCTTGAACTCTGTAATTTTTCCTAATAAGTAAATTGGTTCGCTGGTAAAGGAAATGCAATAGTTTGCAACCAAAATTTGAGGCCAAATTTGATGGCAAGAGTTTTCAGCACCTATTGATAACCTTCAACATACTGTAGTTTACACGAAGTTAAATTGGGGCCTGAGGTTTACCCAGATTCAGTGTCTTAATCTCCCAGCTTTTCTTCTGCAACAGTAATGCAGAATCAAAATAACCATTTTCTACCATTGCCTTCAGTTTTCAGGATGTCCCGCAAGGGGCAGGGAAAGATTACCCCTTCTTTAAAAACAATAATGACGATAAACATTGGGCTACTCAGCAAATAACGCAGTTGGCAGTTTCTCTCCTGAAACTTTAAAAAAAAGGTCAGAAAGAAGAGGCACTGAGCACCCTCTGAAACTAATTTTTCCATCACCTCTGCACAACTTCTCTTAACTAAGACCACGCAGTTAAATCCCTTTGAATCAAAGGCGAAGTAGAAATGAATTCCTCTGACCGAAGGCAACGGAGGGAGGGAAGGAGGCGGGGAGCGAACACTGGCTTAAAGACATCCAGAGAGTTCCGATCTCCACTCCTAGTCAAGACCGGTTTTAATGAAGTTAATAAGCCCAATAATGGTGATACTTGGTACTGAAATGACGCCGTCCTCCAAAGAGGTCAGGGAGCTACTTCAGCTGCGTATCGGCAATTAACAAGAAGTGAGCCGGCAGTATAAGCTTCGGTTTGGAGGTCAGGTCCTGATGAGGGTGGGGGTAGTTTGCTTTACAAAGATCTGTTGCCCCAAATCTTTATCTTTCCCACAGGGATTCTTGGCCCTTTGTATTTCACCTTGGGAGTGTTTCTTTCCTTCCTAGATAAGAAGAGAAATTCAATCAACTCAATTAAGTTCCGGCTTTGGAAACCTCCAAGTTTTAGATAATGGTGGGTTTCCTCAACCCCTCTCCCACATGGTGCTGCTAATCTCACCTTTCCTGTGGGTGACCCCCCAGGCCCGTACTGCCGCCGCCACAGGCGCAAGACGCTGGGAGGCTGGGGCGGAACTGCCAGAAGGAACGTGGTGCCGGGCGGCCCGCTCTCCGCCGCGCCCTAGGCGCTCTGGCTAAAGAGCTGGCTTTTCTAACTCCCCAGTGCCCAGTCGGAGTTACCTGGGAACAGCACTCACATCTCTGCCCCGAGGGCCCCCAGCTGGGGCAGACGCCGGACTCCCCAGGTTGGCGCTGCCCAATGGGCCCCACTCACAGCCTGGCGGGCCAGGCAGGGGCGAGACTGAGGCTCTTGCCTTGCCGGGTTTTCCCCTTTCTCTCTGGGCTGGCTCCATCCCTGGCCCGCACCTAGGACCTCTCTTGAGCCTCAGCCCGCGCCCCCCGGGCGTAGTTCTCAGGCCTCGGGGGCGCCGGTCCCAGGGCGCTGTGGGCCGCGGCAAGGCCGAGGCCCGGTGGCGAGGCCTGTACGCCCGCGGGAGTGGGCCGCCAGCCAGAGCCGAGAGAGGGCCCCGCCCGAGCCCTGCAGTCAGGCCTCCAGGTCGGCCGCGGGCCGGGGCGCCGGTCGCTGGGAAACCTCGCGGCCTGGCGGAGTGCAGGGGTCGGGTCGGCCTCGGGGATTGGAGGGTGGGGTGGCCCGGCCGGGAGGCGAGCGCCCTGCGCCCGAAGGAGCTAAAACCGAGACTGACAGACGGGACGGCGAGCGGGGTCCACTGGCCGGGGAGAAGGGGCCGGGGCGGCGAAAGCAAGCCCAGCAGGGCCCGCGGCTGCTGGTTTTCCAGGTCTCCCGGTAGGATGAGCCGCTGACGGCTTAGGAGGGGGCCGCTTCTCCTGGCCTCGAAGGGCGAGGCCGCCACAGCGGGGGCTCCCGCCACGGCTGAGGCCTCCCGCGTCCCGAGCAGACGGGGCCCAGCTGGGCCTGCCTCGGGCCCCCGGGGATCCTCCCAGGAAATCCAGGTCTTCGGCCACTGGATTTGGGGGAGTCTGGCCCTCCGTTGGGGTCTCCCCCGGCACTGAGCTGAGGCTTTCGGGGGAAGCCCGAGCAATTCCCAGTTTGCCTTGGCTCATCCCCTTTTCCCCAGTCCTCTAGATCTCTTTTTTTTAAAACTGAGTGCCTTCTCTTTCTTTTCGGACCTGTCAGCGGCCCTGAAGGCCAGAGGCAGGCTCTGGAATGGGGAAGCGGTCCCTTCGGCGTCCCGGGCAGGGCCAACTTGCCAGGCAACCCATTCCAGTTACCTGCAAGGCAGGGGACGCAGTCAAGTCCCCGCGTCCACTTAACCGGAAGCGGCCAGCCCTGGCGCGCACACCACATGTTCGAACCCGCATCTCACACCCAGGGAGAACTTCGCTGTTATTATACGGACAAAGCTGTAACCCAAAACCAGGCGTGCCAGTGCTAGGTGATGGTTTAGTGCATATAGAAACGTGTTTTTAATCATGCAAAAGAGGAACACAAAAGAGTCGGGCAGGAGACCAGCGCATCCCACGCAAATGGGAGCAGACGCGGTGGAAAACAACCAGAATGAGAAGATGCAGGATCAGAGTCAGCCATGACTTCCGCCTGGGTTTTTGCCTCCTTCGAGACTTTTAAGATGAACAGCAGTCTCTCTCCTTTTCGTGCCACGAAAGGGTCCAAGCCCCCATCAGGCATCTGCATGCCCAGGTTTGTGACCAGGTGCCCTGAGCACCTCTGATTTTCTCTTCTAAACCGCCCGAGCCTGTCAGCGCAGGGTGCTCTGATAAAACCTGATTCCCCTAGTCGCCCCGTTTCCGCCCTTGGGTTGGTGTGACAGAAAAGACTGGGAGCCCCTGGGACTTTCCCCTGGAATGGGGAGAGCAAAACCCCAAACAAAACCCATCCCCATGTTTTTTGGTATTAGGCTCTGAAACTGCACAGATTATAGGATTTGTCTTGGACAGAATTAACATTACATGTGAAACTGTAGTGCTCTGGTGTATTGAGACACGTTGTATAGGATTGCTTGGACCATCTCTTTCAAACTGCCTGTTAATAGTATCATGAGACCTTCAATGATAATGTGTTGGGGGGGGGGTTGTTTTTTACCTGATGGAAACAAAATCTAGGCACTATTTGGAAAAGGTAGTTTTTCTGATGGCAGCAGATGGAAGGAAACGGAACCAAATGAGAAACTAGAGGAAGTTTCTGTATACTGAAGTGGCTGTAAAGGAGGGAGCAGACGTGCGTTTGAAAGGCCTTCTACTAAGCAGCAGTCCTTACAACCAAGGGAGGCCCCCCAATGCTAAAGAGAAACAGCCAGACTTCCTCTCTTGCAAGCAGTGTGTTTTATGTTTAAAAACCAACCTGCTGTCAACTGCAAACAAACAGTAAGCAAATTCAAATAAAGGATCCCTACCAAGTCCAACCCATTTGGTCAAAGATAACTGCAGGTGCCAGGGAAGCCAGGCTATCACTAGGGGGAGGGTCGCTTCAAATTTTGTTTTTCTCCTAGAGGGAAAGTCAAACAGCATGAGGTCTATGACTCACTTTTATTCCTTAATCTCCCCACCCCTTTTCTTTTAATTCTTAGTGGAAACACGGTATTTTGAAAGAAAAAACAACAGCAACAACAAAGAAAACAAAAAAGAATCCCACTGAAAATATAATGGTAAGTGGGCAAAGTTTGGATTGACTTCTGTTTCAGCACCACAAGGAAAAAAAGGTATTCAAGAATCAGAATCCTCTGCTACCTGCTACCTCTACTGCTCCTGCCTCAGTTTGCCTACTGCAGGTGTGCAAAGGGGG
Organism: Homo sapiens; assembly: GCF_000001405.40. NCBI lineage: Eukaryota > Metazoa > Chordata > Mammalia > Primates > Hominidae > Homo > Homo sapiens. Next base: position 56,796,091 of record NC_000014.9, on the reverse strand, counting down.
CCTTTTGATTAAGAATTTCTTAGTCTACTTGACATCACTAGGTGACATTTCCAGCTGAGGGCTTCTTTAAAAATAAGATGCCAGTTTCTAGTAGCCATACAATTGTTGATTGCTTTTTTTGTCCCCCTGGTCTCCCCATTAAAGGACCTTCAAATGCTGCCTTTAGGAGCCACAGGCCTGCTCCCCCTCTATCTCAGTTTCCCCAGGTAAAAGCTGGAAAGTACCCTTTAGAGACAGGTCCTTGGTGGGGTGAGGGCTTAGGTCTTGCCCCCAATCTCCCAGATGAAATCTCCTGAGGCCTTAGGCTGCACAGAAATCAGAAAATCACTCATCACAGCCTTGAGTTGTTAAAATCTGTTCCTAGAACCAATAGTCACATTTTAGGATCATGGACCATTAATAAAAATCTCCTTAACATTCAAATGGCTCTAAAATGCGTTGATAGCGGATTACTGGGGCCTAATGGACGTCGCGTGTGATAACATGGTCTCTGAGTAGCAGAGGTTCTGGAGTGGGTGTCTGACCACAGCTACCTGATTATCAGCTTACAGCCAACCCACTTTTTAGCTGCGATACTCTTAAGAGGCGTTCTGCCCGGCAGAGCCAGAGACTTCTGTGTTCTTCATTTAATCGTTGTAACAAACGCATAGTGTTCTGCAAAGGAGACAGAAAAACCTGCCTGTAGGCGTGGGGTGACCTCCGGACGTAAGGAGGGCGGGTCGCTGGCCAATGACCCTCTCCTCCCTGGCTTTAATGGAGCGATGCCTGAAAGGCAGTGGCTCCGGCAGATCGAGACCTTCGCCCGGGACGCCCGGGTTGTCCTAAGGTTGAGGCCTCCTTCGCGGGGCCAGCGCTCCTCCCTGCCTCGGCCACCTCGGAGTGCAATCCCTGAAGTGGCTGCTCAGCTCTCCCCTTTAGGACCCGACACGTCCGGGAGAGCTCGCGGGGCTCTCCTGCCAGCGGTGGGGAAGACTTCGGGCTCCGGTGCGCGCAATCGACAGCGCTAAGGACCCGCTGGCAGTAGCCGGGGCACCAGGGACAGAGCTAGTCCCGGGGTTTCTCTGGAAAATTTGGCAAAGAGACAGTGCTCCCATTCTCCACCCCCACGTCTCACCCAACAAACTAAGCCAATGTCCCTGAAAGCTAGGCCTTCTCTGGCTGTAAAGTACACACCTGCGTCACCCCGGGGGCCTGCCCTCCCCGCGCCCGGTGCCCCCAGCAAGTCACTTGGAGAGTCCAGAGAGACTACCGGAGGAGGCAGGGAGTTGCTCAAGAGGCTCAGAGGCAGCTTTCTGGCCAGCTGCGGGGAACATCCGGCTCACGACCCCCCAACCCAGGCCTCCGACGGCCGCCGCCCCCCGGAAGCGGGTCTGAAACTCGCAGCCGCACGTGGCGGGGCCGCCGGGTCCCCTCCAGGGCGGCGGCCGGTGGTTAGCGCTGGCCCGGTGGATGCGAAGGCTCGAGCCCCAGAACATCGTGCCTCCGCGCTCAGAGGCGGGGGTGGCTTGGGGAGTACGAGGGCAGCCCTCTTCCTACTCCTCTGTGGTCTTTGCGGGGGTCAGAGTGTGGTGATTGTGGGTGTAACAACACCGGGAGGTGACGTGGGCGTTCTTCCCGCCGCGCTCCGGGACCGCGGCCCCAGGCAGGGTGGGCTCCGAAGCCCAGGCTTCCTCTTGACGTGGGAACTGAGACAGGCTTGGCCTCAGGGCTCCCGACCTGGAGTACCTGCCTCCCGGAACCGAGTGTGCAGTTGCCCGCAAGACTTGGCCGGCGCTGTCCCCGGGCCCTCGCGGAAGTGTGCCCACCCGGGCACCTAGGGCCTAGGAGGCCGGCTGGAGACGGCTTCCGGTTCCAACTCCAGGCCTCACCAGCTGGCGCGTGGAGCGGTCGGATACCCAGTGCCAGGGCCCGTTTAGACGGCTGGTTTAACGAATTGGCCTAAAATGAATTTTGAGTTAGAGCTTTTGAACACTACGGTTGCACACATAAAGCTCACTTCACACCCCACCCCACCCCCGCAAGTCCTTCATGGCCACTAATCCGAGTTAGTTTCATGACCTTTGAGTTACATTTGGTTCGAGATTTCCAACCAACCTTATTGCTATTGCTTAATGCTAGGGAATTTTTTTGAGAGGCAGATATATGGGCAGAAATAAAAAAGAAACATATATAGATATAAAATATATGTAACAAATAGGTATTTAAATTGAAGTCTAAGATGAAATTGGGCAATTTTGGATAGAGGAATCACATTATTTTTACATTTAAATTGATGCAAGTCTAATTGAAATGCATCTTTCAACTGCTCTTCTTGCTGATTAAATTGGTTCTATTTTTAATTCTAGTCTAATTTGACCACTTGAAGCTTTAGAAAGCTAACAAGCTCTCAGTCTATTTGTTAATTACCTTTAACCAAAAACATAGCTTTCATTTAGTCTTAAAACAGTCCGTTCACTCCTGCCCTCTGATTTTAAGGTGGGGAGAAGTGGAAAACTTGGGAGAAACATGCATTCACCATCTTCATTTTCACCGATGATTTTAGCTGATTAAACCACTACGCTTGATTCCTGCCCATTTTGGGCAGGCACCTTGTTTTGTCTCCTTTTTTCCTTCATATGTATTGATAAGAATGTGGATTATGTACACATTTTTAACACAAGATCCTTGAGTTGATATTTTTTCAGAGATTCTTAACCTGTGGTTCAGGCGTCCTTTGAAGATAGTTGTCCATGAATAGGTTCTATAGGATGGGTGAATTCTTTCAATTGTATGGAAAAAAATTGTTTTCTCTATTTCTGCAGTGTAGTCTTCCCAGGCAGAAGATCCACAGTTTTCATCAAATTCACAAAGAGACTGGTAACAACCCAGAATTAAGAGCCATTGTCTTTATGATACTTATGTTGGGTGAACTTGGAGATAGCAACTTTGTAGTTCTTGGTGACAACTGGAAAAGAGCCAGGCGTGGGGGCTCACGCCTGTGATCCCAGCACTTTGAGAGGCTGAGGCGGGAGGATGGCTTGAGCCCAGGAGTTGGAGACCAGCCTGAGCAACATGGCAAAACTGGTCTCTATAAAAAACTGGCTTCGTGTGGTGACGCAGCACCTGTAGTCCCACCTACTCAAGAGGCTGAGGCTGGAGGATGGCTTGAGCCCAGGAGTTGGAGGCTGCAGTGAGCCAAGATGGTGCCACTGCACTCCAGCTTGAGCAACAGAGACCTTGTCTCAAAAACAAAACAAGACAAAAAAACAAAAACTGTGAAAGATGGCAGCCCCATAAAATGTAAATCTACCCTATACTTTTTGAGACTTTGATTTCATTTAAATAAATTAATCCCCAGAGACTTTTATTTCTAAATTTTACCCAATGAGACCTAATTTGAATTATTTTTAAAGAAGCTGTTTATGTATGACAAATTTAAAATTAGTAAAAGAACTAAACAAGAATGATTTTGAACAGTATCTACACATGAAATGCAATGTAGAAAATTTAAACAAGTATTTTAATGATTCAGACTAAAAACCCTCTTTAGCCAAAATAACAACAAAAGCAATTACCTGGCTCTAATTAAAAGCTTAAGAAAATTTATTGGCTGGGCGCGGTGGCTTACACCTGTAATCCCAGCACTTCGGGAGGTCGAGGCAGGCAGCATTTGAGTCCAGGAGTTTGAGACCAGCCTGGTCAACATGGGGAAATCCCATCTTTACTAAAAATACAAAAATTAGCTGGGTGTGGTGGTGCGTGCCTGTAATCCCACCTACTCAGGAAGCTGAGGCAGGAGAATCTCTTGAACGCAGGAAGTGGAGGTTGCAGTGAGCCAAGATCACATGACTGCACTCCAGCCTGGGCAACAGAACAAGACCGCATTTAAAAAAAAAAAAAAAAAAAAAAAAAACGTGGATGAAACAATAGGTAAAAGAGGTGAGAGCTCTGAGTCAGAAGGAGAGCATGGCTGTACCATCAGGTGAGGAAATCAAGATCAGATGGTAAAATCACCTTTAAGAGAGACAGGGTAGAATTTTAACTAAATATTCAGAAGCCTGTTGTTCAGAATACACACATTTTGCCCATTGCTCCCACCCATCACTCCCTGGCTTCCACCCTTGTCTGGGAGGATATCTTCCATTAGTGCAAGAGGTAGCATAATCTATGCGTTTATTTAGCATTTGATCCTTGTGCAGAGGCTTCCATTTAGAGTAACCATTGTAGCTAAGATTTGGATCTGGTCCCCAAAATAGTCTGAACTGGGTGACCTCCGGTAAGTAGATGCAAGATACTAGTAATTTATTTCATATCAGCTCCCAAGGCATCACCAGATGATAACAACCCTTGGACACTGTTAATCTCTGCTTGATTCAAACTGGTGACTGCAAGGTGAAAGGCGAGAGTATTATCTCTAAGCAATTCATGTGGCCTTCCATAGATTGCCAGTTGGGCCAATACAATTGAAGCCTCTTCTTCAGTGGTTACTTTAAAAATTTCATATCCAAAGTCTTTGGTCTTCCTTGGACTGTAAGGTAGGAGGGCTTTATCAAGGAAAATGCCCGAGGGCCAAGATGTGGGAGCTTAGAATCCAACACAAATTAGAAGGGTTAGAAAGGTAACTGTGTGTGTTCCCTGCCCAATAAACTGTGAAGGAGATCACTGTGACTATGACTAGAAAAAGCCTGTGGAAGTAGATGTTTTTGCCAAACAGTACAGGGAAAATACATCTTAAAAAATAAAATGCAAAGTCCTATCTAGAATTGGTTTTATTGTTTTGAAAACAGCTTTATTTTTGCAACCGGCAGGGTCAGTACAGATCATATGCTCATTTAGCATCAGTTCAGGGCAAGAAGGGGCAGGGGAAAGTGGGGAGAACAGTGGAGAATTAAGGAAAGGGGAGTACTAGTGAACAAAAACTGTCCTGTGTTTTGGTGCCTGCAGGGAAAGGAGGCTAAGTGGCCTGCAGGGGAACTGATACTATTTGCACTTTTCAAATACGTAGAGTGAACAATTTTAGCCTCATATCCCAGGGCATTTAGCTCTAGCCTGAAGTTATAGAAATGTGCTTTTACTGCCTGGTGGAATTATTCTGCCCTTGCTACCCCAATATCATAGTTTAAATGATTAGATTTGATTTTGCTAGATTGCTCTAGAGAGGATTGACAGATAAAAATTGAAGAGGTGTCAATTTAACAATACATTTTTTAAGATTCATGTGTTGGAAGTTGGTTATTGATGTTAAAAGTAAAAAAAAAAAATGGGCAAAACATTCTTTTGGATAGGATCAAAGACCAAGTTGTCATATATAGAATTTTAGCCTTCAGCAAACGATGTCACAAAGACATCCCACTATGTTGTTCAATAACTTCATTCCTAGATTCTTTGTTTGCTGCCCTACCTTTTTAATTAACTGGTATTTGCAAACCCTACCCCATTGTTTGGTATCTTCTCCCAAAAATAATACACTCAATAAACACAAGCTATAATTACTAATGGGAAAACAGAGTAGCCACAGTATGGGTGCACTGTATACAATTGGTAAAGGAACACTCCTTATGATAAAAAGTCACTGATTGACTGATAACGTGGTGCATTTTGTAACGCTGTATGATTGTCTAAGTGATTGTGAGGAAATAGGGCATGGAATAAACATTGAAGTATTGTCACTGCTTAAGACTGGCTTTGGCTCCAGTGTCTTGCTGATATAAGCTTCAAACAGCATAAAGAGAGTCACAGCATTTGCCTGGTTAGATAAGAGGTAAACTACCATGGTTAGAGTATTTGGAAGGGATTACAATTTCAGAACTGTCTTTCCTTAGTATCTGCTCCATGAGAGGTGGTCTGGCTAGAGCCCGGAGCCTAGAAGGAGAGGAGACTAGGCCTCTGTTCTTTTGGCCTAGTGCTGCCATGTCTTCATGAGGATGATGATGATGATGATGATGATGGTGATATGATGATGATGATGGTGATGATGGTGATATGATGATGATGATGATGATAGTGATGATGGTGATATGATTGATCCCCCATACTGAAATGATTTGCATATATCTTAACTAATAAGCAGGGCACTGGACAAGGTGATTTACTTAGCCTTTCCAAGATATGTCCAAATTGGCAAATTTACCACTTTCCAGAGGCCAGTTTTCATTTTAGTTCTGGAACCTTTACACCTGTGTGTTTCATTGATAACTTAGTAGGTATGGTGCCAATAGAAGTCTGTACCTTCCCTTATAGAAGTGCAATCTGGGCTCATCCTGCTTATCTTTCCTGAATATCTTGAGCTTTTCCTGAGCCTTGGTTTATTTTATCCCAACCTCATATACAAATTGAATGTTGTTTTGGTCTATATCTCTAGGCTCTCAACATTATAGAAACCCTCATACAACAGTATTTAATAAGAAGATAAGATTTCCAGGTGCTTTAAAACATGTAAATTAGGGCTGGGCCCAGTGGCTTACATCTGTAATCCTGGCACTTTTAGAAGCCAAGGTAGGTGGATTGCTTGAGCCCAGGAGTTCAAGACTGGTCTGAGCAACATAACAAGACCTTGTCTCTACAGATCATTTTAAAAATTAGCTGGGCATGGTGATGCACGCCTGTGGTCCCACCTACTCAGGAGGCTGAGGTGGGAAGATCACTTAAGCCCAGGCAGTCAAGGCTGCAGTGAGCCCAGATCGTGCCACTGCACTCTAGCCTAGGTGACACAGCAAGACCCTGTCTCAAAAAAAAAAAAAGATGTAAATTGGTACTTTAAAAAAATTATTTAAAATATTGGCCTCTAGTTTCACCAGGGGAGCAGTTAAGGACAGTGTTTAAGCATTCAGCCTCTAGTGTTGGATTGTCTGGTTTTAAATCCAAGGTTCTTTACAACATGGTAGATGTGTCCACATGAAGATTATTTAAGCACTCTGAGCCTGAGGATCTTTGTCTACAACATAGGAAAAATAACACTTTCTAGTTTCCAGATTGTTGTGAGGATTAAGTGTCTGGCAGGTTGTAAGTGCTCAATTCATGTTGCCTGCTAGAGATACCTTTGTTATTGTCATTCTCACTGTAGTCAGTTTCTAGCCAGCTACACTGAGTCAGAGCAGAAATCTTGATGAACTAATGCTGACTCTTTCATTTTACTAAAAGGACAGGAACACTGATATGGTAGGAAGAATTCAAGAAGAGAGATGATATAATATTATATACCACATATCAAGCTACATATGTAGCATAACTGCATGGCTAAATTCATTTTGTATTGTATTTGTCTTTGTCACATCTATTCTGTATCTTTTTTTGAACAGTCAAAGAAACCATAAGAATTTAGAAATCTGCAAATATATTAGGAAAAAAGGAAGTAAGAACAAAGTAAGAACAAAGACAAATTTTACAAGGGGGTCAAGTTGTAACAAACAAACCACCCCACTGTCTTTAGATCACACTTTAGTCCTCTCCATCTAAGATTTAAAGTATTTCTCCATCACTGCAAGTAGCTCTAGTTCAAGCACTCTGAACAACAACCTGTTCTTTAATTGAGAATGATACTGGCATGTTTATTACCAAAGAACGTAGGTTAATTCAGCCTGTGGGCAATGTTTATTACCCTTCTCATCTATAAAAACACTGTGAAACATGGTCTTAATTTCCTTTTAAATGTGGCTCAAACAGAGCTGCCAACACATTTCATACTTTCCTCCCTAAATATTGGCATTTAATAAGAAAAGTGGTGTAAAGCAGTTTAGTAATAAAGTAATGAAGACTTGTAAATGGGCTCTTGGTTTATAAATGAAGTAAGAAAATAATTGGGAATAAAAAAGACTTTATGCAAATCAACTAGTATGGATAATGGCAGAAGGAGAAGAGAACAGGGTAGTGAATTTGTTCAAATGAATTTACTGAAGATGGCAATTCAGCTCTCTAAGGAATTACAGAGAAAATGAGTAAGTGGCTAGAGGGGCTAATATCTCAAGAAATTCTGAATAGGCAAAATGGACCACATTTGCCAAAAGCAAAGCTTTCTTTAGTTGCCAGCTTCAGCAGTTCTTCAGCACACAGGTCCGTGCAAACAAGCAATTTGTTTGAGATTGCAAAATCAAAACGTGTCCCAGGGCACAAGCAGGAGGCAAGATCTTTTTTGTGATGTTTGCAATGGAGCAAGGACCTGATAACCACCTACAAGTGTCTAAAAAGGCACCACCCACCAGGCAGGCAGAAGAATTGTCCAGGGTCATCCAAGGGGCTAATTTGGAGTAAAGAGATGAAAACAAGAAATCTCTCAGTGATGACCTCTCACAAGCTACAGAAGAGTCCCTCAAGGCCAAGTGACAGAAACTTCAGTTTAGAACATTCAAAACTAGGGAAGGAAGAACTCTTGGAAGTAAGCCATGGGGAACTGTCCAGCATTAACAGAGGTTTGGGCTTACTATTAAATGACCTGTTAGGTGTGAGTTTCTATCTACATTTTATCTAACAGTATGCTTCTTAAAAACTTATTTTTAAAATTCTCTTGACAGCTGTGTCATTAATGATGTTATTGCCAAAGGGATTTCTGTAGGTTCATGTGGATTTGCACTTGTTACATGGGAAATGTAGTTACTTAAGAGTCAGCATTTACCTTGAAGATATACTTCAGCTTTGACCTCCTCAGGAGATTGAAAAGAATAACCAAACACATGCTAACTTCTCGTGTCTTCTGTAAATTTCTGCAAACAGCAGACACTAACTGCATTACTCACAATTACATGAGTTAAAAAATCATGTTTTTCTGGCCTTAGAGACATTAAAGTGTATGTTAGAATGGCTACAGGAAAGGGTTCTCAGGTGTCAGACATACTCAAAATTAAGTTTCCACTTAAACTTTCTTTGGAATTTAGGAAAATTAGGCCATGATAAAGATGTATCTATTCATTCAGCAAATATTTGAGGGTCTTCTCTGTACCACACACCATTCAATGTCTAGAACACGCAAGGTTTCAGCTTCCCTGGAATTCACATCTGTTGTTAAGGGAGAACATAATGATGGGTGGTGATTACAGGAGCCAGAAACTTCTGAGTCCAAAGGAAACAGCAGTGGGTTTAAAGGTGTATGGAAATGGAAATAATACCAGAAGCTTCATGTTGGTCAGCACTCTAATGAATAATAACACTTATTTTTCAAGATACATTTGAATAGAATTCAGCTTCTAATGGAGAGAAGGAAGCACAGTGTGTGCTACTCCTTACCCAAGTCTCTGTTTCTCTCTGGGTGTCCCAGATGTGTGGAAGGAGGTTGGTGCACACAAGGTGCTCCGCACTGAGAACACATGTGGGTCTTGGTGTCTGTGGCTGCTGAAGCTCCATATGGTGTCATGTGTCCTGGCCCTGTTGTGTGACAGTTGCTGCTAACAAGCTTGGCTTTGGCTAAATGTCTTTGAAACTACCCACTCCTTCACCCTCTCCAATTGCCTCAAATGACTCCTGATTAAAAAAGAAAGAAAGAAAGAAAGAAAGAAAAACAGGGCTGTTAAAGGAATGGCCAAAATGTCACTGGAATGGGCAAAAGCAATTACTTAGTGTTTTCTACGGACATGGTGATTGTAAATTAAACAAAGGCCCTTTTGGAAAAGACAGTCCATTAAGAGACCACTTAATGTTTAATTATATGCATTTGGAAACGCCATAGAGAAGCAGCCCAGCCAAACAGGTCATCAAAATCTAAGATAGACATAGTGGCTGATGCAGTTTGCTTTTGAGTTCCAGGTACAAAAACTCAAACCCAGAGTAGTGAATTGTCCCACTCTGGGGCTACTATAATACTTAATTATTACTGTCCCTGTGGTGTAATGTGATCTTGGAAAATATCATAGAAGAATTCCTTCAAATTGTTTGTCTCTTTACTCTTCCTCCTCCCTCCTAGTTTCTATTTCTTGGCTCTGTTCTTTTCTGTAGTTGCCTGTCTCTCTCTTTCATCTCTCCAAATGGTATTGTAAGGTTTAATTCACCAGGTGTGCAAACTTCCTCCCTCATTTGACACGTCTTTGGCAGAAAGTGCAGGTAACCCAGCAGGTATTGTCAGGGTCAAGTTAAAAAAATAACAAAATCTGCCAATGCAGGTTTCCTTCTTGTGGTGCCTAGCATCAATGGGTTCTCAAAAAGACTGCTGTGGCTTTAAAATTTCCCTTTTTACAGCTGGCATGGACTTGCCAGTCCATCCGTAGCTCATCACCTTTCTCCCACTCTGTCTTTGTCAGGACCAGAGGATGTTTGGCATTTCCCCTGGTCACCAAGACAAGGGAGATAAGGACAGGAGCAGAGTGGCTAATGGCTTTGTTCTACTTAGAAAGTTAATTGGAAAAAGTACTATTCTTATGTCCCAATTTAAACCTCAGTAGTCATTGTTAGACCCTTGATTCACTGGAAGTGAGCTGACTTAGTAAAATATTGAATATGTTTAAACTAATCTGTATGGTGAGTTTTACTAAAAGTTCAAACTAGAAGCTGGGCACCAAATGCCAGCACTTTGGGAGACTGAGGTCAGGAGTTCGAGACCAGCCTGGCCAATGTGGTAAAACTCTGTCTCTAATAAAAGTTCAAAAAGTAGCCAGGCATGGTGGTGCATGCCTGTAATCTCAGCTACTTGGGAGGCAGAGGCAGGAGAATCGCTTGAACCTGGGAGGCGGAGGTTGCAGTGAGCTGAGATCACGCCGCTGCACTCTAGCCGGGCAACAGAGCAAGACTCCATCTCAAAAAAAAAAAAAAAAAAATCAAACTAGGAGAAAACATGGTATTATAAGTAGTAAGGGATATGCCAGGTAAATGCCAAAGTTCTAACCTGCTAGTTAAACTTAGAAACTATTTGATTTTGAGAAAAATAGTACAGGGTTTGATTTTGTTTTTGTTTTTCTATGATGTAGTAGTAATCCTAGTAGATCCTACTAGTAATAATCCCACTAGGAAAACAAAAAAAGTGAAAATACATCTCTTAGAAAACCTGGCATGCTACTAGCATTAGAGAGCTTTGTCTAGCTTCCATAGCTCTTTCGGAGAGGGAGTGCCTAGACTGTTCCCAAATCTTTCTCAAGTGATACAATCTGTAGTGACATTCCTGAACCCTGTCAACAGGCCATGCTCCCTACATGCTTCCAATACATTGTTATGTAACAAGGGACTTAATGTTCAAATCAAGTTACAAGGTGGTTTTCTATACACATTTGTATTTGCTTTAATAATAAAGTGAAATTATATTTTTGTCTTTTTTCCTAATTTAGTATGTATGTCCTCATTTCTTCTGCATCTGCTATGGGGCTAGCCTTGTTCACAGATGACACCAATGGAGAAATTTCTGAAGAAAGATGTGTGTGTGTGTGTGTGTGTGAGAGAGAGAGAGAGAGAGAACGAGAGAGAGAGTGGTGGTGATGGTATATTTAGAACTTGGTTTAGTAACTAAGCTCTAATTCTCCCACTTGTCCATAGTCAGGTAGGAAGAGTGGATAGGTGTGTCCATTGGCTGAACTGCTGTGGGGCTCCTTCCGATATATTTCTGCTATAAAATATGGGGTTATGGATACTTCTAAGACATCACTCTGCTGGCTACACCAACAATAAAGAAAGAATCACAGGTATACATTAGGATGCAATGTTGGTCAAGAAGGGAGATTTTCTTGAAGATAATAAATACTCTTTAATTTTAGAAGAACAGGTATTCTGCTAAGAAATGAAAGTTAATATATTTTGAATTGTCACTATTAGTAAAACTTACTAGTTTTAAGTGCTACTAGTTCATTAGGCCATTGAAATTTACATCAAACATCTAATAAATTAATTCTTTTTTTTTTTTTTTGAGACAAGATCTCTCTGTATCACCCAGGCTAGAGTGCGGTGTTGTGAACATGACTCACTGCAGCCTCAACCTCCTGAGCTCAAATGATCCTCCTGCCTCAGCCTCTCGAGTAGCTGGGACTACAGGCATGCACCACCACACCTGGCTAATTTTTAAATTTTTTTGTAGAGACAGGGTTTCACCATGTTGCCCAGGCTGGTCTCAAACTCCTGGGCTCAAGTAATCCTCCCGCCTCGGCCTCCCAAAGTGCTGGGATTACAGGTATGAACCATCGTGCCTAGCCTAACAAACTAGTTCTTATATTAATGGAGATGGAAGTTTGCAGAATTTCTTCTTCTTCTTGTTCTTTTTTTTTTCTAAAATAGCAGTGATAAAATACAAGATAATATCTAGTTTAAACATTCCAGGCATGGGGCAAGTAATTGCAGTATCAAGGAAAAACTGCCTCCCCTCCAGTTAATGGCTGATATGATGATGCTCTAAGCCCCCATTAACTATCCACCCCATCTCTTCAGATTAGCAGAGCTCAGCCATGAAACCAGGACTGGTTGCCAGTTTCACCTGGGGAAGATGGCCAGTAAAAACTTTATCATAGAGTATTGTGGAAAGCATCTATTATCTAGCCCCCTGCTTTCTGCTTTCCACTTTCCAATCTGTTGGTTGGTGCTGCTATTAGATTTACTTTCTAGAAACCAGATCTATAACACACATGGACCACAGAATAAAGGCTTAACATCTTAGCCTGGCATTTAAGGTTTTACAGCAGTGTTTTTCAAACCTCAATATGTATATAAAATCACCTGGAGATTTCACTAATACAGATTCTGATACAGTAGACACAGGGGTGGAGCCCAAGAATTTGTAATTTTTTTTGAGATGGAGTCTCGCTCTGTCACCGAGGCTGGAGTACAGTGGCATGATCTCAGCTCACTACAACCTTTGCCTCCTCAATTCAAGTGATTTTCATGCCTCAGCCTCCTGAGTGGCTTGTATTACAGACATGTGCCACCATACCTGGCTAATTTTTGTATTTTTAATAGAGACAGGGGTTTCACCATGTTAGCCAGGCTGGTCTCTAACTCCTGACCTCAAGTGATCCACCCACCTTGGCCTCCCAAAGTGCTGGGATTACAGGCATGAGCCACCTCACGGGGCCAAGAATTTGCATTTTTAACAATCTCCCAGGTGATACAGATGCTGCTGGTCCTGGAACCACATTGAGTAGCAAGTTTTACAACACCTGACCTGGCCCAGGGGTTAAATGCCCTTTCAGGTTCATCTCTATATATTCCCACACCCTACATTCTGGAAACACTGTTGTTCTTGGCATTCTGTGGCAATTCTCTGTACTCTTTCTGCCTAATAAACCATTACTCATCCCTCCAGACAGCTCAAATAGCATCATCTCTGTGAGGCCTTCCAGCTCCAGCGATTCATTCCTTGGCCTGGCCAAAGAATCCTTCTGTCTACCAAGTTGCCACAGCACTTTGCAAATACTAATATTTAGCACTTATTACAAGTTATCATAACTGTTTGTTTACATGATTATCTTTCCAGCTAGACCATGAGCTACACAGGGCAGAAAGCCAGGTCTTACCATTTTATAATCTCAGCACTGGCCAGGCATGGTAGCTCATGCCTGTAATCCCAACACTTTGGGAGGCCAAGGTGGGAGGACTGCTTGAGCCCAGAAGTTCAAGACAAGCCTGGGCAACTTAGGGAGACCCCCGACTCTACAAAAATAAAAAAAATTACCATGCATGGTGGTGATGTGCCTGTGATCCTAGCTACTTCGGAGGCCAGGGTAGGAAGATCGCCTGAGCCTGAGAGGTTGAGGCTGCTGTGAGCCATGATTATACCACTGTACTCTAGCCGGGACAACAGTGAGACCCTGTCTCAAAATAATAATAATCATCATCATCATCTTGCACACAGTATATAGCCCAGCACACAATAATTCTTTAATAAATATTTGTTGAATTGAAATGAACTGAATTTCTCATTAGCATTATTTTGCAGAATACTTTTAATGATGAATGTTTTTAGACAAAAAAAACATATCTCGAGGTAAATCTCTATCTGCTCTATTTTGCTATGAATTGAAAACTGCTCTAAAGAAAAAAGTCTATTAGAAAACATTTCTTAGGCCAGGTGCAGGGGCTCATAACTGTAATCCTTAGCACTTTGGGAGGCCAAACTGGGAGGATCTCTTGAGGCCAGGAGTTTCCAACCAGCCTGGGCAATATAGTGAGACCTTGTCTCTACTACAACAAAATTAGCTGGTGTGGTGATGCACACCTGCAGTCCCAGCTACTTAGGAGTCTGAGGTGGGAGGATCACTTAAGCCCAGGAGTTTGAGGCTGCAGTGAGCTTATAATGGAGCCACTGCTCTCCTGTCTGGGCGACAGAGTGAGAGCCTGTCTCTTAAAAAAAAAAAAAAAAAATTTTGACAGAGTTGAGGAGGAAGTCACATAGACTCATAGTTGTTATTTAATATAAAAGTAATTGTGGTTTTTGCCATTAAAAGTAACAACAAAAACCGCAATTACTTTTGCACGAACCTAATAGTATTATCAACTATAATAATGAACTATAATTATCATTAATAATAGCTATTATTTATCTATTGAATGCTTACTATTTAACAGACACTGTGCTAATTACATAGATATAAAACTTCATTTAATTTTTACAACAGCTGGCTGGGTGTGGTGGCTCACACCTGTAATCCTAGCACTTTGGGAGGCTGAGGCAGGTGGATTGCCTGAGGTCAGGAGTTCAAGACCAGCCTGGTCAACATGATAAAACCCTGTCTCTACTAAAAATACAAAAAATTAGCTGGGTATGGTGGCGCGTGCCCACAATCCCAGCTACTTGGGAAGCTGAGGCACGAGAATCGCTTGAACCTGGTAGGCAGAGGTTGCAGTGAGCTGAGATCATGCCAGTGCACTCCAGCCTGGGTGACTGAGTGAGACGCCATCTCAAAAAAAAAAAAAAAAAAAAAAAAGGCCAGGTGTGGTGGCTCATGCCTGTAATCCCAGCACTTTGGGAGGCCGAGGTGGGCAGATCACCTGAGGTCAGGAATTCAAGACCAGCCTGGCCAACATGGTAAAACCCTGTCTCTACTAAAAGTACAAAAATTAGCCAGGCGTGGTGGCGGGCGCCTGTAATCCCAGCTACTCAGGAGGCTGAGGCAGGAGAATTGCTTGAACCCGGGAGGTGGAGATTGCAGTGAGCCGAGATTGCGCCATTGCACTCCAGCCTGGGCTACAGACAGAGACCCTGTCTCAAAACAAAAAAAGTGCAATAGTTTGTTACCTATATTCAAAATGGAAGAAAATGCTCAATTTCCATAAGAAGTTAATGAAATTATAGACTTTTTTCCATCCAATTTCATGGACCCCCAGAATTCTATGCACAAACACCTTGGATATGTATGTGTTGGGGGCTGCCCCTGTGAACTTTAGGTTAAAAATCCATGTTCTAGGGCAAAGAAACTCAACTACCTTTTTGGAGAGGTTAGAGTGCTCAGGTTGACTAGATAGAAGTCAGATGGAAAAAAATATCACATACACTGAAATGGCAAAAAGTCAGTGGCAGGAGTTATGTAGTGAAGAAATATAATATAGGGGACAAGGAACAGGAGGAGGAGGAGAAACTTGGCAGCATTAGAGCCATGCAACAGGTAAGAGATTCTTTCTTTGAAGGGTGAACCCAGAGATTCTCAGAAGAGGATGCAGAGAGCATACTCAGAGGAATCTTAAAGGCTATGTACAAGTCTTAGCAATTGGGAGAAATTCTGTAGCTGTCCCCAGGAGGAAGAGACACATTATGATGATCAGTGACACCGCACTGAATAGTACAAAGGCATCTGTGCCTAAAGTCATCATGTGATGGCAAATTGGGAAGTGTCTCCATCTTCCTGTATTATACAGTGATATGTGGCAAGGGTCATCAAACCTACTAACCTCTACATATTTCAACTGATTCAAATGGGAACACATGACACAATTTAAACCCACACCTAGTATTTATATATATTTTTAAATTTAAAAACTCTTTTTTGTTTTTAGAGACAGGGTCTTGCTCTGTCACCAGGCTGGAGTGCAGTGGTGCAATCATAGCTCACTGTAGCCTTGAATTCCTGGGCTCAAGCCATCCTCCTGTCTCAGCCTCCCAAGTAGCTAGGACCACAGGCATGCACCATCACATCCAGCATTTTTCTTTTTTTTTTTTTTTTGGTATAGATGAGGTCTTGCTATGTTGCCCAGGCTGGTCTGGAACTCCTGGCCTCAAGGGATCCTCCTGCCTTGGCTTCCAAAGGGCTAGGATTACAGGTGTGAGCCACTGTGCCTGGCCCGTCGTATATATCTTTAGTGGCCTTGAAAAGATAGGCAATCCAAAGCTTGCATTGGAGGCACAAATGGAATTTTGATCACTCTAAATTGGAAATTTGTGGCCGGGTGCAGTGGGTTATGCCTGTAATCCCAGCATTTTGGGAGGCCAAGGAAAGCAGATCACCTGAGGTCAGGAGTTTGGGACCAGCCTGGCCAACATGGCAAAACCCTGTCTCTAATAAAAATACAAAAATTAGCCAGGTGTGGTAGTGCATGCCTGCAATCCCAGCTACTAGGGAGGCTGAGGCAGGAGAGTTGCTTGAACCCAGGAGGCGGAGGTTGCAGTGAGCCAAGATTGTGCCACTGCACTCCAGCCTGGGTGACAGAGCGAGACTTCGTCTCAAAAAAAAAGAAAATTTGTTATTTTAATGGCATCAAATGCCTCCATCTGATATTCAACTACATTGTGATCTGATGCCTCTTTTCCTCTTAGGGCCTTATCTCTCTTTTCTCATTGTACTTTATGTTCTTGGCAATGAGACCTATCAAAATTCTTTGCCCACTCCCCATTTATTTTCTTTTGCAAATTCCAAAACCAATAATGCGCTTTCTGTAACCCAGTCCCAAAACCCTATCCATCCTTCATGGCTCAACTCAAATTCTGACTCTTTCATGACGATTTTCCTGGGTCTCCTCCTGTCTGTCTTGGCCCCAAGCTGGAGGCAATCTCTTTCACTCTGAATCTTCCATAGCGCTTTATTTGTATTTCTCTTACAATATACATATTTTTCCTTGTTACTATGGAGAACAACAGTTGTGGCCTTTGAAGAAAAATCATACTAGAAAAAATGTCCAGTAATGGGAGGAAAAAAGATTGAGAGTAAAAACCAATACTTATGACCCTGGATAATTATATATCAATACACAGAATATAAGTAATAAACAAAGTGAACTTGAAGTGTTAAACAAGGTTGTAAATATAATCACACAGGTATTACCCACATGGTATATAATAGGATTACGAATAGAATGTGGTAAGTAAAAATATATATTTGGTTAAAAAAATTTCCATGAGAAGTGCAGGGGAAGTCTAAGAAGATAGAGCATATATATCAGCTTGGAGTGACATGATCAGAGCCTTCCTTATGAAGATTACTTTGGTGGCAGCTGAAGAATGGATTATAGCAGAGAGAGATTTAAGGCAGAAAGACCAGTTGGCAGCCATTTAATTAGTCCAACTGAGATATAATAAATACCCACATGAGGACTTTTAAGTTTTCAAGTCTAGGTGCCTGAAAGTATGTTGATGCCTTTAAGAGAGAGTGTGTAGTAAGAAGAGAAGATTTAGGGGGCAGTTGCAAGAAAAAAAAGTGGTTTGGCTCTAAAGCTGCTGGAATACGGAAAGAGTGAGAGCCTCTCAATCAAGTAACAAACATTAAATGCAATGGTAGGCTGACTTAGTAGAAATACAGTCTCCCAATTATAACTGCAGAAGTGCAAAGTGAAGGACTTTGACAATTACGGTGACTTGTAAATTCTCTCATTTGAAGAACATTACAAGAAACTGGGAATATTTAAATCCAAAGAAAAAAATAGGGAGGATATGATTACTGTCTTTAAATATAGGACACATTGAAAAAGGAAAGAGGGATTTAATTATTTTCTGTGGTGAAAGGTAGCAGGGTGGTGATAGATAGAAGTTACAAGGAGAAACAATTTTGACTTATCCCAAGAAATAAATTATTAACAATGAGGCCTCCAAACAGTGCGACGAATGGACTTGCAGAGCAGTGAGCGATTCATCTATGAACAAGCCAAGCAGAAACAGGATGAAATTTTGGTCCTATGTTTTGTAGAAGGAATTTCCATAGTCTATAGAAGGAAGGTTGAATTACAAGATGTTTAAGATATCTTTGTACTCTAAAATCCTTAGCTTCATTTCTCCAAGGAAACCATCCTTATTTCCTTCCTGCCCTAGTCTGAGTGCTCATAAAGCACCCTGGGGCTACCCCTGTCATACTAGTACCCCACATTGTGGTAATCACTTACCTGTCTTCATCATTAGACTGCCATGTCTTTGAAGGTAGGGATTGTCTTTTGTCTACATAAGTTTATTGTCCAGTGCAGTGTTCAGCACAGAGTATTAGCATTCAGTAAATGTTTGTCAAGTGTTGAACAAATAAATGAATAGAGATGATTTGAGTGCAACTGCTATAAAATTTTAGTAAAAGGAGCTAAAGCTGGGCAGTTTCCATATGCAAAATTACCTTAGTGGGAAAGTCTCATTCTCAGAAATCATATGCTTTCTTTCCTTCTTCTTTCCTAGTACAGACTCACTTATCAGAAATATGAGGGCGTTTGATCA
Organism: Homo sapiens; assembly: GCF_000001405.40. Classification (NCBI taxonomy): domain Eukaryota; kingdom Metazoa; phylum Chordata; class Mammalia; order Primates; family Hominidae; genus Homo; species Homo sapiens. The sequence continues at coordinate 56,777,598 of NC_000014.9, read as the reverse complement.
TAATTGAAAGTAATCACCTGATCTGAAAAGTCAGAATATGTTTTCAGGGTAGCAGAAAATCAGGAGACTTCAAAGTTGCATTTGCTTTTTATTTAATTAATAAAAATTTAAAAGCATAAAAATACCAGTGGCTATTAAAAGTTCAATAGCTAGAAACATACATACAAGGTACATATGAAAAAGAACAGTATAGAGTCAACTTACGTAGTTTCTGAGCCGTTCAGCGTCAAATGATCACAATCACATTGTTAGGAATCATCTGACATTGCAGGTGGTTCTCCCAAAACATCCAGTTTCTCACTTATCCTTTGATATTACTTGCACACTGTTTATAATGCCTATAGTTGTCAGTCTATGTTACCAGAGACTGTTGCTGAAGTTGCCATGGGGCTGAAAATATGGTTCCCTGTGTGGGGAATGGTCCAAACATGACTAGTGCCTGCAGGTTCAGAAAACTTAATTTGATTGGAGATGCTAGTTTGTCTTCACAAACATGGAAAAGAGCTGTAAGTCAGATCGGAGAACATGTCCTATGTGGAGCCATTATCCAGGTATGGATTTAAGGCTACTTTCTCTCCTTAGATTTATGATGGTGGCAATGAGAAATTGCATTTGTTTACAAAGGAAAGAAAGGCAAAAATTTTCCTTATGGAAAGAGGAAGCAATATATTAATATTTTTTTCCTAGCACATTTAGGGTGGCAAAACTGGCTACTGCCCCCTGACTGCCAAGCAGCCCCGGATGCTTCTTGGTGGCTCACACACAATGAGGTCAGCGTGGTGCATGTTAATGAGTGTTGTCCTAGAGATTACACAGTTAAAAAGATAATTATTACATCAGAAGTGGATAGTTGTGTCTGTAATGGGAGTGATTATAAAAGAAGAACGAGGAACGTACTGTAAATGTAAAGGTTTCTTATCTTAACAACATAATAATTGTAACCAGGATTGACAGTGAAGATAAACAGATCCCAACATTAATAACACTGTTTCACAAGGCTGAATGGAAACAGATTCAGCTGTCATTTGATTAATTTTCCGTTAACAATAAAAGAAAAAGCTTACAGGTCTAAAATCCCTACTATATTTGCATTATCAGTGTTGACATTACAGATGGACCAATCTGTCAGTCACATAATTTGCCTTAAATTACCCTATTATAAGACTGAAGAATGGATTTCTGTGAAGCACAGAATTGTATATGTGTGTCTGTGCATGTGTGTGTCATCCATGTGTTTGTGTATGTTCTGTGCATGTGTGTGTATGTTTGTTTGAGGGCTACTGTTAACCAAATGAGACATCATCTTAAAAACTCAAATTTCAATGTGTTAAGGGTTATATAAACTGAAGAGCATAAACACTACAGTAGAAACTGAAGGCTTTAGCATGCTTATACTTAGTGGTTTCCACCTGAGTAGCTAAAACAAGCACACATGTTGAATGTATTCACAGATCTCTTTCTATTCCTGTCTTTACACCTCCACCTACCCCCTCTATCTGATTCCCTTTAAATCAAAGTGTATACAGATGGTCAGAGGGCGAACTTGATCTAGTAAAGGATTTTTCCCTCCCTGTATGTTCTCTTGCACTTTAAGGAGTTTCCGAAAGGAGGAGGAGGAGCATTTCTCACTGGACATGAGGGAACTGATACGACAAATTCTGAAAAGAGATTTCATTCAGAAAGCCAAGTGATTTAAGCACAATGAATGGGCTTCTTTCTCTGATAGAATTCCCAAGACAGTCGCTAACATCCAAAGTTGACTTTTAATTAATTTTAAGTTCATTGAAAATTTGGCCTGAGGAAACGCCAATGAGGGATCCCAAGAGTTTGTTCCCATCGCTTTTGTCCCATTCAGCCTATACGTGGACCTGATGAAGCTGTGAAGCTGCCGGCTGTACCTATCAGGAAAGACTGCAGTGGAGAGTAGACCAGAAGCCTATTTAAGTCTCCCAGTAAATGTCTACATTGCACACCTGTAGTTCTTTATTTTTTCTTCTTTTTTGAGACGGAGTCTCACTCTGTCACCCAGGCTGGAGTGCAGCCACGCAATCTCGGCTCACTGCATTGTGTGCCTCCCAGGCTCAAGCGATTCCCCTGCCTCAGCCTCCTGAGTATCTGGACTATAGGCACGTGCCACCACGCTTGGCTAATTTTTGTATTTTTAGTAGAGACAGGGTTTCTTCATGTTGGCCAGGCTGGTCTCGAACTCCTGACCTCAAGTGATCCACCTGCCTCAGCCTCCTAAAGTGCTGGGACTGCAGGCATGAGCCACCATGCCCGGCCTCGCTTTATTTTTTTTTAATAGGTGTAAGATAAGCATGCCCCAGGTCAGCGTGCAGATTTCCCAGAGGGCTTGGAAGAACCACCAGAACATTCCTTTATGCGTAAGGATATTTTAGAAATGACCAGCTTAAACATAGCTAACTGGGTTGTATCACAATTTTAAAAATGTCTGTAGAAGTTTTAAGTCAACCTTCACGAACTGAAATGCAATGAAAAAGAAAAGGTACCTTGATAATCTCAGAAACTGAGATGACCAGAAGAAATAATGATGAAGGCTCTACCTTCCTAACATTTGCACTGATATTCAAAAGGCCTAGAAGGAAGTTAGGACTCTATACAAAATGGTCACAAACCTAATCTCAAAAGCTGACTCAAGCCCCATTTGTGGCAAATTAACTAAAAGAGCAAGGGACAGAAGGGAAAAAGCAAAAACACCTGTTGGTAATTTTCCCCAAGCAACATTTTTGTCTTTCAAAAGACCAAAGCGAGGCTGAACTTTAGAGACAAGGTTTCCCTTGTTGGAAACAGAGCAGGCGAGTAGCACCTTTAAACAGTTCCCTGTTTTTCAAGCAGCTGAGGGAGGTAAAATCTGCAGAGAGCTCAGTGAGGGCGGCCCCAGGAAGGCCCTGCAGAGGTGCTTCATTAACCCGATTAAGCAGGTGGATGGAGAGGGCCTCGCTGATAATTTACACCTTGCTAATGAAGCGTGTGACTCTTAATCTCCTCCAAACAAGATACACTCATGAAACTCTGGTACAAGGAAAGGGGAAATTAATTAGGTGAAAAAACTATGAGATTATAGCAGAGGGATTCCTGCAAGGCAACTGTAACCTGGGTAGTTATTCATTTTAGCCTTTCTGAAATTAATGGCTGAGCTGTCAAGTAAACAAGTTGTGGTATCTTTTGGGCTTATAAGAAGTTCAAAAGCAGTACATCATTATGTGTCTGATTTCATATTTCATGCAATATCTTTAAAAATCAATCTGATGGACTGACTTCTAATGTGTAATTTTAACATATTTGTAGTACAGCTGTTTATAGTAAGAGTATACACAGAAGATTCAGTTATATATTTCCTATAATTTCTTTTAAAATGTTACATTGCAAAATAATTCTTATATCTAATGCAAGCTGTAAAGAAATTTTGTGTTCAAAGAGAACATTTTAAATGGTTGGTTAGAATTCTTATTAGATGAATGATATCAGTTTAATAAAAGAAATATAACAATAGTAGCTAATATTTATCAAGTGTTGATATATATCAAGTACTAGCTAAGTATTTTATTTTTAAATTTATTTTTATTTTTATTTATTTTGTTGATGTTGAGACAGGATCTCACTTGTCACCCAGGCAGGAGTGCAGAGGTATGATCACAGCTCACTGAAGCCTCGACCTCCTGGGTTCAGGCAATCCTCCCACTTCAGACTCCTTTTTAGCTGGGACTACAGGTGCACACCACTACGCCCAGCCAGTTTTTTGTATTTTTAGTAGAGACGGCATTTCACCACGTTGGCCAGGCTGGTCTCGAACTCCTGTGCTCAAGTGATCCATCTGCTTCCACCTCTCAAATTGCTGGGATTACAGGCATGAGCCACCATGCCCGGCAAAGTACTTTTTTTTTTTTTTTTTGAGACAGAGTCTCGCTCTGTCACCCAGGCTGGAGTATAGTGGCACGATCTTGGCTCACTGCAACCTCCACCTCCCGGGTTCAAGCAATTCTCGTGCCTTTCCGAGTAGCTGGGACTACAGGAGTACGCCACCATGCCCAGCTAATTTTTGTAATTTTAGTAGAGACAGGGTTTCACCATGTTGGCCAGGCTGGTCTTAAACTCCTGACCTTAACTGATCCACCCGCCTCAGCCTCCCACAGTGCTAGGATTACAGGTGTGAGCCATCATGCCCAGCCAAGACGAAGTACATTAAGTTTATTAACTCATTAATCTATATAACAACTCTATGGGGTAATTATTTCTTTATAGATGAGTAAACTATGGCCAATAAAGTTAAGTAGACATGTGCAGACACGTGTTTTCTTTTCTTTTTTTCTTTTAATTTTTTTTTGGCAGTATTCCTGTGATGGCAGCATGTGTTTTCTTGCTTAGTTATAGGTGAAAATAACCCGATCTTAAAGCCAGAAATTCATTTAAATGGTGTTTATTTCAGAGCACTTCACATATTTTGGGTCAAGTATGGAAATAACCTAGATTTTTATGCCAGTCAAAGTTCTGAAAAGAATGTGATCTTCATGGTGTGTTACCTTGGCAAACTAGACCTGGATTTAAATTTATCATCATTTACTTGATCTTGGGAAAGTTACTTAACATCTCTGTTTCAGTTCCTTCATCTTTAAAAGGGGGGTAATGATTCCTACTTCATCAGATTGGAATGAGTCTTGCCTGAGGTATCGTGTAAAGCATGACACACACAGATGGGGTTCGTACATGTTGCTTTCTCCACACTTCCCCCTTCAATTTTTTGGATCCACGCTGGACTTCATGACAGACTCATCATTCTAACTCATAGCTTTAATTACTTGAAGACCTACAAACCATCATTTTTAAAATGGCTTCCTATTCTGTGGCATATCTAAACCAAACTCCTCGTTCTAGAGACTCCATGGACTCTCTTCTGCCTAGGACCTGGCCTGTGTTCTAAGGAGGGTAGCATTTTCAATGTGCCCATTCCTACTTTCATCTCTGGATTCATCCACTCACCTATCCATTCATTCAAAGAACATTTCTCCACCAGGCATTGAGCCCTGGACTATTGAGGACCCAAAGGACAAATGAGACAAGGTCCTGGGCCTCTAGGAGTACATTGTTTAGATGGGGCAACAGACCAGGAAGCCAACCACTTCATGCAAGGGGAAGAACATAACGTCAGTGGTGCAGGCAGTGAGGAGCGGGTGTTCAATGCTGCCTGGTGTTAGGGTGAGATGAGAGGAGGTGTCTCTCAAAGTGAGGCTTGAAGGATGCACAAGTTTGGGGAGGTAAGTTCAGGCAGAAGAAACTTAAAATTATGCAACCTCAAAAATGTCAAAAGATATTAGGGGAAATTCAAGTGCTTTGATGTTGTTGAGTTGAGGAGAGAGTGATAAATGAGGCTGGAGCAGTGACAGAGGCCAAATAAACAGGGGCTGTGTCTGTAGGGCTAAGTCTTCTGCGCTTTTTTCTCTGGGCTGTGGAGATCCCATAGACCCTGGGAGTTTACATACTAAATGTAAATGGTGGATTATAGGAGAGCAAGACTGGAGGCAAGGAGAAGAATTAGAGGTCAGCTGCTAAAATTCAGTTGAGAGGTGATGAAGACTGCTTTAGGACTGTAGCTATGGAGTGGTGGATGGGCAGCCAGCCAGAGAACAATTTCAGAGGTAGCAGATAGATTGTGATCATCAGAACAGTGTCTGATACATGTTCAATAAATAGTTGTTGAATGAATGAATGTGTTTTTTAGTTGTTTTTGTTCTATGTATGCATTTTTTTCACTCAGCTCTCTGAAGATATTAATTTTTAATTTTTTTAAGTTTGGGGCTTTCCCTCCCCCCTTTTTCTGCCTTGTCTCTGTTTCCTCTGAGTTCTGCATTTTTGTTGTTTGTTTGCTCTCCATCTTTAAAGCAGAGCGATCCTTGGATGTCCATTTATGTTTAAACATGTGGCACTAAAAGCCAATTCGAAGCTCTATGTGCGTAGGTAGAGTTTTGCTGACTATTGGAGTCCACCGTAGGATGGTTGGACATAACCTGGTCTTTATATTGGGGGACTCTAAGGTTTCAGTATTTTTTTCTCTGGTTCTGTTCAGTTTCTCCAGAAAAGAATTCTTGAATTTCCTGCCTACGAGATGTGAACAGGAGTGACAGTCAACTGGACACACCAGTGCAGCCATGCTGGTTGTTAACATATTGAAACTCCTATTGCTAGTGGTGTATAATGACTGCCTCAAGTTCTCAGACTGCCTCATTCCAGCCACACTGAGATCCCCTTCCCACAACCTAGCAACAAAGCAGTTAAAGCCTGCAGGACCTTGCCTCAATGCTCAGGTCAGTGTCCATTCCATTTGGTTGGTGCCCGGGCTACATTGGCTGTATTTAACATGTTAAAAAACAAGGCGTGGCCTGGAGTGGTGGCTCATGCCTGTAATCCCAACACTTTGGGAGGCCAAGGTGGGTGGATCACCTGAGGTCAGGAGTTTGAGACCAGCCTGGCCAACATGGTGAAACCCCGTCTCTACTAAAAATACAAAGAAAATAGCTGGGCATGGTGGCAGGCTCCCGTAATCCCAGCTACTCAGGAGGCTGAAGCAGGAGAATTGCTTGAACCTGGGAGGCGGAGGTTGCAGTGAGCTGAGACTGTGCCATTATACTCTAGCCTGGGCAACAAGAGGGGAACTCTGTCCCAAAAAACGATCAAACAAACAAACAAAAAACAAGCCATGTCCCTGGCATTCTGGAAAAGCAGGAAAAGAAGTTTGGATGGTCCTGACTCAGCTTGCAAACTGTCATTCCTTCTGTCTTTCAATGTGCCCTGCCTTCCTCCTTGCCTGGAGAGCCCATGTCTGGAGTGCCCTGGTTTGATTTATTGAAAGAGTACCCCTCCTATCTCCTGCTGATGTGAGGGAGGGATGGTCATGTGACCCCTACAGAATGTATTCTTCCATGGAAAGGTCCCACCCCTATTTTATTCTTTCTGCTGCCTCTGAATCCTGGCCCCTTATTGGGTTCTGTGGCATAAATCTTGCTTTTATTCTGTTTTGTTTGATTTTGATTTTGGTCTTTCTCCTCTGCAGGTGCTATTAATAACCTTTTTTTCTTGCTTTGCTGAGAGAGTTACCGCCTGGTCATCTGCTTTCCATCTTCTAAACTTTTGTGGACATCTTGGCCCTAGCTTCTCATAGATATTGATGATTTCTGGAACTCTCTTTCAGTCACTCTGAACTACTTGGAAGAAAAATGTTATATTAATTAGTCAAGACTCATGGATTCCATGGAAAAGAAACTAAAACTAGTTTAAACAAAAGTGGGAAGGATATTTCAGGATCTAAGGGTTTTCTTTTAGACTCAAGTCAGGGATGCAGGAGGCAGTCACAAAGCTGAAGTGCAAAGCCCCGAGGCCTTCTGTGTTTCTTTTTCTTCTGGGTATTTACACTTAATAATTTTCTTGTTTGCTTCCTCTTTGGCCAGCTCTTTTTCTCTTTCTCTCTGTGGTCTGTGTAGTGGAATATGGCCTCCTCACAGTTCCTGAGTGTTTATGCTATGATTCCAAGTATCAGAGGAATTTAGTTTGCTGCCTTTCTGATCCACTTCCAAATTCTGAGGAAGGAATGAAATTAGTTTGGGACAGATGCTCCTACCCTTAATCCAATCCATGAAGATCCTGGTGGGTAATGAAGTACAAGCCATGTTACTATGTTGACAGGCAGGGTAGGAGAACTGCTTCCAGAAGTGAGGGAACCATTGTGAGCTACGCAGACACACGAAAAGCTATCAACTACAGCAGAGGAGAAAGAGTCCATTATTTATTCACCTAATTTCCTTTATACTTGCTTACCTTCAATTCCATTTAGAGGAAGCGGGAGACAGGGTGTGGAAGGCATTCACGGTTTGGAAAGTTGCTGCAGCTGTAGCCAGAGATGAGGCCAGGAGCTGAGGGCTGGGTTCCTCTAGGCTTTTTGTAGTTAGCCTGTGCCAAGCTGTTCTGAGAGGAGTTTGCCTTGGCTCCCGGGTCTCCTGGAAGCTGGGCTCTGGTCTGTTGCCCAAGGGGCCTGGGTCAGCTGCTCTTTACAGCCTTGGGCCAATACCTTACATAATTTGTCTTTTTTTTACTTCCTCTATTTTTTTTTTTTTTTTTTTTTTTGAGACGGAGTCTCACTCTGTCGCCCAAGCTGGAGTGCAGTGGCACGATCTCGGCTCACTGCAAGCTCCGCCTCCCGGGTTCACGGCATTCTTCTGCCTCAGCCTCCCAAGTAGCTGGGATTGCAGGTGCCCGCCACCACGCCTGGCTAATTTTTCTATTTTTAGTAGAGACGGAGTTATCACCGTGTTAGCCAGGATGGTCTCGATCTCCTGACCTTGTGATCCACCCGCCTCGGCCTCCCAAAGTGCTGGGATTACAGGCGTGAGCCACCGCGCCGGCCTACTTCCCCTATTTTAAAAGGGAAAGACATCAAGATTTGCTTGGGGAATTTTTTCAAATAAATATGGCAATGTACAAACCGTGGGCTATATATCAAGTTCCTCTGAATATTACATACCAAGTAAGAAGTTTGAGTTAGAACTGCATGTCTCAAGTGACAGAATTCATTTTTCGAATGAAATGTTTATTGAATAGGGTAAGAGAAAGCAAGCCCATGTGCTGCTTATGCTAATCAGCATTTGATAAGTAGAGTGCAGTTTTCTCTTTAATAACCTAGCACCCATCATGTTCAATTAGTAATGCACTGGTGACGGTCCATGCAGGGCTGGAAGAAGAGGCACAGCCGAGCGCTGTTCGGGTCTACAACCATGCTGTATGACACCAACCACCACCATGCAAATGACTTCAGAGTTCAAAGGGGCATCACTTAGAGGCCTGTAATTCATTTCCAGTTCCTTCTGTAGATACAGGGGCCACACTGCATGCATCATGAAATTTCTTTAGAAATGAAGTCCTTTGGGAAGAAAGTTATAAGTCTATTTATATTTGAGCAGCTTTATGATAATAGCTACAAATCACTGAAATAGATAGTACTTTTCAAATGATACTTTAAGCATTGTATGTTTGCTAATAGTAAAATTAGAAATAAAGTGAATTAAAGAGATGGATTCTCTTATTTTTAATTCTCATATTTTAGACCTTTAGAATTGTCCTTGGTGCAGGCCGGGCACGGTGGCCCACGCCTGTAATCCCAGCACTTTGGGAGGCCGATGCGGGCAGATCACTTGAGGTCGGAAGTTCGAGACCAGCCTGGCTAACATGATGAAACCCCCATCTCTACTAAAAATACAGAAATTAGCCGAGTGTGGTGGTGGGCACCTGTAATCCCAGCTATGCAGGAGGCTGAGGCGGAGAATCGCTTGAACCTGGGAGGTGGAGGTTGCAGTGAGCCGAGATTGTGTCACTGTACTCCAGCCTGGATGACAGAGTGAGACTGTCTCCAGAAAAAAACCCAAAGATTTGTCCCTGGTGCAAATATGCTGAATCTCCTAGAGTAGGTGCCATCTGCATGTACCATGAGTGGCACTTAGTCATGCTCCCGAAATACTATGTCACTCTCCTAGTGGTTTTCTCTAACACTAGCCCTGAAAAGCAGACATATATTTTTATTCCAGCTATTAATAAAATGTTTAGCACATTTCTTTTAGAGATGCAAAGTTCCCCTATACCAGTTCTACAAGACAGAATATAAAGAAATCCCAGCCAGGTGCAGTGGCTCACACTGTAATCCCAGCACTTTGAGAGGCCAAGGCAGACAGATCACTTGAGGCCAGGAGTTCAAGACCAGCCTGGCCAACATGGTGAAACCTTGTCTCTACTAAAAATACAAAAATTAGCTGAGCATGGTGGCGCGTGCCTGTAGTCCCAGCTATATCTTAGTTTTTTAAAAGTTTATGAAACGTTTCCACTCTCTAGTAAAATTAAAATCCTCTATTTTAATTTTAAGCTCAGGTGCAAACGGTTGAGTTAATGATACTCTTCAGTTAACATCACATCATCACCACCCCTACCCTAACCTCATACCCATTCGTCCCTCTGTTTCCATAGGCACCCTCTCTAATATAGTTCATGTTTTTTCTTGAATACGTATGTATCTTTGGAAGACGTGCACTATGGGATTTTTTTTTTGGGGTGTATGTTGATATAAATGGTGTATTTTGATATAAATAAGTGATGTTCTGTGGATCTTTGGGGTTTGTTTTGTTTTGAGACAGGGTCTCGCTCTGTCATCCAGGCTGCAGTGCAGTGGTGTGATCTTGGCTCACTGCAGCCTCAACTTTCCAGGCTCAAGCGATCCTTTCACCTCAGCCTCCCAAGTAGCTGGGGTGCCACCACATCTGGCTAAATTTTTTATTTTTTGTAGAAACGGGGTTTCATCATGTTGCTCAGGCTGGTCTCAAACTCCTGAGCTCAAGGGATCCACTCGCCCTTGGCCTCCCAAAATATTGGGATTACAGGCGTTAGCCACCACGCCCAGCCTGTACTGTGGATCTTATTCCACTTGAAATTTTTCCTCCATACTATAAGATCTGTAAATGTTGCTGTATATACTTAATAGCTCATTGCATTTGATCACTACATAATATTATATACATCTATCTTATTTGTGTTTACCTTGTTTCAATTCTCCACTGTTATGAAAATGCTGCCATAAGCATCATTGTATATGATCATTTTGGAGAATTTCTCTCACATATGCATCATAAATAGTGTCAGGTTATATTCTAGTTTAACTGTGCTGGCCTCCACTCCCACCAGCAGTGCATGAGGGTTCATAATATCTCAGCCCCTAACACTTAGCATTATCTGATTTTCCAATGTTGTACTAATCCGACATACATAACAGTTATTTTATTGTTTTAATTTACATATCTCTGGTTATTAGTGTTGTTGCCTACGTTTCCATGTATTTGTTACCTCTTGGATTTCCTTTACTGTGACTTGAATATTTATATCTTTGGACCATTTTCCTATTGGGATTTGTGCGTTTATCATGTTTTCCTTCTTTTTTTTTTTTTTTTTTTTTAACAGAGTCTCACTCTGTTGCCCAGGCTGGAGTGCAGTGGTGCGATCTCCGTTCACTGCAACCTCTGCCTCCTAAGTTCAAGTGATTCTCCTGTCTCAGCCTCCCGAGTAACTGGGATTACAGGTGCCTGCCACCATGCCCGGCTAATTTTTGTATTTTTGGTAGAGATGGGGTTTCACCATATTGGCCAGGCTGGTCTTGAACTCCTGACCTCAAATGATCCACCAGTCTTGGTCTCCCAAAGTTCTAGGATTACAGGCATGAGCCACAGCTCCCGGCTGCTTTTTTCATGTTCATCTGCAGGATTTCTTTGGATAGTATAGAAATTAATAAACCAAATTAATTGGTTTTACTCAGTACACACAAATTTTTCCTATATGTTACCTAATCATTATCTGTCTGTGGTGTCCTTTGTTGAATAAAGTTCCCAATTTTAATATTTTTCGAGTCCATCAGTTTTCCCTATTATGGTTTATGCCTTTAAATTTTTTAAAATAAATCTTTCCTCACCTTTAGTTTACCAAGATATTCTGCAACATTTTTCTTATGTTAGCTTTTCAGTTTTGTCTTTCACATTGAGATCTCTAATTCTCACTGAAGTTCGTCCTTTTAGGTATAAATTCAATTTTTCTTCATATAATGAATCAGTTTTCCAAGACTGTATCATTCTAAATGACCCATTTTTTTCTTCACTGATTTGTGATGGTTTTCTTATATGCAAAGTGCTTGGTATGTAAGAGACGTTTCATATATTTAGATATAGTTTTATTACATATTTATTTTACTATTTTAAGACTCTTTATTCTGAACTATTGGTCTATTCTTGTATCACACAACTACTGTTTTTTATTATTCCCAAGGCTTTACTAAATGTCTGAACATCTCATAGGGTGAATCACACTCCTCCTCCCTCTTGGCTCCTCTTTTTTAAAAGCATCTTAGCTATTCATGGATCTTTATTCTTCCATATTCAAGTTAGACTAAGTGTGTTGAAGTTTCCAAAAAGTCTTCCTGGAATTTTGATTGAAATTTCAAGAAAGGTATAGATTATGTTATCAGCTTCTCATGACAGCTGGGCTTCAGGGCTATCCTGATATGAGTCCTACTGCCGCCAGCTAGTGCTGAGCTGGCACTAATATTTTTCTGCCCCAGGTAGTCAGTGGTGGCTTGTGCACAGAGGGCACTGAGGGGAAGAAAAAGTGCATGGCAGAGAAGTGCTCCCTCCCATGCCTGAAACATGTTTGTAACATCTGACCTGTCTGGTTTCTCTTCCCTCCATTTCTTGGACTGATCTATTCAAAGAGAACTAGGGGTTTTAAGTTCTGGAATCATCAGTTCCTCTCTCACCTCAGTGGCACCACCAAGAATTGAGGTTTCATGCTGGAAGCCAGTATCCCGAGTTGTTTGCCATCTTCTTGGGAACCAGACATCTTTCACCACAATGTTTCAAATGTATTTTCTTCTGCCCTCCAAAAGAAAAATCTTTTTATAGACTTTTAAAGTATTTCCTGTATAGTAACTCTGTGAAATAGGTAATGCAGGTGTTATCATCCTGGGCTTCAGAAAACTTATAAGACTCCCCTATAAGTACAGTGTCAGAAGGAAGCTAGGAGAAAACTAGAATTCCAAACTTTGACTTCCTGTCCCTGAAGAGAGTATCTGTAATATAGTAGAGAGGCACAGGACCCAGAGTCAGCGGTCTAGCTCTAATCTGCACATTGATATCACATCAGCGCTGTGTTCTTGAAAGTTGCAGGGTCCTGGGCCTCAGTTTCCTCATGTCTTGGATGGGCTAGGTCATCCCTAAAGCCCTTTCCCCCAAATTTTTAAGATTCTCAATACACAAGGGAGGAACCAAGTCTGCTTTATGAGAATTTCAACCTGTTTTTTTCTTGTTCTTTTTCTACTGAAAGTGCCAATGAAGAGTGAAATGGCCAAAAGCCAATAGCCTGGAGGGTTGCTGTAGAGTTATGTAATTAATAAGCTGCAAATATGGCTTCTGGATAAATTGAGTGGGTTTTATTATAATAGTTGCCCTGTAGCACTGAAGGATGACATCATTCCTGATATTTGGGTTCTTGTTCCTGAAAATTAAACCCACTCTTAAGGGAAAGGGTACTAACAGTCATCCATGAACTTTAAAAAATGAAACAAAGTCCAGAGGACTGATCTGCGGCCGCTACCGGTGCCAGTGCTGAAGAGATGACAGAGATAGAAGTCCCTGTTTGATAGAGCAAGAGAAAGAATACTGCCTTATACAAAAGCAGTATTTGGCTCAAGGGAAATAAACCAAACAGTAACACGTTTTTTAAAAATGAGGAGGGAGCAGTGGTTCAACCTGTAATCTCAGCATTTTGGGAGGGTAAGGTGGGAGAATTACTTGAGGCCAGGAGTTCAAGAGCAGCCTAAGCAACATAGTGAGACCTGGTCTCTACAAAAAATTTAAAAATTAGCCACGTGTGGTAGTGCATGCCTATAGTCCCAGCTGCTCAGGAGGATGATGTGGGAGGATCTCTTGAGTCCAGGACTTCAAGGTTACAGTGAGCTATGACTGCACCACTGCACTCCAGTCTGGGCAAAAGAGCAAGAGCTTGTCTCTAAAACTAAAAATTTGAATGAGGAGGAGTTGAGTAAAAGAAGACAGAATGTAGGGTAAGAAGACAATTTATTAAAAATCCCAAAAGTATGTCCACTAGCAAGATATAGTCCACAATGGGAGACAAGAACCGCATCCTCAGAAAGAGTCAAAGAGCTTAGGAAAGGCCTAGAAGAATCAGTGAAGGTGTCAGGGAGGTTAAAAAGTTAAAAAAAAAAAAAAGAATCAATGAGCTGTGGAGCTGATGCTTTTGAATTTCTTATGAATTAAGAAATGATCTTGTACATTAGTAATGCTCATGTTTAATTAGGCTAAGAAAAAGATGTTTTCTTTTTCTTTTTTTTTTTTTTTTTTTTTTTTGAGACAGTCTTACTCTGTTGCCCAGGCTGGAGTGCAGTGGCGTGATCTTTGCTCACTGCAACCTCTGCCTCCTGGGTTCAAGCGATTCTCGTGCCTCAGCCTCCCAAGCAGCTGGGACTATATGTGTGCACTAATTAATAAGCTGCAGCTAATTTTTTGTATTTTTAGTAGAGAAGGAGTTTCACCATGTTGGCCAGGCTGATCTCGAACTCCTGACCTCAAGTAATCCTCCTGCCTCGGCCTCCCAAAGTGCTGGGATTACAGGCATGAGCTACCATGCCCAACCAAAATATGTTTTCTTTAGTGATGTTTTTGTCAAGTGTAATAGTCAACACATCCCTATTATGATGCTTTCTTGTGTTGCCTTCCATAGGGTCAACTTTCCAAAGACATATGAAACTATACCTTATATAATTGTGTATCTACAACAAGTTCAATCCTTGTCCACACTGGCAGGCTAACTCAATCTCATAATAGGTAGGTTTGGCTGATTTTGCTTTTTTTGTTTGTTTGTTTTTTGTCTTTTTTCCACTTTTTAGGAGTCCAGTATCTTAGTGCTGGTATTTACCTTTTAAGAAATTGCTTGGGTAGGCCGGGCATGGTGGCTCACGCCTGTAATCCCAGCACTTTGGGAGGCCGAGGCAGGCGGATCACGAGGTCAGGAGATCGAGACCATCGTGGCTAACACGGTGAAACCCCGTCTCTACTACAAATACAAAAAAAATTAGCCAGGCGTGGTGGCGGGCGCCTGTAGTCCCAGCTACTCGGGAGGCTGAGTCAGGAGAATGGTGTGAACCCGGGAGGCGGAGCTTGCAGTGAACTGAGATCGCGCCACTGAACTCCAGCCTGAGCGATAGAGCGAGACTCCGTCTCAAAAATTAAAAAAAAAAAAAAAAGAAATTGCTTGGGTAGTTTAAGAAGAAGACACTGAGAAACAAATTCTTAGCTATGATAGAACCAAAGTTTTATTCATAGAAGACCAAAATTGTATTGAATATAGGCCAGTTATAAAGGAGCTTATTCATCTTTGCATGCCAGTGAAGTTCCTAACTCAGAGGCTAACCTGTTGTACACATGAGGAGGACATTTTGGCTACAGCTCTGAAATTAGTAGATGGTTAAGCCTTAAAGTGGGGTGTTAATTGCAAAACAGGAGTTGGATATCTGAACAGCTCAGACTGTAAACCCTAGGTTTCTATAATTCTACATTGTTTGTGAGTATTATGGGGTAGTTAAATCTTCGAGAGTTTCCAAAGTGAGATTGTACAGTCTTATTTGTTCATGATATAAGTGACAAGACTCTACAAGAGCAGAGGACACAGGGAAAAGGCTCTTGGGTTTTGCACTAATCCAGACCCTGCAGCTGGGCCCCGGCCCACACTTATTGCCTCCTTCAGCACCAGGCCCTCCTCACTCCCAGGGTGTCAGACACTGGCCTTCTTTCAATTCCTTAAAGAAACTTGCCCTCACCCATCTCAGGAACTTTGTTCATGATGCATCCTTTGCCTGGAGAAAGCTGATTTCCACTTTCCTTCCTTGGCCTCATTCAGGTAATTTCTACTCCTCCTTAAGATTTCAGCCCCAAAGTCACTTCTTCAAGGAAACTTTCCCCAATCCCCAGAATGATCTAATGCCCTTTTTCTTCTGGCAGTCCCAAAGGTAGGAACTCCAATGCTCATTCCCACTATGGTACCCTCACTCTCAGTGCAGTCAATGCCCAGCAAGATGTAGGTGCTTGAGAGTTCTCAGGTGAACAACATGTAAACAAGGTGCCCATGACACAATCAGCCTGCTTCGACAAAACATCTTAGATTCTGAAAAATAGGACTAGAAAGGATCTCAAGAAATCATTTGACCCTTTCTCCAATCTTTAGAAGCAGGCGATGAATGGGTAGGATAGTATATTCCTAACCAAAAAGTTGGTTGGAGCATCTATTATGTAAACAAATCTGCAGGAGAAATTGTAATGAGGCATTCTAGCTTTAGGTTGGACATTACAGGGAAACCAGGTAGGTACATTGTCAGTTACACTGTGGCTGCTTCACTCATCTGTGGGGAGAGACCTAGAGTTTTGTTTTTTTTTTTTTTTTTTTTAGACGTAGCTTTGCTCTGTCACCAGGCTGGAGTGAGTGGCACAATCTCGGTTCACTGCAACCTCCGCCTCCTGGGTTCAAGCGATTCCCCTGCCTCAGCCTCCCAAGTACCTGGGACTACAGGCACGTGCCACCATGTCCGGCTAATTTTTTGTATTTTAGTAGAGATGGGGTTTCACCATGTTGGCCAGGATGAGCTCAATCTCCTGACCTCGTGATCCGCCCACCTCAGCCTCCCAAAGTGCTGGGATTACAGGTGTGAGCCACCGCGCCCGGCCACCTAGAGGCTTTTTATCTGTAGTGAGGCAATGTGTCCTGGACACACTCTGAGTTCCCACAAGTTCCGGTTTGTGAAGCTGTGACGCCACCGACTTGTGGAACCACAGTCTGCTGCTTCGTTCCTTATTTTGATTATGGGCTTTTGTGGTTGTTGTTTTGTTTGTTTGTTTAACAATCACTGAATCACCATAGAGGCAGAGGTAGATAGCTTTTTAAATTGTTCTACCGAGGGGAAAATGTAGAAAACTTCTGTAAAGAAAAGTAAGCAAGCAAGCATTTAGAAACATCATTTCTTGCATGCGTGATGTTTTACTAAGATGCCCTAATAATGGAGGGAGTTTTATCTTTAATATTCCAGTTCCAAATGGGTGTCATGAAAGGCCTGTGTATGTCAGCTCTGAAAACTCTCTAACCTTGAAAGGCCTATTTTCTCCTCTTGCCAATTCGTCTGTGGAGCTTATCAGGAAGAGAGGATTGCTATTGCTGTCTAGTGCCCATAATTAATCCCGGAGACAGTGAGGATTTAGGACCACTGATTGTGGCTGACTTCAAATTAAAAAGTCACTGTTAGTGTGTGAAACAGACACCATATGTTATAAACAAACCCTTTGAATGATGTAGAACGTCAAGATAATTCATATGTAAACACAGGTTACACTTAGGGTAGGGGATTTTACGTATGCCCATTCATACTTTTCAAAGATGCTATGGACACAAAAACATAGATGGCACACTGTTTTTCCTTCAGTTGGTCCCCAGAAAATGTGTATGATTTAAAATGTGAATTTAGTGCAAACCTCAAATTACTGGTTATGAAATGTGTCTTTCTCTTCACCATCAATGTGGCGAGTACAAACAAAGGCAGACACCAGTCTGATTGGTTAGTGTAATCCAATTGCCGAGTTGAGCTTCTTTTCTTGTTCCTGCCATGACTAATTTGTGGTTTCACAAAGTGTTTCTGAATGTCAGACACATCAATTATAAGAGATGGGCAAGATGCATAAGGAGAACCACAGTAAGGGGGAGAGGGCTTTAAAAATGTTTACAAGAAATTAAAGTAGTGAGGGTAGGCAGAAGTTGTCCTACAACCTTTACAAGAGCAATTCTTTTATTTAAGAAAGTGGCTGGATTATTTCCCAAGTGAATAAATTCTCTGTCCACTGCCAATCAGAACCGTTAGTGGCCTCATTTCTTCTTACTAACTGGTCCTCTCCTTTCCTTCCGTCCTCTAGATAACACACAACAATGCCACCTTCACTCTGTCGACACTGGTGCTTTAAGGGAAGGCTGGGTTAGGTGTTCACAAACATATTCTCTAATGGTGTTTATTTTCCATGGCTGGAGTGATTTCTTTTTCCCCTACTGAAACTCTATTATATACCCTTTTGTTGTCATGGCTGAAGCCTGTTGTTTCTGCAAAAACAATAATAGGCCTGAAGATTAGGGTTGCATTTTATGGGCCTAGCAGCCCAGCAGGGCATCATATTTGTATCAATCCTATAAATTCCTGGCATCAGGCCTCTTTACTCCTAGTAATTAATCTTTTTCATAAATGCTGTCATGTTTAGAGCTGTTTTATTAAGTTTCTGCCTTCTAATTTTTTCTGCGTCACTCCTTTGCCTCATCAGTATTAAAAATGAAAATAGAAAAACAACAATAGAGCAGCCAAATAGATGGAACCTACCAGTTACAGCTTTCTTTTCTTACCAAGGGAGTCTAGATGCAAAGGCTGTTCTTTTTATCTTCGTAATACCAGCCCTCATCTCCAAGCTGTGGGTATGGTTTGTTTGGGTTTTCTCCTTCTCCTTGTTGGTGTGGGTGCTCTTCAGGTGTGAGAAGCTGAAGAAGAAAGGAAGACTTGCTTCTTTTAGTCTCTCACTCTCTTGTCAAAATGCCAGGGCTAGAGAGGAAGACCTGTTCTGAAGGAAGTTTGTTCACTGCCCTTGGACTTAGCCTTTCTGATGCAGCCGACGGAACTGAATACCGTCCCTTCTGCCTCCTTTGGGATTGCAATTGCGTTGGTGTGTGGTGGTGTGAGCAGCTTTTTTCTTTGGCCCACTGACCTAATTGCAATAGAGGTGGTAAAATATTTTCATTACCGTCTCCCCCAGAATATAGAAATCTTCAAAGGGAACCCAGGAGGGAGGTTAGCCTCTTAACCCTAATTTCCCTACCACTACCTCAGCTTGGCTGTGCATCACAAAATTAGTCTTTAGTCTCCGAACATAGTGGCACCAGGATTGTTGTCGGTTTTGCTTTTAAAAATCATTTCATATTGTAAACCCGGCGATTATTTCATGCTGTTTAAACTATATTTGTAGTCTTTGATCATGCATAAGTAGACTCAGGTTAACTGCTGATAGAATGATGATATTGTTCTCCATGTTTCTTTTTCTTTTTCTTCTTCTCTGTCTTTAAGGACCCTGTACCCAAGAGCTGGCCTCAAGAAATTTCCATTACTACATTACAACATGCCTTTGTTTTTTAATTGGTTCAGGACTACCTATTTGCATGACAAGCAACATAATTCAGTTAGCAAAATCTGTTGTGTGTATGGTATGCAGAATCTATATTTATTGCATTTTATAAACTACTGATTATTTAAAAATTTGAAAGACGCTGGATTGGCAATGAATGCCAAAGAGAAGGAGAGAGTAGTAGTCATTGCTGATTATTGTTATTTGAGCACAGGCTGGTTTCTCCTCTCCTTCCTCCCCCTCCATTTTTCTTCAGGAGTTCCTTTCTATCAGCCACCCCTTTCCACACCTCGATTCCCAGCAGGAAGATACTGTACTGCCACGAGTGGGGGCTGAAAATGGGGCAAAATAGGTTTTGAATAGCAGCGTCAAATAAATTCAAGTGCCTTTCTAAATATATTTCAAGATTAAGTAATTAAGGAGTGTAAAGCACTTGGAAAAAAATAAAGTGCCATGTAAGTGCTAAGTAATAAAGAGTAATCATAACAGTAATAAAAGGGTGAACTGCTAAATCTTTCCTGCTTCTTTTCCTCTCAGGATTTTCATCATTTCAAATTTGGCTCCTGAATACAACTCTTTTATTTCTAATGAAGAACTGGGACTGAAAATAATAATAATAATAAGGATTTTTTTTTTTTTTTAAGATTTGTTTGGGGATATAGAGATCATGTTCCACCCTGCCTTTTCCTTCCATTGCTGCCCATCCAGGAAAGATTTGAGCTTCATCCTGATGGGTGGGCTACAGAGAGGAACTGGGACACAGAATTCCCTTGAAAGAAAACACTTGTCCCTGTTGGTTTCACAACTTTATCAACCCAACCATCAGCCTAATGGTGTTTGTTTATGATTTACTCGGTATTATGATTTGCATCATTTTTCAATAAACTTGAGACCACCTGCTGTGATTGTGACTATTTCCCATTATAGGCAGGGCATTTCATCCCCCAAACCCTGACTTTCCATCCCCTGGGCAAATTTTACAACAACCTGACTACCCTTGATGCCTGGGTGTTCTCTTCATGTGACAGTATTTATAAAAAATCTATGTGTATATTTCTTTAATAGGACATATATAGTTACTATCAATGTTTATTTTCCATTTTCTCCAACCTTTGGAAGAAGAGTGCATCTCCTTGTGTGCACATCCTCATTGCTGACCATCTGTAGATCTCCAGGCCTCGCACAGGTTAGGACAACAAACCCTCTGGTTTTTGTGTTAGCAGGTACACAGACTATACTCATGATATGGATGAACTAGGAATCTAATTTGAATACCTGGCCCTGGAGGGGGCAGATTTTCAGCCTGTTGTTTGGATATACAAAATAAAGGGTTAGTGATATAGATTCAAAATTGTCATTTGTTTTTCACTTTCTTTCAAACAAGGGCCTCTGCCACCTCACAGTAAATGTAGAGTTTCATAGAATTTGTGTTTGCCATACCTTTGTGTGTACTATACCACCACACAACACATAGGACCAGTGCTGAAACTTGTTTGACAATCCTTCTGGGAATGAGACAGAGAATTAGGATTTGGCAGAAACTTTGGTCAAACATCAGTAACAATAAAAACAAAACAATTGCTTGTGAAAGTGTTTTTTTTTTTCCATTTTTCTTTTTTCTTAAAGAATGATTAAGGAAATCCCTTTAGTTGAGGCATGTAATAATTTGTGTGTATACTCAGTGTAACTTGACCTCAAGGGAAGCTGCATATCATATAGAAATCAAAGAGGAAATGTTCAAAGATTCTTCAATTGGAAAATAGGAGGTGATTTTATTACTACATCATGAGCATGTAAAAGTCTCCCATAAATCCTATATCCAAAACACTGTTAGAATTGATAGATAAGATTTCATTGTCAGGAAAATTCTTTTTTCTTAAAAGAATACAATTCTTTCAAGTTTTTAGAGATGGCCCCAAAGCAATCTAGAAGTCAGGCTTCAGTCCTCACCTTAAGCACTGGTTGGCTTTTTCTTTACTTGCAGACACATTTACATGGATTCTCAGGTTGCCTTCATGTTCAGAAGTGTGGAAGACAGAGGTGATTTAAAGCAGAAGAGCAGTACCTAAAAAGGGGGACAGGAATTTAAAATTAGGTGAGGAAGTTTTGAATCTATAATAAAAGTCTAAAGGCAGATAACAAATTCTTTGTTTGAGTCTTAACTTCACTGATGAATTTTTTTTTCTTGCATGTGACTTTGGTCAAATGGCTTATTTCTTTTGGCGCTTTGTTATTTTTCACTCATCGTGTTCAAAGAGGTACTGTGAGGATTAACAATATAAAAATTTGTTTTGATATAATGTTCTAATAATTTAAAGTAGTATTTAAAAAAACTCTTAATTAAAAAATTTAATGTCTTATTTTATATATTAAAATATAGAATTGATTTATAAAGTAATTATATAGAGAGTAAATTATTATAAACATTCAGAACTGTGGAGTTGTAATTCTTGTTTTGATTTCATGAGGTCCAAATAGAATATTTTACAGAGGTGTGACAAGCAGCTCAGAAACCAAAACTGTTTTCTTCTAATATTACTGTTTGCCAACATGGTGTTTTTTATTAAAATCTGAGTTGAAGCAAATATGAATATCAAACACAAATACATTTGAAATGGGTTGGGTCAAGGAAAGAGAGCAAAAATAGTAAAATAAACTTTAAAGTTTGAAAAATATGTAACACCTTTATAAGGTTGCATAAGAAACGTGACTTGGAAAATCACTTATCGTGATAAATTACCTAAAACAAATCTTCAGACGAATGAAGGAACACATAATTTGTAACAAAGGACCTAGACATTTAAAATAATAGAAGTTACTCTCAAATTAGAGTTATCCAGTACAGGAATTCATATTTTTATAAAAGCATATAAAAATTGTCAGTAATGAAATCAGCAGATTACAGATTGAAGGGGCACGACAGTTAATGATTTAGTCCAGGCCCAATACACTTACTTCCATGTTGGGCTTCTTTCTCCTCCTTTGAATACTCTAAACCCTCAGTCCATTTTAATTAGGCCAATGGAAAGCATCATTAAACTTTGCCATTTTTGTAGGTGGGAACCTGAGCACCTTTATTTGCCTAAGAGTCCTTTTGAATTCTACCTTTGCCCAAGGCAAGGGCTCTTCCTGGCCAGGACAAACTCCTGGGTGCCTTTTCAAAGTGCTTTATTGGTATCCTGTATGGAAGGCCTAGTGGCAGAGTCTGTGAGGGGTCTTGAACAGATTGTGTAACTGTTGCACAACCAATGTGTACACGTGTGTCACTAATTTAATTTTAATTTTACTGTATGCGTTTGTATAAGATCCTGCAGCTGTCATGTGCTCATCATCTGTCACTGAACTATCACTAAGCCATGCTGGGCTAAGACAGGATTATAAACGATGAACTGCCATGTGCTCTAAATCTTCTTATTTGCCTAGCCTGGAAGGTATGCCCTGTAAAATTTGATTGGCACTGTGCTCTATGCTGGCCATTGACTTTTGAAGGCCTTTTCTATTGGTTCTTTGAGTAGCTCTCAGTGGCTGTATTGACCATCACCTGCTGATTCCCTCACTGGCCTGACCTCCAACCTCTGCTTCTCATCTTTCCTCTCATCTTTTCCCCACTTGTTTGGCTACTTGCTCAGAGGCTGTAAAACAGGCCCTGCCACTCTGGTGGCACGTGCAGTATATAGGGCATATGGCTGACTGGTTGTATGCAGAAGAGGATAACTGAAGCCAAGCAGACCCAGCACTGTTATTACAGCAGATGGGGGAAGCGTGGCATTCAATATTTAGACAGATGCCACCTCCTTATTCCACCTGTCTGGAAGTTGGACATTGTACAGAACGAATGTCTGCCTAATGATGAAGGAAACAAAGGACACATTTATGAAGCGCAGCAGAGCAGCATATTTACTGAGCATGCACAATATAATTGTTGATCATAACAATAAACGTAAACTGCTACTGGTCAGAACCACTGAAACATGCACACAGTTACAGTAGGAGCAAGGAATTGCTACTTTTTACCAGCTGCTTGGGCATCTTTAATTTCGATGACTGGGGGCATTAGATAGGACTCAGAGTTTGTGATGAATGCCTGAAAGAATTCAATTTTCTCAAGTGATGGTCCATCCTCCTTTTCTGTTAAAATCCTCAAAACAAGTGTCACTTCCTCTCTGTTTTCATGTTTCTAGGAAATTCAGTCCTTCATTTTCTTTGTGAATGGTTTCTAACCAGGCAGAAAACAAAGAAATTATCTTTGTAACTGCTACTATTTTGATGTGTTTGCCATCAAAGTGAATATATCTTTTTCCACTAAATTCAAAATGCTGATGATGCTGAACAATAGAGATTTAAAGATTTAGTTACAAATAAAAAATAATGGTGCATATTCTTTGAGAGTGTTAATTTTTTGATAGATCTTTCATTGTGGTCTTTCGTGCATTTTAATTTATAAATTGTTTTATCCCATCCTCACAGATTAATTTTTTAAATCAATACTAGTCTTATTTATGTGTAAAGATGCTTTATGTTTTATCAGTAATCAGCAGTAGGAATAGGTATGTACAATTTGTGAACTGCCCATGGATTTCTTGCAAGAGTAGAAGTTGACTAGCATGCTAAGAAGCAAAATAATCTTTGATTCAATGCACCTAGCATTTATTTATTATAACTATAGGCATAAGGTGGTAGCCTTTTTTCACAGGGAAATGTAAATGGAATTCTCCATACAAAAAAGTTGACGGCAATAATTTACAAAAAGGAATCAAAAGTTAAAATTTTTCAGAAGCACAATAGATCACCCCTGTTTTAGAATCAGCTTGCATGATTACACAAACCCCTGTTTTAAAAGATTTTCTGATATCTATTACTAGTAGCATTGATTCTCTGAAAAATTCATCATTATTATTTTTAGGAATGTCACCAATTAACAGCTCTGGTTGAATAAATAACTTAGAAGCACTTGAGATGGGGAACTTTTTCTTTTTGTCCTGTTTTCATCCAGGTCTAATTTTTTGGGAAGCTTTCTTTTTGGTTCATTTTTCTTCAGTGATTATTTCACATTAAAATCCCATCTGATGAAAGGCATATGGAAAGGAAGGGAGGTCATTCCTAATTGAACAACCCAGGACTCGTGAGGTTAATTACAGATATTAACGCTGCTGTTCTTCAGCTTCTTGCCCTCAAGAAGCCTCTAGCTTCCAAATGACCTGGCTCCAACAAAGAGACTCTCTTTAGCCCATTAACTAATTGATAAAAATGTGAGTGTTTAGAATGAGTCTAATTAAATCACCGAGCCTTACAATTACTAGTCCATTTGGTAGCTGTTGGGAGATGGGTAACCTCAGCTGGCATTGTAGAGGAATAAAAGATAAAAATAAAAGGGAGCTTAACCAAGATCATTTTGAAAGCTGTTCATTTGAAGACAAAGTACATATTTGCCTGAAATGTCTACATTTACTACTTCAAATGCATTCCCTTTCTAGGGTAGCACAATCTCTGAAAAAGAAAATAACGTCTTTTTTCTTCTTCTTTAAGAGCAGGCATGCTCCACTTTGTCTAATAAAGTTACATGAGTGGCTGGGGAATTTTTTCTGCGTTAGCATTAAGCTAAATTCCTTTAGAGCTGGGAACACTGAAGTTTGTCCATTGAGCTTTTGCTTAAAGGCTGGCAAATGTCTCAAATAGTAGACATTAAAAAACCCAGAGTGGGCTCTCAGGACTTTTTACTTTGTCCCGAGTCTGTTCTAACTCACTGTTTCTGCTGCAGCCCCGATCCATGACCTACCTTCCTTTCTTCCTCTCTCTCTTTCTTTCTTTCTTTCTTTCTCTCTCTCTCTCTCTCTCTCTTTCTTTCTTTTGAGACAGAATCTCGGCGTGTCACCCAGGCTGGAGTGCAGTGGCACGATCTTGGCTCACTGCAAGCTCTGCCTCCTGTGTTCACCCCATTCTCCTGCCTCAGCCTCCCTAGTAGCTGGGACTACAGGTGCCCGCCACCACGCCAGGCTATTTTTTTTTTTTTTTGTATTTTTTAGTAAAGACAGGTTTCACCGTGTTAACCAGGATGGTCTCCATCTCCTGACCTCGTGATCCTCCCGCCTTGGCCTCCCAAAGTGCTGAGATTACAGGCACATGACGTTTCTTAAAGGCTGGAGCTTGTCTGGGCCCTGGGTGGAGGGATGAGAACCACTGACTCAACAGTGGCAGGTCCAGCAAAGCATGCACAATGAGTCAGCCACCAGCCCAGGTGGTGACTTTTGTCCCCAATTAAGAGACATTCGTAGGCTCCTAAATAGGGGATAACACAAGGATAATATGATACTTCTCACTGAAGTCTTAAAAGCAATGTATTAATCAAAGAGCCAAGGAATTTTAAAAGGGGGAAATTTAATTTGTAAAGATCTATTGAATACTTCTCTCCATTTATTCAAAAAAAAGTACTCTATAGTCAAAAAGCTAATTTATCCTGACTTATAAGCTAATCTGGCTGACATCAGTCCCTGTTGATATGGGTAATATTTTTGACGGGGGAGAAATTGCATGAGAATCCTCTGTTTTCTATAGTATCTTTGTAGTAGGTGGTCATAAAAATAATACTGCGGCTTCTTGAATGAGTACACCTGTACTTAATCAGGTGTCAGTACCTTCACTATTAGCTCTGAGAGATAGTTATTTGTTACTGTTGGAAGCATTCAGATAGTGACTAAGCAACAGTTATTTTCAAACTTTTTGTGATATTGAAAGAATGAATATAAATATGAGCATATGTCAATCCTTCCTAGGCACATATTTATTGCCAGAGGCATTAATATTGATAAACAATGGGTCCATCCACTCTACATTAATATAAATCCAAGCAAAAAAGTGTTAAAATCACATTTCACTTTTTTGTCATTTACTCCTAGTCTCTAAGAGGAGGTGTTTTCTTTCTGATTATCCTGTCATTCAACTCATGCTAATTAGTGAGTGTAACAGAACTTTAGCAGACAGTTTGGTTGCAGGTGTATTCAGACCAAGGGAGATTTAATTACTTGCTAATTGCCTGGTGTCCAAGGTAACATAATATCATAGTTGCAAATGCTATGGTATTAATCCATCTTAAAGAAGTGCAACGTGGCTCAGCCTCCACATTCAGAGACTCCTGGAGGACGCTGTTGGCATTGCTACAAGTGCATTGAGGATGGGGGATTGTGTCTTTTGTATTCATGACTGAATACCCAGTGTCTGGCATAGGGCAAGACACATAGTAGACACTCAATAAATATTTATTGCTAAGTGAATGTGAATGAAAGTAAGCCAAATACAAGTACAGTATGAATTACCTGAGCACAGAAAGGGAAGCTATAACTCAGTAGGCTAAGAACAAAAGTGGAGGCAAAAAGGAAGCAAAGTAACATTTTCTGAGCAACTTCCGAAGGCCAAATACTATACATTTACCTAAATTGCCTCATTTAATCTTCTTAGAAGGGTAATGTAGGAATTAAGATCATGGACTTTGGATGAGAAATCTCTGTGTCCTAATCAAAATTCTACCTGTTGCTGGCTTAATGTCCTTCGCCACATCATCTGACTCTTAGAAGCCTCAGTTTTCTCTTCTATAAAATAGAGGGTGTGGGAATAATACTAAACTCAAGGAAGAGTTGTAAAAGTTAAATAAAATGTGTACAATGTCTAGCATACGGTAGGTGGTCAATAAAGCAGTTATTATTTTTAATTTTATAATGGTATTTAAAGTAGCATTATAAAAAACGTTACATAAACTATTGTGATTACCATTTTATTGAAGAGGCACTTGAGACTCAGAGAGGTTAAAGAATTTGCCCTGGCCGGGTGTGGTGGCTCACACCTGTAATCCCAGCACTTTGGGAGGCCGAGGCAGGCGGACCTGAGGTCAGGAGTTGGAGACCAGCTTGGCCAACATGGTGAAACCCTGTCTCTACTAAAAACACAAAATTAGCCTGGCATGACGGCACACGCCTGTAGTCACAGCTACTTGGGAGGCTGAGGCAGGAGAATTGCTGGAACCCAGGAGGTGGAGGTTGCAGTGAGCCAAGATCATGATGCCACTGCACTCCAGCCTGGGCAACAGAGCAAGACTCCGTCTCAAAAAAAAAAAAAAAAAAAAAAAGAATTTGCCTAAGTTCACAGAGCTGGCAAGTGACAAACAGAGCAGCCTGACTTCAAATCTCATGCTTTTTCCATTCTAGCAGACTACTTAAAGGTTATGTTATCTGAATAGACGGGGCTTGATGAAATTTATTCTGCAGCGCTCAAACCAGCCCCTAAAAGTAGGCTGGGGAGTTTTGGAAGCTACATTAAATTTTAGAGCCCAGCATATAGCACAGCAATAATGAATCTCTAACCATGTCATGGATTGTGGTTTGCCAGCATTGAAATACTACTTGCTGTCTCACCCTGATCTTGGAGGTTGACTTGCGGAGACAATGGGTGAAAATACCATCAGAAAGGTGCTGCACAGTCAACTGAAATAAGATCAACAGAAAAAAAAAAAACAACTTAAGGGCACACTGAACTACAAATCAAACTTCACAGCCTTATATTAGATAAGTGGAAGAATGTACCTACTAAGAGTCCAGCTTATCATTCATCTTAAGCAATAGAGCAGCTTTTTTTGGCCAAAAGTTATATGGTATTTTGGGTCCAACTTCAGATCAGTGTGTGTCTACTGCACACAGTAAACAAGTGTTTACTTTTTAATCTGACTGGTCATACCCAGAACTTTCTGATGCCATCTTTGATTATGAAGGACAATGACACTTTTAGCTTGTGGGGTGAATATTTGGGAGGGAAGACACTTGGGTTTTTGTGTATGCTATTTCTGACCCTGGCTTTGTATAGTTCCCTGAACTGAAATTGACCACATTCATCCGTCCTTTCAGAGCTAACTCGGCAAGGAAGTCAATTGTGTGATCTTTGTGATGTCTGTGGCTGAGGCTGTCAGTTTCCATCCCTGTGTGTGGGCCATTTAGATCTGTTCCTTGGCCATGGCTTGTGGGCCCTCCCCCTGCCAGACACCATACTGTTGGCCACAAGCAGGACCTGTTAGGTCATGTGAATAGCTCAGGGTGACATCGTC
Organism: Homo sapiens; assembly: GCF_000001405.40. Taxonomy (NCBI): domain Eukaryota; kingdom Metazoa; phylum Chordata; class Mammalia; order Primates; family Hominidae; genus Homo; species Homo sapiens. The sequence continues at coordinate 56,749,710 of NC_000014.9, read as the reverse complement.
CTGCTGGGAAGAACATGATGGACAAACAACCATAGCATTGTCACCTCACCACAACCATCATTTGGATATTATTCTTTCACCCTCCTCCTCGTATTTCTAGTACCCTTGTCTTTTCCTTCCTAACAAAACCTCATACCAGTCACTAACATTAATGGCCAATGCTTTCCTTTTCAGGGATCTCTTTTTTTTTTTCTTTTTTTGAGATGGATCTTGTTCTGTCACCCAGGCTGGAGTGCTGTGGCAAGATCTTGGCTCACTGCAACCTTCACCTCCCAAGTTCAAGCTATTCTCATGCCTCAGCCTCCCAAGTAGTTGGGATTACAGGCATGCACCACCATCCCTGGTTAATTTTTTTATATTTTTAGTAGAGACAGGGTTCACGTTGGCCAGGCTGATCTTGAACTCCTAGCCTCAAGTGATCTGCCCACTGCACTCCAACCAGCGAGACAGAGTTAGACTCCATCTCAAAAAAAAAAAAAAAAAAAAAAAAAAGATGCTGTTTCCTTAGAATTTGTGAGGTGAGCTCCACTTGTGGTGGGTCCCACTTCATGGGATATGAAGTGAGGCTACTGAATTAACAGCCACTGCTCTCCCTGGTGTCGGGGGCAAGATGCAGCAGTTTTAAGAAAGTCATGAACTCCCCTGCTTTTTCCTGCCTATGGGGTTTTTATCATGCAGACTGTGGTGTCCTCACCTTTGTCTATATGCACGAACCACAGACAGAGGCTGCCCGCATTCTCTATCAGCGGAGAAATGTTTCTCAGCAAGGCCCACTAAAGTATGCTCGGTCCCAACCCGTCACCATAACTTAACCTTTTGGGGAGGGTTTCTCGATTGAGAACATCATTTAAGTCTATGAGTTGTCTCAGAGGACAAAGAACAAATGAATTTTGACTTGGGAAAGATGTCTCAAAGACATCTCCTGCTTGTAAAGGCAGGTGTTTTAAGACATTGAACCCATCCTTAGGTTAACTATTGTACATTTCAGGATTTGCACTCTGCTCCCTAGAGGGGAAAATCCACACATGTCCACTCAGTCCTATGCAAGCTCCCTTCTCAGACTCTGGAATGTTAACAAAGAGCTCAACTTTGGTGGGATTTGGATTTCTCATCACACTTTCTGAGTGGAGCTAGAGGCTTTCAATCCTTAACAAAGGCAATGAGACAGTGGTCCATGAGAAAGAAACAAAAAGGCAGCAATTGGATTAGCACCTGAAAGTCTAACAAATGCCCCAGACTGGAGTAAATCCCCACCAATAAGCACATTCTCTATCACAGCAAAGTTGAGGAACATAATCTGAAACTAGGAAGAGAAGTGTCAGGCAATGGGAAGTATATGAAGACAATAATCAGCCCGAACCCATGGCTACCTCATCTGTAGGCCAAGGTGCAATGCACTGCACATTGATTATGAGAGTAAAGGGATGATAAATCATGTTGGGCACATTGTGTATTATTCAAATCCAACAGATGGGAAATTGGCAGTTCCTAGGAAATAGAAAATTCAACCTTCACTCAAGTGGACTGATAAAATCATCACAAACCATTTTAGAATAACCCCCAACCAGAAAGCTCAGTGATTAAATCGAACACCTCTCAGCTCTCCTTCAATGGTCATTTCATGCTGCCTTAAGTCTAAGAGATGTTTTACCCCTAAAGTTTAAAGGATATAATTTCAACTTACATGGACTGAAGTCTGTGACACTGTATAGGATTAAAGACACCTTCTGAGTCTGTCCCTAAAGTACGTTTAGCCAAGCAACGTCTCAACAAGACAAGTATTTTTCACAGTGGTGTGGCTTAGGAGAGACTTCTCTGTGCTTAAGGGCTGGATTCTCCCAGTATAGATGGATGAGATCAGTCATCAGTCATAGCTATATGAATGCATGAATAAATGGATGGAAGATGTCTAGAATTAGGTGGAAAATTCTCCAAGAATGGAGTACCAGTGACTGACCCTTGCTCTTTTATTACTGAGAGACAGGGAGATGACAGGATGTGAATAGGCAACTTCTTAAAGGTGAATATAGCAGATGAGTGGTTGGTTTCTTCAGAGCAGGGCAATGTCTGGGAAAGTGGATGGGAGAGTATAAGGGGTGATGAACAAGCAGTGCATCCCAAGAGCTGGTGGCAGGATCCTAAGTATGTCATTTTATAGACCCAACTAGATAATATGTAGTATGAATCTGAGATGCCCCATCTGTAGCATTGTGAGAACAATTCTAGTCTTTTCACTAATCCCAGGGAGTATTTCCATGTGGGCCAGTGGTCTACTCAGAGCATTTGGACTACTGAAGTTGCCCATTAACTGGGAAAAGGAAAAAAAAAATGAGAAAGGAAATCTACTGATGAGATTATGATTTAATATTCATTCCTCGTTCCCTCTTCTACCAAACCTGCCGACTAGGAGCCAGTAATTGCAAAGGTCTGTGGAGACGCAGTGCCTTTGGAGTTTTATTTTTTTTAATTAAAGCGAATCAAAACTTTTTTCATTAAAGTGAGTCAAAACAATTTTTAGAAATTCTTGAGATGACCAGGAGCATTATAGACATTGCAAAAATCTTAGGCAGGAATAATCACTGCAGAGATGTACCCTCCACTACTACAGTCAGTGCTTCCAAGGACTCCATCCTTTAGTGACATTTCTGCCCAGAGGAGAAAAACCTCACAGTGAAGAAAACACAGGTAAGTGTCACATTTTTCACTAATAACAGAAACTCAGGGACATCTCCCCCATGCAACTTTCTTTTGAAACAGGGCGGCACTGTGGAAAAGCATTTGACTTGGCTGGAAGAAAGTCAGTTTCTGGAGCACCTGTTGGTTGAACATGCAGGCCACTTTCCACAGCTGTGATCCTCAGGCCCCCCAATCATGAGTAGGCATGTGGCATGCCAAATATATACATGGACCTCTCTTGTGGGTAGGTGTGTCCTGGACATCATCCTCATCGCCACCACCCTCCTCCTCATCATCCACCTCATAAATAGCAGTCACCATTCATTGTGCCAAGCACTGTATTAGGGACTTCACTGAATTATTACTAGTAATAATCCTTACACAAATCTACAAAGTAGCCTTACTTCCGTTTTTACCATGAGGAAATTGAGGCTCAGAGAGGTTAAGTGATTTTCTCAAGGGTGCACAAGACCATAAGCAGCTAATGTTGGATTTGAACCCAGGCCTGCTTGATTCTGCAGTCCCAGGCTGCATTGCCTTAACGAGGTATTTCCACCTTGCCTGTGGACTGTGGGACTTTCCGAGGTCTACCTGTGTCATGGGAATGTTCAGTCAGGTGGAACTAAGTTTTCCTGTGGAAGATATTTTAGAGCATTTTTGTTTCCCTATATTCAGCAGGGCCTCTGCTTTTCTCTCACCCCAAATTGCTTCCTGGAGTAACCTGAGCATTGGGGAGAATAGGAACTAAAATTATATGCTGTGAACCTCTCCCAGGAGAAAACATCATGCTGATTTTATACAGGCCAAAAGCTCAGGTGTATTTTATGTGGATTTTCTCAACTGGTGACTTCAACCTTTTTGCATTTGGCACTTATTAGGGACTCTCCGGGGGCCTCCTGCTCCACGGAACCTCCTCCCTCAAAGATATTGCAGTCTAGTCAGGAGGCAAAACAGACACACAAAGTAAGCAATTAGAGAAAGGGGAAGTGTCAAATTGTGTGGCGCCACTGCTGGAAGTAAAATACTGTTGTTTGGAAGAGGAAATACGTTCCTAGGGTGTGTGTATGTGGGGAGAGGCATTAATGGGCTTATTTGGGGCCATATGGAACTTAAGGAGATGAGGCTTTTTCCAGGCACAGACATCTAGAAAGAGCTAGAGGTAAAATAGAATCAGAGCCAGGCGCATGGGCCGGACTGGAGAAGGAGACTTCCAAGTTCTATACAGGGATGATACTAAGGACACTAGAAAGAGCAAGTTCTGGAGGGCTTAAATTTGGAAAGAAACTGATGGAGGATTAAGGAACACTCATAGTCGGAGGTCCAGGAGGAGAAAGAGCCGGGGAAGGTCACATTACAGAAGCCACAGGTGTGTTTGATGTAGAGCGCAGGCTGTAATGTCACCAGCTACAGAGAAGGTGGGCAAGATAAGCATGGAGAACTGGAGTTCTCTAGTGTGGGGGCCTGGCTGGGATTCAGGCATTCCAACTTCCTCATAAGAAAGAGGACTGACTCCCTGGAAAGACTTGTAACTACAACAGCCTCAGTTTCCCCACCTTATCAAGGTAGACACATCCTACTTGGAGGCCAGAGGAGCCTAAACTGATGAATTTCTACAGTTTCCAAGATGAAAGCTATTAAACGAAATGAAGGAGTTGACCTATAAGAGAGTCAATACTGTATGTGTGAATATGCTACGTGTTCTCGTGTGGCAAGAATTTGAAATATTTACAAGTAATGCTGGGGGATGCAGGAATGCCCAGAGGGGAGCTGAGAAGTGAGTGCCACACTTCTGAGGCTGGTTTTCCTCAGGGGGCAAGCGTAGGGCCAACTGGCAAAGTCAGGAAACTGTTCAGAGAAATAATTATGTCTTCAGCAAAGTACTCATTGATAACATCTAAAATTGTTTTGTAAGAAGTGAAATAGTGAATGTATTAGAAATAATTAAAAACTTATAAACCAAAATATTCTTTGAGAAATTTTTAAAAATTATTATTCACAGCCAGGTGTAGTGGCTCACACCTGTAATCCCAGCACTTTGGGAGACTGAGGGGGGCAGATTGCCTGAGGTCAGCAGTTCAAGACAGTCTGGCCAACATGGTGAAACCCTGTCTCTACTAAAAATGCAAAAATTAGCCAGCCGTACTGGTGCGTGCCTGTGATCCCAGCTACTCAGGAAGCTGAGGCAGGATAATCGCTTGAACCTGGGAGGCAGAGGTTGCAGTGAGCCGAGATCACGCCATTGCACTCAGCCTGGGTGACAGAGTCAGGCTCTGTCTCAGAAAAAAAAAAATTATTATTCACTTTGAAAAGGACAATCTGAAAAATAAAAGGGCGTTAGTATACACTGCAGGCAAATAATTTGCCAAAAGCTAATGTATTAGGGCCTTAAAATGTTTTATCCAAATTAATTATTTCTTCTCTACCTTTTAGGACAGTAGGAATGAGGACTGTACATGCATCAGCATGTGGGCCAGATGTGGCCCAGAGAGGTCTGTGAGTCTTTCAAAGTAACACAGCCACAGTGGGTTGAAGACCCAACCCATCTCTGTCCTCTTGCAACCCTGGTATACACACCACCTTAATTACAATCCTGACAAACATACCTCATCCCGTGCCTGATCCTTTAACAAATATTTGCTTATATAATGAATAAAAGCCCCAAATTGAAATGGCCCAACCGTAGAAATAAATACAAAACAGCTGTCAGGGCTGCTGGTATAAATTCCAAAGGGTGGTCCTTCTTCAGGGTACTTCCTCAAAGCCTCGGGGAAGGGGTGTTTTGGAAGTGTAAATGTGGCACATTCACATGTTAGCATATTTTCCTCTCTGCCAGAGAACAAGAGCCAACTTGTAGATTTAACTAATTAAAACCCTGTCAGTATCAGCAAAGATCTGAAATGGGGTCCTGGCTAATTAAGAGCTGGGCCTGTGCCCTGACAGAGTGTACACTGAAAACAGCCCCTGCCGTTTCAGGTAGGTTTTGCCTTGACCAAGAGCATGCAGTGGGCCCCATGCAGTTCCTCTGCAGATTCTACAACTAACTGTAACTTGAAACCCATACCTTATGAATTTCTGCCACTAATAACAGCAAATCTGCTGGCTAACTTGATTAACATCATCGTTGCCTCTATTTCTTTTTTTGAGACAGTCTCGCTCTGTTGCCCAGGCTGGAGTGCAGTGGCGCGATTTCAGCTCACTGCAACCTCCACCTCCTGGGTTCAAGTGATTCTCCTGCCTCAGCCTCCCAAGTAGCTGGGATTACAGGTATCCGCCACCACGCCCAGCTAATTTTTGTATTTTTAGTAGAGATGGAGTTTCACCATGTTGGCCAAGCTGGTCTTGAACTCCTGACCTCAGGTGATCCACCCGCCTTGGCCTCCCAAAGTGCTGGGGTTACAGGAGTGAGCCACTGGGCCTGGCCTAATTTCTTTATTTGAGAATTATAACTAACTACTTGTCCCTGTCACCTTCAAAATTGTTTATGAAGAATTTTGTGTTCTTATGTTCAAATACAGGAATGAGTAAGCATTTATAAATGGTCACCTGTAGGAAATACAAAAGAACAAGATGTGAATTTTACCCTTCAGGAATGTATATGTTTTTGGGGAAGATGAATTGTATACACACAAAATAATTAGTAGATAATGGTCAGCACAATTTGATCAAGAGCTAACTTTTTTTTGGTTTTGGCTGTAACTCCAATAGGAATTCAGAAAATGGTAGGGGTAGCTAACTTTTATCAAGGTTTTATCATTTGTAAAGTTGAGTGCTTTACATGGAATGTCTCAGTTAACTTTCAGAGCAACTTGATGAAGCAGACGCTGTTTTAGCGAGGGCAAAAATGGAATCTTTAAGAGGTTGAGGGACTGGCCGGCCAACAGCAGAACCTGAGTTTCCACATACGTGTCTTGGATTTCAGGACCCTGGGCTCATAACCATGGCATGATACTGGGTTCTCATTCAGGGATGCAGGATTCAATTATCCCCACATTTGCCCTCTTCACTTCTCAGCTGTTTGATTTCTGGATTAGGGTCAGGAATATTTTCCTCCATGTGTGATTTGTTCCTGGCAGAAGGCAGTGGCAGGTCGAGAGTGGCTTAAAGAAGCCTCAGAATACAGAGGTATGATCTTGCCACCTTTCTTTTTAAAGTATCCTACAATATTAGGCATCATATGATGTTTATCAGTGACTGTGTCCAGACAGCTTTTAGAGGTGAGTGGATTTCTGCACCCCGATGAATCTGCTTCATTACCAGTGCTGAGAAGTACAGGATGAATTGGAAGCAAAGGGGGAAAAAGAACACGGCAACCTAATTGGTCACTGCCATGAATCTATACTCAGGGGACAGATAGCACAACCAGAGGTAATAGCTTACACACGTATTCTTGAGCTGTGCAATAGATGGAAAAGGGTCCCAGATGGATTGGGCAGGGGCTTAGTTCCGGGATTATGATGAGACAGTGGGTAATTATTGAGTGGCAGGGCCTCAGCCCTGATTAGTATCTGCAAGCTTGTTCCCCTCCTTCAGAGGAAAGCATTGATAAAGATAAACCATGCTGCTTCATGTCCTTCATGCAGCACAGAACAACACATTTCAATCTAACAGGATCAGGTCCCCACTTTGATCACAATCTGTTACCTAGATGTCTTTGCAAATTAATCAGTCCTGCTTGTTTAGCTCCAGTCAGTTTGTACTGCTAAATTAATAAATGTACCAGGAGCAACAGAACACATAATTAAATTCTACAGTTTAATCTCCACATAATAATTTTGACCTTAGTCTGGGTCCTCCATTCTAGCCAGTAGAATGCAGAACAACCACAACCTTTCCTGCATAGTTTATACTCAAAAGCCACCGTACAGGTGAGCTCCATGGCTCTGAAAAATCAGAGAAATACTGCAATAAACAAGAAAAAATCATGTGCTCAACTTTAAGGTAGAGAAGGCAGATAAACTAAGCATTTGGTATCCTGAGCTATCTTTAAAACAGAAAGTACTTTTTTGGCAGAAGAACAAAAAAAACTTTTATGTTTCAAAAACAAAGGATATAGGCCAGGCACAGTGGCGCATACCTGTAATCCCAGCACTTTGGAAGGCCAAAGCAGGTGGATCATGAGGTCAGGAGATTGAGATCAGCCTGGCCAACATGTTGAAACCGTGTCTCTACTAAAAAAAAATACAAAAATTAGCCAGGTGTGGTGGCGCGTGCCTGTAGTCCCAGTTACTCAGGAGGCTGAGGCAGGAGAATCACTTGAACCCGGGAGGTAGAGGTTGCAGTGGATCAAGATGGCACCACCGCACTCCAGCCTCGGCAACAGAGCGAGACTCTGTCCCCCCAAAACAACCAAAAAACAAAAAAAAAAAACCCAAAACAAAAACAAAGGATATGTGCTTGTCGAATTTAATGCCCTAGCAGAGTGAAAAAAGCACCTACTAACAGGCTGGGAGCTCCTTTATAGAGAACTTTGGGCCTAAGTGTGGGCTCTTTCATAACGGTCTGATGTAACATGTTGGCTGTGCTTGAAGGTCCTTGAACTGTTAACCTGGCTTGGCGTGCCTTCACATTGAGCCAGATATTCAGCTAGTGCAACATCCTGGACCTGAGTTTCCCTGTGGGTCTTAAAAGATTTTTGTAGGTTTTTCACTGGATATCTATTAGAAATGGTGAAGGCCGGGCACGGTGGCTCATGCATATAATCCCAACACTTTGGGAGGCTGAGGTGGGTGGATCACCTGAGGTCAGGAGTTCAAGACCAGCCTGGCCAACATGGTGAAACCCCATCTCCACTAAAAATAAAAAAAAAAAAAAGCTGGGCATTGTGGTGGGCACCTGTAATCCCAGCTACTTGGGTGGCTAAGGCAGGAGAATGGCTTGAACCTGGGAGGCAGAGGTTGCAGTGAGCTGAGATCACTCCATTGCACTCCAGCCTGGGCAACAAGAGTGAAACTGTCTCAAAAAAAACAGGAATGGTTAAAATTATTTTTGTTTATTTTGTGAAGACTCATTTATTTTTCAAAGCTAGTTATTTTAGCGTTCCTGGAAAATGTATAGAGAAAGTTGTTTGATATTCAGCCAAGGTGAATTGTTGCATTTGGTTTGAGTGGAATTTTGCTGTCTTCATTTAAAGTTTACTAGAATTATAACTAACTACTTGTCGCTTTCACCTTGTTGGCAACACCATTTTCTCGCTGTAGAGGTAATGGAGCCGGGACAAGGTGGCATCGTATTGAGCTGGGAGCTGGCTCATGACTGGACTCTGCTACCACCCTCTGATGACTGGGACGGGTCATTTAACCTCTGTGGGTCTCAGTTTTCTGATCTGAAAAATAAGGGGGTTGGATTCACTAATCTCCAAGAGACTAAAATTCTGTGTGTCTGTGATTCCACTCACACGGAGTCAAGTGGGAATTAAGGCAATTATGGGAATAATGCAAACCAAAGGGACACTTTGCAAACCAAAAGGAACTCTCTCTGTTGGGGTATTTCAGGCAAAACTGGCCATTGAGTTTCATTTTTAAACTGAATTTATAGATAATTACCTCAGTTCTGCCACTTAATTGTGTGTCTGTCAGCACAGGCTTGATGCTTCTACCAGATAACCAATGATTAAAGTATTTGGTTAAATATTCAGCAGCGTGGAATTCCCATTCAGCTCTACCAATAAGGGGGAGGCGGGGACAGAGATGTGTATTTGTGGGGAAGCCCAGGGGTAGGGGAGGGATTATGCATAATTTGAGGGTTTTTAATATTTGGGTCATCAATGTTTTACCTAAAATAAATTGATTTCATTTAAAAAATAAGTTGGGCTTGTCACAAAAGAACTCCAACATAAATTAAACATGAGAAATGCAGCTGTGCAGTAAGATGTTAAAATACAGATGATACTGAAAAAAAATGAGGAAGTCTTAAAGGAAAGATTTTTAATCGGAAATTAATTCACATATTATTTACTTAAATACTCTGGCATGCATTTGTGTAAATACACCATCTATTTTTATAATAATGACTTTATTTTGGCACTCTAAGTTATAGATTAGAAAAATCTGGTAGAGGGAGGAAGGGCTAGTTTATTCAACTTTTTTTCATCTGAAAAGATTGAAGGATTAAAAATATTTACTTCATTTTTATAATAAAATAACTTATCTCTACTTACACAAAATAGTTTATATTGGGATTCCGCTTTAAGCCTTTTCTAAAAGCACCATCAATATCAGTTAATATGTGAAATTCCCTGAGGAAAATCTATTAAAGTGTCCGTATGTCACCCATGTGAATAACAAATGAATTAATTATGACGAGTGCAATTACAAGGAATAGTTAATGAAGCCATAATGACCAGACTCTGGTGGTAATTTTCAAAGCACAGTGAGAGGGAACTGTGGCAAAGGGTCCCCAAAGAAAACAATGAGCTTTGTGTACTCACCTTGGAGGCAGGGTCGTTGAGTGCGTCATGGAATGGGGCTGGTGAAGGACCCTTGCTATCTGAATGGAGCTTTTCCTGCAGTCTATCATCAGCTTGCTGTGGGTTCAGATGGCCTAGCAGCGGCAGCTCAACCAAACCAGCAGCACCAAGTCCCCAATTCCAGTTGACCAGGGCTCCTAGAGACATCAGTTTCTTACTTTAAGAACAGGGCAGGCCGGGCGCGGTGGCTCACGCCTGAAATCCCAGCACTTTGGGAGGCCGAGGCGGGTGAATCACGAGGTCAGGAGATCAAGACCATCTTGACTAACACGGTGAAACCCTGCCTCTACTAAAAATACAAAAAATTAGCCGGGCGCGGTGGCGGGCGCCTGTAGTCCCAGCTACTCAGGAGGCTGAGACAGGAGAATGGCGTGAACCCGGGAGGCGGAGCTTGCAGTGAGTCGAGATCGCGCCACTGCACTTCAGCCTGGGCGACAGAGCGAGAGACTCGGTCTCAAAAAATAAAAATAAATAAATAATAAATAACAGGGCAAAAGGAAAAGAAACCAACATTTCAGTGAAGATATGGTTTTACTTAAGCAAGATAAATTAAGAATAGGTGAGCAAAATGAACTAAAGAGTAAGAAAGTGAGAGAGCATCAAAAAGGAGGGTGCTGCACAAACCACAGGCTGTGCGCGGCCTCCCACTTCCTCGGTTTGGATCAATTTCCTCAGCTGAAAAGTAAGGGGGCAGACTAGCTCATCTACAAGAGACTAAAATTCTGTGTATCTATGATTCATTTATATTTTACAGTTCCAAAAAGCAGTTTTAACTTAGAAAAGCAGTAGTGTTTATTTTCTAGTGGCAGGGTTGAAAAGGGAAAGGCAATTGGTTATGTTATTGAGGGAGGAAAACAAAGCAAAAACTTAGGAGAAATCCTAGTACTCCTGGTACTGAGGCCAGAGAGTATGAAAATAACACAGTGGCAAGATTATACCTGGTGTCCTGATATTTGCCTAGAAATCTACCTTCTTTAATACACAAACACACATACATATCAGGCTACTAAAGATCTATTTGTAAGCTTGGGGATACAAAACCATATTGCTATGTTATTAGCCAATAAGAAGCCTATTTGTCAGTTTTTCAAAATATTAGGTTAGGGAAGTTGAGTTCTTACCACAGTGAGGAAACTTGTGGCAAGACCCACTGGGTGCTCATGCCAAGCCTCTCTTCCTGAGGTTATGTTCCTCCTAATGGGAGGAAGGACTAAAGGATGGTCAAGGAGTAAGAGAAGGTTATGAAGGTGAGTCTGGCATGTAGAAGCCCAGAGGATCAGGTTCTAACAGCACCACCCCCTTTCACCTCCATGAATGTGTTTATTCACCTCTGTGGATGGGACTTAGTGAATATCTGTCAACATAACAACTGGCAGGATCCAAAATACACAGAGGACTAAGTACTTACTACCTAGGGTATTTCGATAGTGGTTTATCTCTACAATCTACAGTCACCTTTTTTTTCAAGTTTTAAATTCATGTCAAGGTCTATCCTAGCTGTCCATCTCTGATTGGCTCACCATTTTTGAATGTCAAGAGGTCTTCTAATAGGAAGCTCGCTTCAAAGACATTTGCTGATCCGTGCCTCAAGGGAGAAGGTTCTTAAACATTCTATCTTATGCAAATATGGGTGACCTGTTGTGTGCCAAGCACTTGACTAGGTGCCACAAATGTAATGATGAACCCACTAAATCGTTATCCTCCAGAAACCTGTGATATAATGGAGATACCATCTGTTTATAAGTAAACAGATACTTATAAATGAGGGTAGTATGCTCTACCTAAGGGTGGCAAGGGGCTAGGGCATCCCAAGGGAAGGGCACCTAGTCTTGGCTGTGTTAAGTAGGATGTTGAGAGAAAGTTGACCTTTAAGCCAAGATCTAAAGGATGGGGAAAAGTCAAAGGTGGGGGGCACACAAGGAAAGTGGGAGTGTTGCTAGTTATAGAACAGCAAGGGCAAAATCTTGGCGTTTATACCGTAATGACAGCTAATATGTATTGAGCACTTACTATTTGCACAGCACTCCTCTAAGTGTACACACACACACACACACACACACACACACACTCCTCTCTATGAAGCATGCATATACTGTCAGAATCCCCATTTTTATCAATGTTTATAACATAGAAACGCTTCTATGAGCCATAGAAAGCCATAGAAAGTTTAAGAAACTTGCCCACGGTCCTTGAGCTAGTAGTGAGAAGATCTGGGATTCATGTCCAGGTGTTCAATTCCAGAACCACTATATTTAATGACAAAAGCTAATGACTTTTGGGATCCAGAGCTACCATGTGAACAATTTCGATTCCAGAGCCACCATGTTAATGACTGGCTTTTCATGATGCTCGGGGGGATTTGAAGTGGTTCAGTATGGTTGGAGTGTGGCAGGGTAGGGACAGATGATACTGCAGAGCTTAACAGAGGACTAATTGTGCAGGTTGTTTTATAAAAGTGTCCCTTTCCCTTAGGAACACCTGAAAGTTAGCATGAGTGTGAAAGATGAGGAAGGAGAGTGATATGTGGCTTTGGATATCCTTTGAAAGAGCTGAATTTATTGTGTTTTTTTCACCTAAATCCCTCTTTACAGTTTTTCTGGCCTAAATATACAAAAGAGTAATTGATATAAGTTAAGTAAAATAGAGCTGATTGGACTTGAATAAAATGCAGTATGGTAATGTAATAATAACAACCATAAAAATAGCAGCAGTAGTAATGAGTTTGCATCTATGGCGAAGGCCTTAGAGACTTTTCTCATCCCAGGCTTCTCAAGAACATTCTATCTTTCACCTGGGACTCTAGTAGATTGGGCATCAGTGAGAAGGCCTCTCAAAAGTTGTTTGCTGCCAAGACCATATATAGGAAAAACCCTGTCTTCATTGCTTCAGGGGCGACCTGGTGTCCCAAACAGCCAGATAAAGACTGTGCCCACTCCCTAACATCCTCCCCCACCAAAACTCTGAGAACCTCCATGAGATCATCTGGTCTCATTTCAAAAAATCAATGAGGGTATTTTTTCATCATGTCTTAGAAAATAGCATGAAAACAAAGAGAACCTAATAAAAGATGTAATGAGAAATGTAATGGGTGGATTTGAATACAATGTGAAAGAATAAATATACTCAGTTAGCTTTTGTACTTCTCTAAGAACAAAAGAAATATGCTTTAAAGAAAGAAGTAAAAATCCAAGTTATTTAACTCTCTTAGGGTCCCATTTACCTTGTATAAGATGAGGCTAGGCTGGGCACAGTGGCTCACACCTATAATCCCCACACTTTGGGAGGTGGTGGGAAGATTGCTTGAGTCCAAAAGTTCAAGAACAGCCTGGGCAATACAGTGAGACCCTGTCTCTACAAAAAATTAGAAACTTAGCTGGGCATGGTGGCATGCGCCTGTTGTACCAGCTACTTGGGAAGCTGAAGTGGGAGGATCACTTGAGCCCAGGAAGTCGAGACTGCAGTGAGCTGTGATCATGATAGCACCACTGCACTGTAGCCTGTGTGACAGAGCAAGACTCTGCCTTAAAAAGGAAAAAAAAATTTTAATTAAAAAATAAAAAACGGGGCTAATGTCTTTGCACAAGGGGTTGGGCAAAAATGAGGCCCTTATCTCTAAGAGCTATGAGTTAGCCAGCTTTTATTTAGTGCTCACCATTTGTAGGTCACTAATGCTGCCAGAAAAGAGCTGGTTAAAAAAATGGCAGCTTTACTATCACTTATAATTGAGTTAAGGAGGTTGACCAAGGAACTAAAATGACAAAGATGATAGCTGCTACTCACCAGCCACACCAAGCATTCTGCGTGAATGATCTCACTCCATCCCCACAACTCTTCTGTGTATCAGGACCATCCCATTTTATATGTGAGGGACAGTAGTTCAGAGAAATTATGTAATTTGCTTGATGTCACATAGCTAGTAAATATGGCTTAAAATATGGCTTTGGGATCTGAAGCTAGCCTGTCTCTCTAAGCCTCATATGTTTAGGTTAGCCACAGAAATTGTGCTCAATATAAACATGTACTGTGGGGCTACCTAATAAAATATAAATGAAAGGTCAAAAAATTCAGAAGATAAAAAGAGTGACTCATGAAAGAGTTTTAAAGAAGAGAGCAATACGACAGCCCAGTGTGGTGACTCACGCCTGTAATCCCAGCACTTTGGGAGGCTGAGGCAGGCAGATCACTTGAGGTCAGGAGTTCAAGACCAGCCTGGCTAGCATGGCGAGACCCCATCTCTACTAAAAATACAAAAATTAGCCAGATGTGGTGGTGAGCACCTGTAATCCCAGCTACCCAAACCCAGGAGGTGGAGGTTGCAGTGAGCCGAGATTGCACCAACAGCAATCCAGCCTGCCTGGGTGGTCTCAAAAAAAAAAAAAAAAGAGAGAGAGAGAGAGATACTAAAGTAAACTTAATAACTTAATTTCTGCTTTAAATATACACTTTTTTGGGGATTTGGTTATCATTTATTAGATCATATATTAGGATCTGGTTTTAGAGTTGTATATCTGATTCCAGACACCTTAAATTCATCTCTTTGTTAATCTTATTTTTATTTTTCTTACAGAATTAGGATATTAGACAGAATGTTGTTTTACTGGAGAGGCACCATTTAACCAATTTTCCTGTGTTAATCCTGGACCTGAAACCACTTCAGAAGTGCAATATGGCATTTCTTTGCATTAAAATCATGAAAAATGGGAATACAGTGCTTCACAACCAGCAGATCAAGCAAATCTTGGTGCCTAGAGTGATAGCATCTAGAATGCACAAATCACCATTTAAGACATTTCTTTACTTTCTTACTTGCTTGTTTTGCATAAGCTAATTGCCCAGGATGCAAAACTTAAAAGATAACGAAAGGGTATAGAAAGAAGTCTCCCTTCTGTACTTGTTCCCAGACTACCAGTTCCCTTTACCAAAGGTAAACAATGTCAACTGTTGCAGGGTTATCATTGCAGAGACATTTTATGTGCATTCAAACTTACTTGCCTGTGTTTCTGCACTCTATCACCCTACACCATTTTAGAAACATAGTAGTATATTGCACACAAATGTTTGCCCTTTGTTTTCCTAACCTAGAACTATAACTGGCAGATCATTCCATATTATATGCATAAAGCTTCCCCCTCCCTTTTTTTTAACAGCTATACTGATAAGGCATTGTAAACAGTTTCCTATTGATATGGAGAAGCTATTTCATACACAAACTAGTATGTCCATAAGAAAAATTCCTAGAAGGGGAATTGCTGGGTCAAAGATATCCACAAATTGCTTTCCAAAGAGGCTGCCCTAACTTAAATGCCCCAGCAATGTACCTATATCCACAGTCTCACCAACACACTGCAAGATGTTTTTAAATCTGTGCTAATCTAACAGGTGAAAACAGGTATGACAATATAGGTTTAATTTGCATCTCTCTTCCTATGAGTGATGTTGAGGCAGAGAAGGCCATTTACAGTGATTTTACTCTTCTGGGTGTCTCTGGTGGTGCAAAGCACATGGGAATCACTATTGCATGCTGTTTGAAGGGTTACTGAGGGAATGCCACAGGCACACTACTTACATGTTCTAAATTGTCAGGCCTTGAAAAAGAGAAAAAAGTCAAAAGCAAAATTCATTGTAGACTGAAGAAAATACACAAATTAACAGCCAAGAAAGTCATTTGCAAAGGGTGAGGCCTCAAGTTGTCAAAATTATGTTTCCTTGCGTCGCTACTTAGATTTTTCTAGATGGAGGAAAACCCTTCAAAGAGTAGAGATTCCATCGGGAGAGGCTTGAGAATTAGCTGCCAGGCTGCCACCTTAGACAAATCTTTGACAAATTCTTGCTTGGAGGATCCTGGGAAAAGACCTCACTTTTCCTTCAAAAGGGTCTCAGGATCACTTTAAAGTCGGCAGTGAATCCCAATTGCTCCTAATTAGGCCTTCTGTTTTGTTAATTGCTCTGGGAACTCCCTGGGAGAGGGTAGAAAGCCCTGGACCTGCAGTGGTTTGGCTTCAAGTGTGTACGATGGCCCGTGGAGAGCGAGCAGGACCCACGCAGCTGCTCCGACGGTCAGGCTCCAGAGCTGCCCTGGGACTCCTGGAGAGGCAGAGGTAGGCAGCCAGCTGGGCCTGGAAACAGTTCATTTAAGAGCAGTGTTCCCTGCTTCCTCCTTCCTTATGAAGAAATCTGCAAAAACTTGCCTTTTAAACGCAGCCTTGTAAAATATCCTTTTACAATGCCCTCCTTAGCTTATTGGGCTTTAGCACAAGCCAAGGAAAAGTTACAGTGTGCCCCAGTCCTTTAAAAATGTCTGAATATGAGCTTTACCGCTTCCTCTTTGTTGTTGTTGTTGTTTTGAGACGGAGTTTTGCTTTTGTTGCCCAGGCTGGAGTGCAATGGTGCGATCTCGGCTCACCGCAATCTCCTCCTCCCGGGTTCAAGTGATTCTCCTGCCTCATCCTCCCAAGTAGCTGGGATTACAGACATGCGCCACCATACCCGGCTAATTTTGTATTTTTTAGTAGAGATGGGGTTTCTCCATGTAGGTCAGGCTGGTCTCAAACTCCCGACCTCAGGTGATCCGCCCACCTCGGCCTCCCAAAGTGCTGGGATTACAGGCGTGAGCCACCGCACCTGGCTACCACTTCCATTTTAATCCCTACTGCTATCTTATTTCTAACAAAGCCACTGTTCTATAATTGTTGAAGTAAAATCAAATAGCAATTTGCAGGATAGTTTAGAATTTCTAAGACATTTTCATCTATGTTGATATACATTAGCACATTTGCTTATACCCTTAGTAGGCAGAGCTGGTATTGCTATTAGGCCCATTTCGTCCAGGAGACACTGAAGCTCAGGAGATTTGGGGCCTTGTTCAAAAGCCACATAGACACATAGAGCCAGAGTTAAACCTCAAACCCATTTTATTGTGTTTGTTCTTTAATATTCTTCTGAGGTCATAAATTTCACTCATTGAAAACACATAACAATATTTATTGGACACCTACTATGTATTAGTACCATTTAAAGTATTGAGGATACACCACTGAAAAAAGCATACAAATTCCTGCTATCCCGGAGCTGACATTCTAATGGGGAATTAAATAATAAAAAAGGCCAGGTATGATGGCTCACACCCGTAATCCCAGCACTTTGGGAAGCTGAGGCAGGTGGATGACCTGAGGTCAGGGGTTCGAGACCAGCCTGGCCAACATGGTGAAACCCCATCTCCACTAAAAATAAAAAAAAAAAACTCAGCTGGGCGTGGTGGCAGATGCCTGTAATCCCAGCTACTCGGGAGGCTGAGGCAGGAGAATCACTTGAACCCAGGATACAGATGTTGCGGTGAGACGAGATTGCGCCACTGCACTCCAGCCTGGGCAACAAGAGCAAAACTCCATTTAAAAAACAACAACAACAACAATAATAATCATAATAAACAAAAAGTATGTATGTTAGTTGGTGATTTATCATGCAGTTTTAATCATCCAAACTACTTCCCTTTTGGGTGTGAAAGAGGGAATTATTAATAATTACACAAGGTCAATGGTGTAAAGTAGGACTGTCCTGAGCAAAAGTGGATATCTGATCACCCTAGGTATGAAGAAAAATAAAGCTAATAAGGTCACAGAGATTATGGTGACACAGAAGCTAGAGCCAGGAGACCTGGATTCTTGATTTGAATTGTTTTTGGAATTCCTGTATTACCTTTGGCTAGTCACCTCAATGTCTGTGAGCCAGGCTGCTTCAACCATGAAGTAGTTATCAGCAAGTTGCCACCTGTTTCACTTGGGGAAATTCAAGTTGTAGCTGCAAAGTACATTGTCTCTGTAGAGGAATGATGCACCATCTAGAAGCCTGGGTTCTACTTCTGTCCCTTCCAGAAAGCAGCTGTGTGTTGTTAGGGAGGTTATCCCTGTGACTGAGTTTCATTCTTTCCATCCTTTACTCTTTTATTCAGCATTTACTGAGCAACTACTGTATGTTCTCAACAAGAATACATTCCCTCATTTGTGTAGAATGAGAAAAATAACATTTCTACCTGTCTTGTCCAGTTACTGGGGGTGTAAATCACAGCTCTTAATAGTATTCCTTGCATTTTACAAAATGAGGTCATAGAGGCCTGGGGTTACACAGCCAGTGAACGAGAGGGAGCACACACCTCTGACTGGCAGAGCTGAGCTTGGCCAGCTATTCCAAGCAGCTTGCAAAGTGAGGCGCAGCTGGAAGAATGCTTTCTCGAGTGCAGGGCATCTCATAAATGAAGTTACATGTATTACTCCCTTCTCCCAGAATTTAGCATTGCTTTTCTCTTTCCAAGTTGGAATAGACTGAGATAGCCATCAATTCTTAAATGTAAAAATCTCTAACAATTAGGGAAGACGTTTTGCTCTTTCCTCTTCAGCTGTCTTTTTTTTTTTTTTTTTTTTTTTTTTTTTTTTTTTTTTTTTTTTTAACATGAAAGCCACACGAGTTCTATCTTCGGGTATATCTACCCTCAAATTCCAAAGGCTCCTGGATCACCACAAAGTAAACGCAAAAGCAAAAAGACATTTTCACAGCAGGAAAGGGCCACATGCAAATACGGACGTGGAGCAGGAAGGTGCCTCCGCGAGTATATGCGTAGACCGCTCGCTCTCCAGGCTGAGCGCAAGCTTGCTGACCAAGCCTCCCCGCAGGTCCTGTTTACCCAACAGGTCCTTTTTCTCAGTTATTGGGAGGTGATAATGTGTTCCACATATGAAATTCATATCATTTGTGTTTGGCCTCCTTTGCCATTCTAAGAGTTACGAGGGGCACCATTTTAAAATTAATTTGCTGGGTGTTCTGTCTATCTGTTAGGAACAGGAGGAAGCAAGCCCAGTCCGAGTATTTATCAGACACATGCCGCCCATCTGCCAGAGCTAGGTCGAGGAGGATTTGCTGTTAATCCTTCAGACCCATCTGTAGGGGGTTCAAAATGCTGACCAGGAAGCTAGACAAGATGAGGTTTATTTAATTAGAAAAACGACTCTGGAGGTTACTAGAAATCACTCTGAAGAAGGAAGGGCTTTTGACCGCATCACTCCTGAGGGGATGAGAGTGGGCTGAAAGTGGTGAGAGCCCAGAGATTGTTTTGTGTTGGGCTTGGGTGGTTTGTTTTGATTTTAAAGTGCTGTGGCCTGGTTAGGGGAGAACGCATCCTCCTTGGTTATGCATGAGCCAGAACCAGCCTCAGCTCGGACAATTCCACTGGAAGTTTGTGTGTGAGTTGTGATCCTGAGAGACGGAAGACTGCATTTGATTTGCAAGTTTGGATACAGACTGAAAATGACTAAGGAGCTTGATGAGTCCAGAGCAGAACAAGGTGGGCAGGTGAATTCCGGGCACTCGTGCTAACCTGCCAGAAGCTGAAAGCAGCTTGGGGCAAGCACTGTTACCTACACTTTAGCCTTCAAAATTCACTAGAAGATTCTTGTAACTGGGGCTTATTGCCATTTGAGATCCATTTTTGAGGAAAGGAAAATAACAAAATTGCATTTAAATTTTCCCCAGTGGAAAAAAACAACATCCGTTCCAAACGAAATCTCCAGCAATGGCACAGTTCCTTTTTAGTATGAAAATATTATTAGCATAATTGGTTTCTGCAGGGCTGCCATTTTGGACAACTGGGCAGGGGAAATTGTGTGCCTTCCCCCAGCTCCGATTGTTATTTCATGGCAATATAAAGCATGATGATTTTCATTGAAGTGCATCAAGATAAACGGTCTCCTCTCTGCCTAGGGCTTTCTGAAATGGTGTCCCTGTTGCTACACAGATTCCTGGACACTGGTCATCCAGGGATCACATTTTTGAGGCTGTTTTTTTTTTTTTTTTAAAGGTTATTATCCAGGGACCATAAGCTCACCTGGGAGTAAAGTCCAATAAAAGCAGTTGTTTGCTAGAAAGAACAAAACATTTATTTTAGGAATTGCCAACCATTCAGAGAAGCATGAAGTTCTTGCCTGAGCACCATACACTCTCTGCTTCTCGCTTACGGGGGGGTGGAGGGGGACACATGGTTTGTAGTAGCAGAGTCTCCCTGTAGCATCAATCTTTCCAATTCACCTTCTACCTTAGAATTTCCCAGGAATCCCTTCTCCTTCCACTTTGGGAACTCTGGCTGATAAAGGATGCCTGAATCCTAGAAACATCAGGGAGCAAACTCCCCTAAGCTGTTGAAACTCAACAATATAAAGATGTCCAGAGCATGACTGAGAGGAAAAGAGAGCCAAGTAGCTCATACTGGAGGGGGAGTTTCCGAGGGCGCATTCCTGTTGTAGACAGAGCTGTTGGACGCAGCTGCACCAAGGGCATGTCAGCATTTTTGCAGGGTGGACGAACCCGTCATGTAGTGGTCAGTGACCATAAGCAGTCAATGAAGATTTGGGGGGTCATGTAAAACACATGACCACTTAATTGCCTACGTTTCCCATTTCCCACCACCTAAAGGATTACACTAGAATGTAAAAGCAAACAAACAAAAGTAGCAAAAACCCAAAGGCTCTTCTGGTTGTTGAAAATAAGATTTAGGCCGGGCACGGTGGCTCATGCCTGTAATCCCAGCACTTTGGGAGGCCAAGGCGGGCAGATCACCTGAGGTCAGGAGTTCGAGACCAGCCTGGCCAACATGGCAAAAACCCATCTCTACTAAAAATGCAAAAATTAGCCTGGCCTGGTGGTGCATGCCTGTAATCCCAGCTACTCAGGAGGCTGAGACAGGAGAATCACTTTAACCCAGGAGGCGGAGGTTGCAGTGAGCCAAGATTGAACCATTGCACACCAGCCTGGGTGACAGAGCAAGACTCGAACTCAAAAAAATAAATAAATAAATAAATTAATTAATTAATTAATTAAAATTTAATTCTGTAAAAGAGAAATTTTTTTTCAGTTGCAGGTTTTCTGCTTTCCCTATTGAAATATACTTCATTTCCCTTCAGAGCTATAGGAAGGAGTAGTATATTGGTGAACAACAACAAAAAAATTGTTTTATTCCTAATTGTGGATGACTTGTTTTATTTATAAACAAAAGTCCAAAATGCCTTTAAATGTCTGGTTATAGGACATGTGATATTTGGCATCAGACAAACATTGAAAACATATTTGGAAACATTATGGGTTAAAATTAATTTTTTAGATTAAGCCTCAATCTTCTTTCATTAAAGTTGAACAAAGGAATACTTGGATATGTGAAATACTTAATGTGGGCAGTTCCTTTCAGTAGTAGAAACTGTATAAGATGGATTATGCTTTTTTCACTCAGAATTGTTTACTGTGTTCTTGGAATAGATTTCTACTGAATTCTGGGGTAATTCTATGTGCTCCTATTTTCTGGGGTTGTTTTTAAAGTTTCTTATGACTGTAACTGGGTTGAAGATATCTCCAGTAAGCAAAGAAATATCAACTGAAACACTTCTTTTGGTGCTGATTTTAGATGCTTTTTTTTTTTTTAAGATAGGGTCTCACTTTGTCACCCAGGCTGAAGTGCAGTGGTGTGATCACAGCTCACTGCAGCCTCAAACTTCTGGGCTCAAGCAATCCTCCCACCTCAGCCTTCCCAGTAGCTGGGACTACAAGCATACCCCACCAAACTCGGCTAATTTGTTAAATTTTTGGTGCAGACAGAGTCCCACTATGTTGCCCAGGCTGGTCTTGAACTCCTGGCCTCAAGCAGTCTTCCTGCTTCGACCTCCCAAAGTGCTGGGATTACAGGCGTGAGCCACTGCACCTGGCCAGGTGCTCTTTTTTAAATGCTAGATTGTGAGTCTTGTAAATTCACAAAAATCGTCATGTTGTCACCTGAGAATGCTGTCCCTGAAGTGACCTCCCTTCTTATTTCCATATCTGCAGGGCTTCAAACGGAGTTCTCTTTACTTTATGAAAGCCTGGGGCTCGGCCAGGCATGGTGGCTCATGTCTGTAATCCCAGCACTTTGGGAAGCTGAGGTGGGCAGAATACTTGAGCTCAGGAGTTCAAGATCAGCCTGGGCAACATGGCAAAACTTCGTATCTAAAAAAAAAAAAAAAAAATTAGCCGGGCGTGGTATGAGCCTATGGTCCCAGCCACTCAGGGTGGCGCAAGCCTGTGGTCCTATGTGGTCCTAGCTACTCTGGAGGCTGAGATGGGAGAATCCCTTGAGCCCAGAAGGTCGAGGCTACAGTGAGCTGTGATCGCAGCACTGTACTCCAGCCTGGGCAACAGAGTGAGGCCCCGTCTCAAAAAAAAAAAAAAAAAAAAAGAAAAGAAAAGAAAGAAAGCCTGGGGCTTAAGGAAAACACATTCTCATCCTCCTGCTTTCAACCCAGAACTACCAGCTTCCTTGTCTTCCCCTAGGAACTCCATAGCCTTATCTCACTGCAGGGAAGTCTGGCTGTCAGTGAATATGCATTGGCAGGAGGGCTCCTCTTGGCTTATATCCCTCAGATATCAACATCAGCTAGCAAGCTTGGTGGGTGCCCTGAGTTTGCCAGTTTGGATTTAGACCACGAGGGCTCCTAACCTGAGTCTGTGTTGGCTTCAGGAGGCCTGGGCTCCTCTGGAGATGTTAACACTTGTTCATGTGTGTTTCCAAAGAACAGGCTCATAGTTTTTGTTAGATTCCTACAGCAATTCCCCCAAATTAAAACAACAAATTTTAGAGCAAGAGGTGGTACCCGGCACCAGTCCCCTTATGCAAAGGAGGACTTGAGAAACCTCAGTGTGGTCTTGCCCAGGAGACCTTGTTTTATCTCACTTCCAGGCCTTTATCACCCAGTACCTGTATTCCATATTTGCTTCTAAATAAGTTCTTTGTCTCCACTATCTTACCTCTTAAGAACCTTTTTTAAATTTTTTTTAAATCTCAAGTAATACCTTTGCATTTCCTGCTCATGGTTATTTCTGATTCTTGCTGTTGACAGTACTAAAACCCTTTATTAACTGATTGATCATTCATTCATTCTGGAATACCAGTTAAGAGCTCTGGAATCGGGGTATTTGTGTTCATATTTAGATCTGCCAGGTACTGGCCATGTGCCCTTGGGTAAGTTAACTTTCCTAAACCTCATCTGAAAAGCAAAGATAATAATAGTGCTTAACTTGTAGGTTTATTGTGAGGATTAAATATAATCATCCATATAAAGTAGTTTAGTGCCCAGAATATTGCACATAACCAGTAAATGGTTAAAAAATAATTAATTCCACAAATTTTTATTAAGGACATACTGGTGCCAGGTACTGTGCTGGTTGAGATTAATGCTGACTGAACAACAGAGTACTTTGTTCTAGAGTTCATAACTTTCTCAGTAAAAACCTGTTATCCTTAGCCGGACATGCTAAAGTCTATTTGCAGCATTTAACTAGCACTTCTTTGCCTCTGTCTTGCCCATTCCTTCTACCAGTAAGAGTAATATAGCAATAACCAATAAAAATAGCAGCAAGCACACACGCAGTATTAGTACATGCACTTTACAAGCACAGACTGGTTTAACCCTCACCATATCCTTTGGAGGTAAGTACTATTATTCTCTTCTTCTTCTTCTTTTTTTTTTTTTTTTTTTTTTTTTTTTTGAGACTGAGTTTCACTCTTCTTGCCCAGGCTGGAGTGCAATGGCACCATCTCGGCTCACCACAACCTCTGCCTCCCAGGTTCAAGTGATTCTCCTGCCTCAGCCTCCCGAGTAGCTGGGATTACAGGTATGCACCACCACTCCTGGCTAATTCTGTATTTTTAGTAGAGACGGGGTTTCTCCATGTTGGTCAGGCTGGTCTCAAACTCCTGACCTCAGGTGATCTGCCCGCCTCGGCCTCCCAAAGTGCTGGGATTACAGGCATGAGCCACTGTACCCAGCCTGGATGAGGAAACTGAGATGCATGGAGGGAAAGCAACTTGTCCATGATCACACAGGTTTGAATAGCATTGTGACTCCAGAGATGGTGCCCTAGATTGAATCATACTAAATAAGAATAATACTAAATTTGAATACTGAATAAAAACGTGCTCCTTTCCTCCTTTCAGCCCTACCTCCTTTAAAACCTGTCTCAAAACTCCTCTCCTTCATAGGAGCCACACCTGACATTATTTGAACAATGATTTTGCAATTTCTGACCCCTTAATTATTTTTGTATAGCCTTGGTTTGTCCTGCTAATATGCTGTTTGTAAAGGTTCAACTGTTTCTCCATAGCTAGACTCAAATTTCTCAAAAGAAGATTGTATCTTTTGCTAACTGGAGCCCTTCAGGTAGATATTTGAGGATTGTGCTCCTTGGGGACAATTCACATATCTTTGGTGGCAGGTGTTTGGGCCTCTATCATTCATTCAGGGAGTGTTTATGGAGCATCCATACCAGGGGGCAGGCTGTTCCCAGCCCTGAATGCATCTGTGGGTAAAGGCGAGCATGGTGTTCAGGAAGTTGACCAGCTGTGGGGAAGAGCAACATGTAAACAGCCTCTGGGCAAGTGCTACAAAGGAGAGCACACTGAATGAGGACAATCAGTAATATTTGAGATTTAATTCAGTTGAGGAGGTTAGGGAAGGCTTCCAGGAGAAGGGGATGTTTTTGCTGAGACCTGAGTGTTGAGCAGCACTCACCTAGATGAAGGAGGATGGGAGAAACAGCAGCAAAGGCTCTGTGATAGGAGGGAGAAATGTGTATGTGTGTGTGGGGGGGGGGGTGTTGCTGAGGAATGGGAAGGTCAGAGTCAGAGGATGACCAGGAGCGTGCTGTGAGATGAGGTTGCAGTGGTGGGCACAACCATGCAGGGCCTTGTTGAACACATCAGAGTTTGTGTGCAAGGGAAACTAATGAAGGATTTTTTTTTAATTTTTATTTATTTATTTATTCTTTTTTTTTTTTTTTTTTTTTTTTTTGAGACAGAGTCTTGCTCTTTCGCCAGGCTGGAGGCTGGAGTGCAGTGGCATGATCTCGGCTCACTGCAACCTCCACCTTCCAGGTTCAAGTGATTCTTCTGCCTCAGCCTCCCAAGTAGCTGGGACTACAGGCACACGACATCTCGCCCAGCTAATTTTTGTGTTTTTAGTAGAGACGGGGTTTCACCATGTTGGCCAGGATGGTCTCAATCTCCTGACCTCGTGATCCTCCTGCCTCAGCCTCCCAAAGTGCTGGGACTACAGGCATGAGCCATCGCACCTGGCCAAACTATGGAAGGATTTTAAGCCAGGGTAGATGATGGTAGCTTGGACTGGGACTGTGATGTTGAAGGAGAGATGTGAGTGAATTTGACAGGCATTTAGGAGATAAAATGCAATGGGACTCAGTGATTGTTTTATGAGGAGTTACAAAGAGCCATTATTTATGGAAGCCTTTTATGTTCTTGGCACTAGCCAAAGTGCTCTGCACATAGTGATTCATTTACTGCACACAATAACTCAATGTGGTGGTAAACTTATTGTTTCTAACTCATAAATGAGAAGGCAGAGGCGTAGGCCAATGGCAGAACTGCCAGGTGGACCCAGGCAGTTGGGGTTCAAGTCCTTACTCTTGACCACTCTGCTCTAGTGTGCTCTGTTGTGCCTTGGTTTTTTGCTAGCTCCATGGATGAATGGTGGCATCATTCACCAATATGGAAACGGCAGTAGACAGCGACGGGCAGAAGGACTGGAGGGTGAAATTTGGATATGTTGAAATTGAATTCCAGTTCATTGTGAAACACAAATTCATCTACCAGTTATCTAGACCTCCCTCATCTCCTCAGGGCTTTGCTCAGATGTTACTTTCTCCACAAGGTTTACCTGACCCCTTTGTTCAAAACTGTACCCTGCCCCATCCCTTTATCCCCTGTGCCCCCAAACTCCTCTTATTCTTGTTTTTCTCCCTGCAACATTTATCACCTTTCAACATTACATGTTTCACTTGTTGTTAAGTGTATTGTCATTGTCTGCCCTTTGAGAATGTGAGCTTCTCCAGGGCAGGGATCTTTGTTTTGTTCACTGATGTATTTTCAGGACCTAGAACAGTGCCTGGCACATGATAGATGCTAACAAACATTTGTTGAATGAAGGAAAACCATTATTTTTTAGCAAGACTGTTTATAGACTCCCAAATTTGTTCAAAAGATTGGAATTCATGCCTACATTTGCAATTTTTTTGTGATAACTAACTAGAATAACTTCATGACTAGCTTTTACTGATTCATGTGTTATCTTAGAGGCTACTGTTGAATTAGTGATTAGATTCATTTTCCCCCTTTGCTTTTTAGTTAAAAATTTTGTTTTTCTTTTACAAAATAGAGATACGGTCTTGTTTTGTTGCCCAGGCTGGTCTTGAACTCCTGGAACCAAGGGATCCTCCTGCCTCGACTTCCCAAAGTGCTGGGATTATAGGCATGCACCACTGTGCCCAGCCTGCTTTTTGGTTTTATAAGGAATGGCTACTGTTTCATGATAGGTGTTACTTGTTGAGCTTGTTAAAATAAAAAATTATGCTTATGTTTTCTCTTTTGTTCCCTATTTTCTTTTCTTTACCCACATTATACTGATGTGCTAACATGTTTAACATATTCTGCTAGATACGTAAAGCATAGCTGGATCAGTATGATGTTTTCCTACTGCCCTCACATTTGGTAACTAAAACCAGTGGCTCGTAGTTTAACTGCTACCCTCAAATATTGTCACTGTAGGTACTTACTGGAGATTTCTACCATGAATCTGTAATAGGAGCCAGAGATTTTTAGAGGGATAGCTAAAGAACATTTCCATTATCCATTCTGCTAGATCCTTCACATTCTCTCACTTTATTAAGTAAATCAGGAGAGAGCAAAATATCTAGTACTACATTATCTCAGTTGCCGCTGCCTTCCCCTCCATGCTGTAATTTAGCTATAGGCATCATGACCTCACAGTGCATAAGGGTGGGTAGAAGAGTCCTCTTCGAGTATCTGAGCCATGATAGAAAGCATTATCCTGTTACTCAATATACTATATTCAAGAATTCACATCATAAATTTCTCCTGGAAATTAGTTTTTAAGGAAGAATTTCTCTATAGTCATGTGTGTATGTGTGTGTGCATGCATCTGTGTGTGTGTGTGTGTGTGTGTATGTGTAGGGACACCATGCAACCTAACGTACTTTCCTCCTTGCCTTAGTTACCTGGACATCTAAAGCCAAAATCAATCCTCAGCAACACTAATTAACTCCTCTTAGAGAGTTCCTGGAAGACCAGCTTCCTCTGCTTCCCCGGATGGTTTCTGTCTTGTTTCTACCTTTAATGTTCCACTTGATATTATTTTTCACATTTTAAGTCACTTGAAATCCTTTTTGGAACATGTGAGATAGAGTCTGAGTAGCCAAATATGATCAGTTCTTCTTGTCTTGTTCCACAACGTTTTGGATGAGAATCTGAGAATCTCTGGAAGTCATGGTAACAGGAAAAGTGGACATTTACTTCCTGGTATTGTAAAGTAAAGTGCTAAACTCTTTATAGTTGTCATCTTCTTCAATTCCCCACAATAGCCCTCATTTTCTACACATAATTTTCTGCTCATAGCTAATAAGTGGTAAAATCAGGATTTCAACCACAAACTGCCAGATTCCAAAGGCTGTGTACCTTAGAATGGAACAATGGAGAAGTGAAGGCCCTCATTTTCCTGGTTGTACTGTCTCTGGAAGGAGGAAATCCCCAGACTGTGGGCCCAGCTGGCCCTTCAGAGCATCCTCCCTTGCCCACAGTGGCTCCGCCTCACTGGGCTGAGGCCCGGGTAATGGGTAAGTTGACCTGGGCTCTGAGGCAAGGGCTCAACATGGCAGCCTCCACTGGACCCCTGCTCTCAGGCTCCCTCCACACCCCTGTGAAAGGAAATTAAAAATAACCCTCCCTCCTTCAGGTTAAGGGTAAAAAGACCACCCAACAAAAATTACCCCATAGGCTGAGGACAGCATGGGAATTCTCCCTCTTCTTGCTCTAGACTTTGCTGGATTCTAGGGAACATGGCAGCTGCTATAACCATGGTTCTTGGGTGGGTAGGGCTGGGGTTTCACTTTGAGATTCTCTATCCCCCATGTTTAAACACTTTCCTTGTCATTTGTGAATGACAAAAAGCAGACTTCCAGTAGAGCCAGCCATTGAACAGGCATGCACCCACCTGTCCCGACCTTCTCCCACAATCATCCCACCTCCCTACTTGGTTGGAACCTTCCCTCTGCTGGGCTTCAAATCCCCAGCTGCAGCCCTTCCCTAGCCCCTTTATTTTTCTGTTGTTTTTGCCACTTCCCTGAATATTGTGGTATCATGCCAAGCCTTCCATCCCATTCTTTAGCTATTAAGTTGTTGGCTATATTACACAGTGGATTTTGATTCGGATCAGTTAGAGCTAATAGCAATTTTCAGTAAAATATTAACCAAACACACACAAAAGTCGCTCGTGTGGCTCCATCCTCTCCTTCAATAGGATTAATCAAGTTAGCTATTTACTCTTTCCACCACTCCAGTGTTTTCCCACCTTCCACTCCAAACAAGAAAATGACACTAAATTCATTTAATACAAATTTATATTATTGTCTGAGGCATTTTAAACAATGCTTAATTTAATTTTCTTGTTTGGAGTGTGGTATTGGAGAACAGGACCACAGTGTAATGTAAAAATAGGATTCACACATCCACCAGGCACCCAGTTATATTCTCCAGTGACTCACAAGTGCTCTGTTTACCTTCAATAGCAATTCAAATATGCCAAATTATCTCCATCCTGCAGTAAAAGGAAAGTCAGCCTCTGAAAGCAGTTCATTCCACCCCAGGCTGGCAGGCCTTAAGGGCTTGACCTTCAGGATGTGGTACAAGTCCTCTTACTTGATTAGATTTCTGATTCCCGGAAAAGACAAGCCAAATATGTTGACTGTTGATGTTCTCTTGGCCTAGTGATCAGTTAGCTAGAGTTCGAGTCCTTTCTGCCTGAGAGGATGGAAATAACCTTTATTGAGCACCTACACTATGACAGGTGACAGGTGTTTAAAAGAAGTCTCATTTTTAATCTCCTCAAAAATCCTATGAGTAATGGGGTGATCTACATCCAAGGCCACATGGCCAGGAGGTGGTGCTTGTGCCCACAACCATGTGCCTCCTGGGGCTGGCACTGGGCTTTCTCTCTCAAGCTTCAGTGCACAGGGTCACCCATTGTGGGCAGTGTCTTAGCCAGGGGTTACTAATGAGGAGCTTCAGCAGGGCTGTGCATGAAGTCCCTGAAATGGTACACAACCTCTGGATGTCTGTGTACCTTTTCCAGGAGGGAGTCCACAGCTTTCTTCAGTTTCTGAAAAGGCTACCTGATTTAAATAATAATAAGCACGGCTGCCTTGAGCTTTCTCTGAGGACCAGCAGCTGCTGTGGGGCCCCAGGAAGCTCATGCTGCTCATTCTGCACTTGAACTTGGCCGGATACTTGAGCACCAATAACATATCAACAACTACCATTGGTTGAGGAGGACCTACCACGCGCCAGTTCTGCTGGGAACTCTCACCCACTGTAGGAGTGCAAGCAAAGGCTGAGGAAGGACCGTGGCATTCCTTTTAGAGGCCCTCAATCCTGCCTGGGTAGTAAGAAGAACAGAGTTTCTATAGCTGCTGAGCATGGAAAGTCTCCAAGCAGCTAGTTTTTTGATGTGGGTATTACTGAAGAGTATGAAGCTAATGAAGTCCCAATGATTTAATGCAATTCAAATTAATTTTATTTTTATTTATTTATTTATTTTAAGACAGGGTCTCAGCCGGGCGCAGTGGCTCACACCTGTAATCCCAGCACTTTGGGAGGCCGAGGTAGGTGGATCACTTGAAGTCTGGAGTTCAAGACCAGCCTGGCCAACATGATGAAACCCCTTCTTTACAAAAAATACAAAAAAATTAGCTGGGCATGATGGCAGGTGCCTGTAATCCCAGCTACTCTGGAGGCTGAGGTGGGAGAATCCCTTGAACTGGGAGGTGGAGGTTGCAGTGAACTGAGATGCAGCCATTGCACTCCAGCCTGGGTGACAGAGCGAGACTCCATCTCAAAAAATAAAAAAAAAGGGAAGAAAAAAAAGACAGGGACACTCTCTCTCTCTCACCCCAGCTAGAGTGCAATGGCACAACCTTGGCTCACTGCACTCTTAACCTCCTGGGTTCAAGCAATCCTCCCACTTTAGCCTTCCAAGTAGCTGGGACTACAGGCGCATGCCAACTCACTGGCTAATTTTTTTTCTATTTTTTATAGAGACAGGGTCTCACTTCCTTGCCCAGGGTGGTCTCAAACTCCTAGGCTCAAGCAATCCTCCCACCTCAGCCTCCCAAAGTGCTGGGATTACAGGCATGCCTGGCCTAGATTAATTCAGTTCACTGACATCCTGGAATACTTGCTTCTAAGACATCGTGCTGGGGGAGATAAAATAATGAAGACACAACCCCTGGCCTCAAAGGGATTAAGAAAGACAGGTGTATAAAATCGCTGTAACATAGGGCAGAATAGAGTAAACATTATAAGAAAGTTTTCAATTACTTCGTATGGGGGAGATCAGAAGAGGGAAAAAGATCTTGCTTGGTGGGAGTGAGATCAGGGAAGGCATCATTAGGAGATGGCACCTAAACCCTTGAAAGTTTTGCAATAGGCAAAGGATGTTTTTGATGGTAGGAATAGCATCTATGAGGGCATGGGAAATCTGGGACACATTTAGACACTCATGAGCAGCTAAGATTGCGTGGAAGGTAGAGCTCCTATAGAATAGCATGGAAGGCAGACTGCTAGGCTGGGTAGGGCCAGATTAATTTACATGTCATCCCTAGAGAGTCTGATTTAAAGACCTCAACTGAAGTTTGGGCATTGGAATGTTTTAAATCCCCGTAGGTGATTTCTAATGTGCAGCCAGGGCTGGGGACCACTGGGCTAGATGGTCTAAAAGCCCTTTCTGGCCTCTGGTAAGAGAATTTTGCCATTTTGACAAAAGGGTCTGGGTTTGAAAATGTGGGTGGCTTGTAGTAACTTATGACAATGGCTGAAAAACTGATTTAAAATCCTTTGTCTGCAGGCAGTGGGTTCCTGAAGTCTGGAGGGCTGTTCTAAGAGCAGAGTCCAAAGCCTAAGCACATAGAGAATGTAAACATTATGTGGGCTTGCTGGGGACTGACAACTTAGGAATCCTGCCCCATCCAACAGGGGCAGCCTCCACTCAGCTCCCACCAATTGCTGCCAAGTGGGAATGTGGGCCCAGGACTTCCAAATCTTTAGACTTTTCTTTCTTTGCTTCTTCTTCCTCCTCCTCCTGCTTATTCTTATTCTTCCTCTTCTTCTTTTCTTCGTTTCTTTTTTTAATAGAGACAGGGTCTCACTATGTTGCCCAGGCTGGTCTTGAACTCCTAAGCTCAAAGGATCCTCCTGTCTTGGCCTCCCAAAGTGCTGAGATTACAGGTGTGAGTCACCTCATCTTTTGACTTTTCAAGAGAAGCCAGCAATCTGGCAAAAGATTCTGATTTGATCGTTAGTAACAAATGTAAATGTTTGATAAAACCCCATGCAAGCCAAACAAAACACAATGGCAAGCCAGATTCAATTGGCAGGTCTCTGGTCTGATAGTTCTGGCTTAGGGTTTTGACTATTAAAAAGAATTGGCTTTCATTTTTATTTTATTTTTAAAAATTTGCTTATTTATGTATTTATTTATTTTTGAGACAGGGTCTCACTCTGTCATCCAGGCTGGAGTGCAGTGGCGCAATCTTGGCTCATTGAGACTTCCACCTCCCAGGTTCAAGCGATTCTCATGCCTCAGCCTCCTGAGTAGCTAGGATCACAGGTGCACACCACCACACCCAGCAATTTTTTTTTTTTTTTTTGAGACGGAGTCTTGCTCTGTTGCCCAGGCTGGAGTGCAATGGCTTTATCTCAGCTCACTACAAGCTCCACCTCCCGGGTTCACACCATTCTCCTGCCTCAGCCTCCAAAGTAGCTGGGACTACAGGCGCCCGACACCACACCCGGCTAATTTTTTGTATTTTTAGTAGAGACAGGTTTTCACCATGTTAGCCAGGATGGTCTCGATCTCCTGACCTCATGATCCACCCGCCTCGGCCTCCCAAGGTGCTGGGATTACAGGCATGAGCCAGCGCGCCCAGCCAATTTTTGTATTTTTTGTAGACATGGGGTTTCACCTTGCTGGCCAGATTGGTCTTGAACTCCTGACCTCAAGGTCCTCAAGTGATCCACCTGCTTCGGCCTCCCAAAGTGCTAGGATTACAGGCATGAGGGAGCCACCGCACCCAGCCTGCTTTTATTTTTATTAAGCAGTTGCTACCTGATAAATAATCTTGAGAGAGACATGCTGGTGTCGACTTTACATGTTTGTTTTACATTTTTGTTTATATGTGGCTGAAGAGACAAAAAAAAGCCCCCATGTGCATTTGTCAACTAATGGCTAATATTGTTTTATCTAAACCCTCACCCACTCTCTCCCATATTATTTTGAAGCAAATCTTAGATATCATCTCATCCATAAATATTTAAACATAACCACAATACAATTATAGCACTTAAAAATTATTTTTAATGTAAAATATCCAGTCATTGTTCAAGCTCCAATCATCTTAAGAATGCCATCATGTTTTTGAAAAAGTGGTTTGTTCGAATCAGAATCCAAATAAAGTCCACACGTTGCAGTTGGTTGATATGCTTATGTTAGCTTTTGATATTGTTTTTCTGCACATTGATTTTGCTGAAATGGCTATTATTAATCTGTTTGTATGTAACCTTTCACTAAAAGATTTGTAAAAAATGTAATGAAGGTTTGCAAGGCCAAGCCCTGTGATTATATTAGAAGTTAGTTTGATATCATCTTATAAACAGCTAAATTCTGTCAAAGAAAAATCCATTTTTAATGCATGATTGAATATTGATAATTAATGGGAACTATGAGGAAGTCATATGCAAAGATTAATTACCAACTGAGCTCTGAGAACATTTTTCTTCCTTTGTAATCTTACCTCCTGAGAGAAATAGTCTATATTGGTCCTAGAGTGAATTGACAGATATGTCCAGAAAGAAAAGCCACTGACTTTAATCTTTATTGGTCATGCTTAATTGGATGCACTATTATTTTTTATTTGCGGAGACAATATTTTTCAGTTAATTCTTTCTGTAATGCTGGAATTGAAAGGTGGGGATCCTGAGGTCTTTCTTACTGTACTGGTTTTTATGAGGCTATGAATCCTGGCATTTTCTGAATATTTCTTTTTATTGGAAGTGCTTGAAATCAATTCTTGATGATGAAAAATGTAATTGAATCAAGGTCATCCTTTACAGGCCAACTATCTTCATAGTGGTGGCTAAACTGTGACATAAAGTGATGCCCTGAACTTCCTGCTTCAGAAAGTAACTTGAGCGAAACTGAGCCCTGAAATCCAAGTTCATTAAAACGAGGAAAAATACTGTGAGTCCATGAAATAAAAAGCCAGAGAGGTGTAGCTGTTTGCCCCTACTGGTGCGCCTTGAATTTGCACATCCACCCACCTAAACTTCTGCTCAAAATTGTTTCCAGCCAAGAGGCATCTGCAGACCAGTCTCTGACTGGCAGCAGCTCAGATTTGGTTTGCAAAGGTGGCTGGTGGCCGGTGGCTAATTACATGTTTGATGAACTTGTTGTTAAGACAATGCTGCATGTGTCCTTCCCAGGCTGCAAATTGCCAGGTTACTGGAGAGTTTCCTGTATGGATACTAATTGTGCTTAATTTGGTCCTGAGATTTCCGCATTTGTCTTTCTGTCACAAAGTTTGTGATTACAAATCGCTCCTGTTGATTGGGAGTGAGGCTACATTTCTGATGGTTCACACATGCAATAAAGCTATTCATGAAACCAGCAGTGTTTCGCCATCTTTACAAAACACAGACATCCACGGTTATTTGCATCCCTGAGAAAAATTTGCTCTCTCTAGATATTTGTTTTTACAACAAATTAATTACCTGAAAAACATGGACAAAGCTTCCAAATGTGACACTGTGTGGAAAGGACAACCACATGCTACCTGGGAAGGGGGTGCCGCTTCGTTACTGAGGGATGTGAGTTTAATCCTACACAGGCAGGCAGGGTGCACAACCTCATTTGCCACTAGGGAGGGGCAGATGCGACCCCACTGTTCTCTCCTGTGTCACCCCTTCCTTTGAGATCCTGTAGAAGAAGGCTTTGCTGGAATACAGGCAACGGCAGGCAGCCCCTGGACTGCCAACCTCATTAACCAATGGGCTCGGGGTTCTTCTGAGCCAGAAGTCCCACCATTGGATTCCTGGGTTCCTTTCTGTAGGTGGTGGAGCCCAGGCTAGAGCTAAGGTCTCTTCCTCCTTTTTACATTTGTTGAAAAGTTTTGCAAGTGATTAGGGCACTGGCTCTCAAATGCTTTTGTTCTAAGACAATTCTAATACTTCCTCTCCCAAGCAAAGAGCTTGTTAAGGTATCGCTCCTGCTGCAGAGTGAAAAGGGAAGGCCCTGGTTCCAAGGCTGGGACTAAGGGTGGTGTGTGGTGAAGGAAGGTGGGGGAAGGAAGTGTGGAAGAATCATGGGAGAGCAGAGGCCAAGATGGATGTGAAGGCTGGTGGGACCAAGGGGACAGGGTGGGGATGGGGAACAGAGGTGGGATTGAGGTGACAGGGTGGGACCTTCTGGAGCTGACCCAGCTGCAGGAAGTGTGCCAGTATGGAGCAGGTACTGCAGGCATAATCCCACTCAGGGAGGACATGGGAAATCAAGGGCTACACCCACCCAGGCCCAGTTGCCAGATTTGACTCTTTGTCCTTGCCCAGGTCTTTGAGCTGGACCTTGCCATCTTTAACCATTTTTAATCAACTACTTACATCCAAAAACTGAGCTATGCACTGGAAATCTACCTTTGAGAAGAGCTTTGTGTATTATCTTGCTGTTAGCTAAATGCCTAGGTGTTTTAGAAGACATTTTGAGTCAGTAGAGTACTACCTGTTAAATTGCTCGGAAGTGACTTTATGTGGACCTTTGAGGTGGTCTGCTTACCCAGGAAATCCAGGCTGCCTTTGCTATTCTATGTCAAAAAAGTCTTCCATATGACTGCAAAAATCAGAAGTCAGAGAGGTTTAAGATTTCCCCGGCTGCCATTGTTGACCTAACCAGAAAAAGTTTGCATGCTCTACATATGGGGTGTCTATTCTAATAGGTGGTCATAGATCCATACAAAGCAATTAGAAGCATCCATATTATCTTAGGAATAAGAAAACCAATCCTGTTAGCTAATAACCCACATAAGGTCAATATCTCTGGCCATCAAGATTAACCAAGTGGCCACTCCCGAGATCATCTGTGGAGAAACGCTCAGATAGCTTCTTTTCCCTTAAGAGTAGCGAGGACCAGGCGACTTTAAGTCCTATAATGGTGTCCCTCTCAGGCCTATGTGACTGAACTAGGGTTAAGTATAGGTCAGGGTCACATTATGACCTTGAGCAAGTTCAAGCCACAATGGCTCTATGATACCATGTGTTTTCTTCAGGTTAATTTCAGGACCCCCAGCTGTATTGGAGTTGGAATTGAAGCAGCCAAAGAAGCATGGTGCAGGGCTGCCCGCTGATCTAGCAAAAGCCTTCTTCTGTTTGAAGAAGTCTATTGTGTTTCCTTACCTACTGGACAGAGAGAGAAAAACCTACTTACAGCACAGAAAATGGGCTCGGGGCCTGAATTTGGCATCATGTTTGGAATCTGGGATCGTCCACCACTTACTACTAGCTGTGTGGGACAAGGACCTGAAAGTCTCCATTCATTTGGTCTTCTCGTCCATGGAAAGGGCAGTTCTTGCCTCAGAGATTTGTTTTGTAGATTAAATGATAATGAATATAAAATTGTTAGTATTAAGCTGTTAGCACCCCAGATCCCCAAAACTGTGGCCACTAGAACTCTGTCAGTGAAAGAACAAAGCAATGTGCTCTTCAAGCAGCCAGAGTGGCTCTGCCATTGCAAAACTTCCGTCTCCGGCCGGACGAGGTAGCTCACGCCTGTAATCCCAGCACTTTGGGAGGCCTAGGTGGGAGGATCATCTGAGGTCAGGAGTTCAAGACCAGCCTGGCCAACATAGTGAAACCCTGTCTCTACTAAAAAATTACAAAAATTAGCCAGGTGTGGTGGCACGCGCCTGAAGTCCCAGCTACTCAGGAGGCTGAGGCAGGAGAATCACTTGAACCTGGGAGGCGGAGGTTGCAGCAACCCGAGATTGCGCCACTGCACTCCAGCCTGGGTAACAGGAGTGACTCTGTCTCAAAAAAAAATTTCCATCTCCACACAAAGCTCTCCAGGTGCCCTGGCTCCTGCCCTAACTAAATCAGAAGAGAGAATCAAAGCCACTGCCTGTGAAACTGTACTCCTCAAAGATAATATTACCATGATTCTACCCCTACCCATTCCAGCCCCATCCCACAGGAACACTTCAGTTTCCAGGCTCTTTTAGTTCTCCTGAGATGTGGGAGGCAATGCCTGCAGCCACAGACACCCTGGGGAAAACAGGTAACTGCTTTTCCTGGAAAGCCTGGCCTGGGGTAGAGCTGACTCGAAGCCTGAGAGGGGAGGGCAGGGGTGTGCGTAGGGCTGGAACAAGGACAGGCCGGGTGGGCACTGTTTCTGGATAGGACCCGCCCCATCTGACTCCCCATCGAAGCTGTGTTTATATTACCATGCCACAGGCTGTCATTTTCCATAGCACTGCCTTTCGTTCGCCGTTTTCCTACCTTTGCCATGAAAATTTGCTGCAGGCAGAAATCTGACATGGGATGTCTTAGCCAAGAAGAAGCTTTTTATTTTTGTTTTTCTCTTTTTGACAGATTTTGAATTAGTCATTTAATCAATTTTAACCCAAAAAAAGTCTTCTCAAAGTAGACCTCACCCCCACCTCTCTGAATCTTCTGGAGGTGAGTTCTACCACCAGCAACAGCTTCTCCAGGTGTCCTGGATCCTCCCTTCTGGGCCTAAGCCTAAAGGAGCTTCTCCCACAGCCTCTCCTGAGCACACTGTTATTCTCTTATTGATGGCAAACATCACAACCTTGCTCCTGGCAACTTTTCCTCTTATTTAGTCTGTGCCCAGAACTTCCTTGGGCATTAGTGGGAATCTTACAGCTAGAGAGGAACAACCTCTGTACAATATAGAAAGCACACACACACAAAGGCCAGGGGAGAATGGGGGGTGTTTGAAGTGCTTATATTTCATGCATAATTACTAATAAATTAACCTTTTTTGCTGAAAAAATTAAAGACATTTAGAATGAAATATAAAATATTTTCAATGCAGAAATGTAAATTTTGCCTTTTAGTATTTACTCCAAGGAAAGCCCACCTACAAAATGAGAGCTCTCGAAAACACAGTATAGGCTGGGCACAGCGGGTCACGCCTGTAATCCCAGCACTTTGGGAGGCTGAGGCAGGTGGATCACTTGAGGTCAGGAGTTCGAGACCAGCCTGGCCAACATGGTGAAACCCCATCTCTACTAAAATACAAAAATTAGCTGGGTGTGGTGGTGGATGTCTGTAATCCCAGCTACTCAGGAGGCTGAGGCAGAAGAATCACTTGAACCCAGGAGGCAGAGGTTGCAGTGAGCTGAGATCATGCCACTCCACTCCAGCCTGAGTGACAGAGCAGCGAGACTCCGTCTCAAAGAAAAAAAAAAAGAAGAAAAAGAAAAAGAAAATAGAGTATAGGCTACTTTGACAAAAATAAAACTTAGGCTAGGCACGCAGTGGCTCATGCCTATAATCCCAACACTTTGGGAGGCTGAGGCAGGAGGATAGTTTGTGGCCAGGAGTTCAAGACCAGCCTGGTCGACATAGCAATACACTATCTCCATTAAAAAAAAAATGTAGTGATAATCGAGAGCAAGATTTAGTAAAGCCTTTACATTTAAGTTGGATTTTTATTTATCTCACTGTGCATTTACTCATTCATCTAATATTGTTGAATGTCTATTAGGTACAAAGTTGTCATTTAGAAAATGTATGGTTATCTTCTGAGATTATTCCCTCATACAGGTTATTACTGTTAAAGTACCTTGTTTTATTTTTTGAGACAGGGTCTTGCTCTGTCACCCAGGCTGGAGTGCAGTGGCATCATCACGGCTTACTGCAGTCTCCACCTCCTGGGCTCAAGCGATCCTCCTTTAGTCTCCCGAGTAGCTGGGACTACCAGCACACGCCACATCACCCAGCTAATTTTTAAATTTTTCATAGAGACAGGGTCTCATCATGTTGCCCAGGCTGATCTTGAACTCCTGGGTTCAAGGTATTCTCCTACCGTGGCCTCCCAAAGTGCTGGGATTACAGGTGTGAGCCACCATGCGTGGCCTAAAGTACTTTATAAAATGCAGTTCTTACCATGAAAACTCATTCTCTGCCACTTAAAACTTTTTTACTTCATAGAAAGCTAAAAAAGGTAGAGAGAACCCACGATGCCAAAAGCTAGTTTGCATCACTAAAACCAGAATTGAATTCTCTGCAACTCTCTTTGGATGGAAGTTGGGGGCATGGATGAAGAAAGGTTTCCTTATGTACCCATTACAGACCATGTGCTTTACAAAAACAATCTCATTTAATTCTCACAACCCACCGAGGTGGATATGCTTTCCATTTTGTAGTTCAAATAACTGAAGCTAGGAGAGATGATGAAACTTGTCCAAAGTCACATAACTCGTTGGTGTTGGCATTGCAACACTCAGTATCTTTCAGCACACCATTCATTTCATTCAATACATAATTTTATTGAGCACCTGCTATGTATTAATACTAGCCACAGTTCCAGAAACTAACGATGCATTAGTGAACCAAACAAAGTCTCTGCCCCCTTGGAGTTCCTGTTCAGTGGTTGAGAAGGCAATAAACAAATCCATCATGAAATGTTGGGGTGGCGGTGAGGAGATGCAGAAAAGTGAAGCAGAGTGAGGGGATGGAGAATGAAAGGGATGGGGTGGCTACTTTGGTCTCCAGCATTTGTCCACCCAGCAGGAGGCCTCTTTCCATAGACTGTACTCTGTTACCAACCTCTTTCCTGGATGTGAAGGGAGGGAAAATATGGGAGAGCATGTGGGCATGTGCATGCCTACCTGCAGTGCATGGGCATGAGGAGTGAAGGCGGTGAAATAGAGAAGGGCAAGGAGAAACAAGAGGACCAAGTTGAATTTGCAAAGCAGATGTTGTTCCTTGGGCTTTGGTCTCCTTTTCTCTTCAAGCAGCCCATTGACCTCCCAGCACACCTGGGCTGCCCTATCTGCATCCTTGGCTATTGCTAAAACCTCTGCTTTCTGGAGTGAGCCTGCTCTGAAGTTGATAGATACCACTCCTTCCTCCTTCCCATTCCCTTAAGTGTCAACCAAATCCTTGTGACTTTGCTGTGTCTCCTTCCAAAGCCACGCGTTCTGTGTTTCAATCCTCTAGGGCCTATTAAGTGACCAGATAGTTTTTGTGCATACAAAATTAACTGATTTTGCATTGTATTTACATTTTGATAGGCTGAAAATATGTCTTAATGTTGCAGCGCCTGGGGGGCCTCTTCTTATCTTTACTTTCACCCCCTTGGTGATCTCATCCAGTTCCAAGGCTTTGAATACATCTATGAATAGATGACTCTCAAAGTTATATTCCATTGTAGACTACCCTGTCTGCCTATTTGATTTTTCCACTGGACAGTCTAATAGACATCCCAGAATGAGCATCGGGTAAGTCCAAATCCTGGTTTCCATCTGCAGCCTTCTTCATCTAAGTAAATGGCAACTTCATTTGTCCAGCTGCTCAGGACAACAAATTTAGGGTCATCTTTTACTCTTCCTTTATTCTCACTCCCAGGAGGGGTTGGCTCACCTTCAAATATATCCAGAATTCAATCCTTTCTGACCCCTTTTTCTGCTATCGCTCTAGTTCAAGCCGCCATCATCTCTTGGCTTGGTGATTCCAACAGCCTTCTAACCCTTCCTTCTTGTGGTCCCACTCCTATCTCAGTGGCCAGAGTGATCTTGTTCATTAGTAAATCATAACATCTCACGCCTCAGTTCATGCCCTCCAGTGGCTCCCACCTTACTTAGAGGAGAGCTTGAAACTGTCTTCTCTGAAAAAGAAAATAAAACTAAAAAAACCAAACCAACAAACAAAGCAAGCCCTGCCTGCTCTAGGCTTCTCCTTTTGTTCCCCCTCCCTCTCAGGTGGGAGTGCCCTGCTCTCTGATGTCTTCAGGGCCACACTCTGGCTGCAGCTGGAGCTACCCTCCCGTGATCATTAGTTGGTCATTTTAAAGTTGCTCAAGGTGAGATTTGCTAAGAAATGTATTTCCCAGTTCTGAGAATGCTCCCTGGTATGCCTGGGAGATAAGAACTTCAAGTGACTGTTCCCACCTGTATAGGAATCAACATTCTGTCTCCATACAGCAGCTCGCAGCTCCCACCTATGGGAAATGTCTGTCTGTTTCAAGTAACGTTGAACCCAGCAGCTTTCTTCTACTTGGCTCCTCCACTACTTTTTTCTTTTTTCTTTTTTTCCCCCCTTTAAGAAAACGAAGTCCATTTTAATTTTGTGGGTTTGACAGAACTAGGACAACAGGACAATGTTTGCTGGGATCAAATT
Source organism: Homo sapiens (assembly GCF_000001405.40). Taxonomy (NCBI): domain Eukaryota; kingdom Metazoa; phylum Chordata; class Mammalia; order Primates; family Hominidae; genus Homo; species Homo sapiens. Next base: position 56,709,013 of record NC_000014.9, on the reverse strand, counting down.
TTTTTGTGTGAATTTTTTTGGCAGAATCAGTGTTTGCAAGAAGCAGATAAAACTTGACTGTTGGAGAACCTCGCTGTAGCAAGCAGCTGCCTGCCAGCAAATCTGCAGTTAACAACAGAGCCAGAGTCATTGTTAGCCAGGTAGGAGAGACAGGGGAAGAAAAGCTGGAGAGCGTCCTTGTTAGGCTCTAAATGAATCAGTTGTTTAGCAATTACTGTAAGACAGCAGATCGGGGTACATGAGCGCTGAAGATAACATCTCAACTTGGTTTGCTGTCCTTACATGACACGGGTGTATATGCATGAAGGAAGCCCCACAGCCCCAAAATATTTTATTCACCTCACACTCAGAGGAGTTCACTGACTGGAATTCAATAGAAACTGTTCTCTGTGTGAAAGTAATTTCAGAAAGTAATCTAGTTTATGGAAATGAAAGGCATCAAAACACAAAAAAACACTGTTTCTCTACAAGTGCTTTGCCTCAAATATTTGACATGGAAATTTGTATAATCCCTCTGGGGGCATGTGGGTTTCACCAGTGTTAACATCTTTTGAAATGGATTTCACAAATATTTTTTTGCCGTGCCAGGCTGACAAATAATTTAGAATATCGAGGCATCTTCCCAGAATCAAACTTAATGATATGAATCTCAAATGATTGTGGAGGATAAAAGGTGTGAATTTTAACTGGGTACTGGGAGCTGACGCTACTTTCAAATACTGCCCCGGGGAGCAAAGGTGCCAGTTAGCTGTTCTGAGAGCCCAAACCATGCTAGGTGGGCAGTGCGGCTCAGAAATGACGGTGGCTCGTCCACTGCCACTTTCTGCTTCATTTCCCACACAGGAAATAAGTCTTCTTGCACAGGCCTGGAGGGAGGGGGAGGGAAGCGGATGAAACAATGGGCAGGGTGGGCTCAGGTTCGATGTGGCAATGAGTAAAATAGGGTGGGCTGCTTCCTACCAGTCATTAGGAAAAGAGTGGGCAGAAGGTCAGCCCTTTAGAAGATAAGCCTTAGGTTAGAACAGAATCAAGGAAGAGCAAGAGAGGGACACTTATGTTTTCCGTCATCTGCTGAATGGGAATGCCCATGAATCCCTTCCTGTCTTCCTTTGAGGGAGCACTAGCTTGTCATTCTAGAAGACGCCATGCGGTCCTGTGAGAGCCCTCTCCCCCATGTGCAGTGTCCCTCAGGTCTGGTGGCAAGGGCCCTTCCCTAGGGCCATCGTTTCCAGGCAGAGATTTGAGTTGGCACAGTCCTTATGGCTCATTAGGTGATGAAAACATCCCTGTTTTATAGAAGGGCCAGCAACTTTCCTGTGTCTGCATGGTGGGTGAGGAGCAGAGTCAGAGGCCACCAGGGTGACCAGAGTTCCCTGCCCCACAGTCACCCTTCTCAGCGCTTCTCAGCCCTGATGATCACTGTACTCAGCTCAGAGGAGAATCTGCTGGAGCAGGGGCATGAACCTTCTATGAGATTGATGCAGAGGGAGATACAGACGCCCATCCAAATTTTTGAGACCCCTCCCACCAGGAACTGGGTCTGTGTCCCCTCTTTTTGAGCCCGGGCAGACTCTGTGACTTTCTGTCATTTCTGGGCCCAGCCTTTAAGAGGACTGGCAGTTTCTGCTTCCTTCCTTTAAACCTTTGAGCCACCATGGAGCCACCATTCCTTTTCTGGAGAGAACACACGGAGAAGCCTGGAGACCACACGGAGAAGCAGCAACCAGTTAGTTGAGCGTGGCCTCCTGACTGCCTGTACGAACCACGTCAGTCACCTTAAATTTTTCAGTAGCTGCATTAAAAACTAAAAAGAAACAGGTAAAATTAATAATACAATTTATTTGACCCAATGTATGAAAAAAAATCAGCATGCAATTAATAAATAGTAAAATTAAGATAGTTTCCTTTTTTTCATACGAAGTCTGCAAAATCTTGTGGGGTATTCACATATACAGGATGTCTCTATTCAGTACAGCCATGTTTCAAGGGCTCCATAGCACATGTGGGGCCGGGTGCCGTAGCTCATGCCTGTAATCCCAGCACTGTGGGAGGCCGAGGAAGGCAAATCACTTGAACTCAGGGGTTCGAGGCCAGCCTAGGCAACATGATGAAACCCCCGTCTCTGCAAAAAATGTAAAAATTAGCTGGGTGGGGTTGTGTACACCTGTAGTCCCAGCTGGGGAGGCTGAGGTGGGAGGATCACTTGAACCTGGGAGGTGGAGGCTGCAGTGAGCTGTGATTGTGATTACACCACTGCACTCTAGCTTGGGCAACAAAGCAAGACCCAGTCAAAAAAAAAAAAAGAGAAAGAATAAAGAAAAAAAGAAAAGAAAAGGAAGGAAGGAAGGAAGAAGAGAGAAGGAAAGAAAGGAAGAGAAAGAAAGAAAGAAAGAAATGGGAAAAAAATGAAAAAAGAAAGAAAGAGAAAAACAGACAAAGAGAAAGAGGAAAGAAGAAAGGAAAGAAAGAGAAAAAAGCATTTGTGGCTCATAGCTACCAAATTAGACAGTGCATATCTAAAGCTGTCACCTTTATTTGCATCTGCTGCTCACCCTCACACCACCACATAAAGAAAAAATTTCTCTACAAGTGGACACATGCTGAAATAAACACTCAGGCATCCTTGAAGGGGAGAAGTCACCAGAAGATGTACCAATGAAGGAGAAACCCTCTCTTGCGCTTAGATGGGGGTGGGATAGATCAAGGCCTATTGATACATTTTTCTATAAGCTGCAGACCCACCACCTTCTTCCTCAGTGGTTGCATTTGCAAGTTGGAGTCTCAGTCTATCTCAGTGAAGCAAAGCACTCTATATAAAAATTCGTATTTGTGAAGGAGCTAGGTGGCTATTCAATTTAAATAAGAGTCTGCTTTACAAAAGGATTCGCTTTGGGATTGCCTAAGCTAGCGCATTTCTCTTGTGTGTTTAAAATAAATCCATTTATTTTTAAAAGATTTAATCAGATTGCACCAACATCTATTGAATGAAATAAATTATCCCTACATGTGAAGGCTTCCTGAAAGTTGATTTGGGGGATGACTATGAGCAGAGAGAGGCAATACGCATAGAATGTTAGGGCTGTGAGAGAACACTGTGCTCAACAGCATCTAGTCCAGGGATGGCAGATGCAGGCAGCTGGGCAATCGCTTCTCATGGACAGCAGGGTGGCCTGCCCTATCAAGTCTAGCGTGGCCCCAGCCATAGTCTCTATCCATTCCTCGAGGCAGTTGCTACCAATAGATCTGTAGCAGCCGTGAGATGAAATCAGACATCCATGTTCTTATAACAGGTAGGCACCTATAAGGATTATTTGCCAGTCTGCCCCCCCACTTCCCCACCATTATTCTGAAGCTCACTGGGGGCCCCATCCATGGTTGATTGGTCTAGGGTGGGCACCTGAGCTAATGTGAAGGGCAGCCCTTCCCAGGTTTTTTTTTTTGCATTTAGGAGACCAAGAGCGTGTCAGTGAGTCTCTCTGGTGGCTGAAGCTTAAAATGGAAAACTCAGGAGTTGCCTGGGCTGCTCAATCCTCAGTGTACATCCGAAGGCAGAGGACAGAGCTGCTACTCTGAGGAGGGCAGAGATGAGAGGACAGGGGCCTGGGGGCTCATCCCAGCTGAGTCTGCGGCACAGGCCAAAACCCCTCACTTGATCACCTCTCCCTCAGATTCCATACACCACAGTAACCGTTCCGTGAAGTAATTCTTGCAGAACAAGCATGACTTGGCTTCTCTCATTTGTAAACCCAGAATCTTAATTAATACAGACGCCCAGCTTCAGGGGCCTGCAACCTGTGTCCTCACAAGTGGCTCCATGCTTAGGGCACTGTGCTTGGTTTAATGGTCTGCTATCATTGTCTTGAAATTCTTAACCTTTTTTTTTGAGACAGAGTCTCGCTCTGTCACCCAGGCTGGAGTGCAGTGGCACAATCTCGGCTCACTGCAAGCTCCGCCTCCCAGCTTCAAGCAACGCTCCTGCGTCAGCCTCCTGAGTAGCTGGGACTACAGGTGTGTGCCACCATGCCTGGCTAATTTTTGTATTTTTAGTAGAGACAGGGTTTCACCATGTTGGCCAGGCTGGTCTCGAACTCCTGAGCTCAAGTGATCCATTGGCCTTGGCCTCCCTCCCAAAGTGTTGGGATTACAGGCGTAAGCCACCACGCCTGGCCTTAACCATTTTTATAAAGGACCCCACACTTTGATCTTGTATTCGCCCCACAAATTATGTAGTCAGTCCTGCGAATATACTTTCATTTTAGAAGAGGAGGTAATTGAAACTGAGATGAAGTCAGTAATTCAACTAAAATCACAGAGATGGCTACAGAATCCATTTCAGTCTGGTGGAGTCCAGGTTGGAACTGAGAAAAGGGCATAAACAGGTGAAAAGGGTTAAGGTTGGTGGGGAGAGAAAAATCATTTTGTTTCTCTTTCTTCTTCCATGACACAGAAATTCCCTAATCCCAAACCTTAATGGCTGTTGTTTTGCTTCTCAATTTTCATAGAAATAAGCAGAAGAAAGGGTAGGTAGGAAAAGGCTGACTGGTGTCACAGAGCAATTGTTCTGAGAGAAGGAAACATTTGCCAGGTTGCCAAAGCTGACCTCATTTCCCAATTTCCCAAAGACCCAATTTCCCCAGCTGCTTTGTTGACATAGCAACAGTGAATTCTGAAAGGGTTGTTATAATATTAATATGTATTTCATGGTGGGTTTGCCCTGTGTTCTTCCCGGCCCTTGTGATCCAGGTCTGAAAAAGAGGTGCTTTTTGGCTTCTGGCCATGGAAGCCAAGGCCCAGTTCTCCGAGTGGGATAAGCAAGGAGCAGGTGCCTCTGTCAGCACATCCGCCAACTGGGTGGAGTCCCCCCACCAGGTCCTCCCACCGCCAAGGCTTCTCTGCCTTCCCCAGAGTGAAGCGGCTGATTTTGTAGATATTTTAAGTAATAGCTGCACCTTGGGATACGTTTCCATCCTCCTACTACTCAGGGTGTTAAATGTAGCACCTGTGAGCCATTGTGTAGAAAATCAATTATATCTTGGGCCCAGTGATAAGAATTCATCCCCCTAGCTCAATTTTTAAAAGGCTTCAAAAGGCCTCCCACCTCTTTCCCTTTTTCCAATGCAAATGAGCAACACTCAGGATATTTGCATGTCAAATTCCAGCATGGGTTTCAAGCGAGTAAATGGTCATATTTATTAGTAATAGCGGTGGTAGATGAGTAAGAGGGATTTAATAAATGTATGTTCAATATGTTCGTGTTTCTATAGCACTTAACAGTTTGCAAAGCCGTTTTTCCCCCTGAAATCATGTATTTGATTCTTAAACAAGCAAACAAACCCAAAAGGCCTGCGATGAGGACAAAGAGCAATTATCCTCGTTTTACTGATGAGAATAAGGCTAGAGAAAGATTTTATTTTGCCCAACGTCATATAACTGACTCATAGGTGTCAGAGTTATGATTAGAACTTGAGTTTGTCTACCAGCTAGCACTGCCTTTCCTCTGTATCATGTTGCTTCATGGTGTTTCAGAAGGGACAGAGGAATAGAACAGGAGTTATATTAACTGAGTGCAGGAGAGTGCAATCAATAATAGCTAAAACCTATTAAACGTCTACTATGAATCTGCCATGGATATTATCTCATTTAATTTTTTTTTGTGGAGGGGGATGGAGTCTTGCTCTGTCACTCTTAAAATATCTACAGAGTCAGCCCCTTCACTCTGGGGCGTGGTGTGAGTGGAGTAGTGTGATCTCAGCTCACTGCAACCTCCGCCTCCCAGGTTCAAGTGATTCTCCTGCCTCAGCCTCCCTAGTAACTGGGACTACAGGCACACGCCACCATGCCTGGCTAATTTTTGTATTTTTAGTAGAGACGGAGTTTCACTACATTGGTCAGGCTGGTCTCGAACTCCTGACCTCAGGTGATCCACCCGCCTCGGCCTCCCAAAGTGCTGGGATTACAGGCATGAGCCACCGCGCCCAACCTCATTTAATTTTTTAATTCAACTTTTTAGTTTGAGATAACTGTAGACTCACATGCAGTTGTAGGAAATAAAAAGATCCTGTGTATCCTTTGCCTAGTTTCCCCCAATAGTAATATCTTGCAGGACCATAGAACAAAGTCAGAACCAGGATGTTGACATTGATACGGTGAAGATACGCAATATTTTCATCACCACGGAGATCCCTTATAAAAGAAGTCCCCAACCCAGTACTGGTTCGTGGCCTGTTAGCAACGGGGCCACACTGCAGGAGGTGAGCAGAGGGTGAGCAAGCACAGCTTCATCTGTATTTTAGCCACTCCCCACCACTCAAATTACTGCCTCCTGTCAGTTCACCGGCGGCATTAGATCCTCACAGGAGTGCAAACCCTATTGTGAACCACAGATGTGAGGGATCTAGGCTGCATGCTTCTTATGAGAATCTGATAAATGTAATGTGCTTGAATCAGCCTGAAACCATTCCGCTGCACTCCGTGGAAAAACTGTCTTCCATTAAACAGATCCCTGGTGCCACAAAGGTTGGGGACCACTGCCTTATATTGTCCTATTGTAGCCACACCTACTTCCCTGTCACCCCCATCCGTCCTTAACCCCTGGCAACTGCTAGTCTGTTCTCCATGTCTATGAATTTGTTATTTCAATGACGTTGTATGAATAGAAGTATGCAGCAGGTAATGCGTGATTCCCCGCCTTCTCCACTCAGCATAATTGTCTGGAGATCCATCAAGATTGCTGAATGTATCGATAGTTCATTCCTCTTTATTGCTGATAGCATTCCATGGTCCAGAAGTACCACAGTTTAACCATCCACCTGTTCCAGTTTTTGACTATATAAATAAAGCTTCTGTAAACATTTGTGTACAGGTTTGTGTGTGAATGTAAATATTCGCTTCCCTAGGATAAATGCCCAATAATACAATTATTGGGTTATATCGTAGTTGCATGTTTAAGTTCTTGAGCAACTGCCAAATTGTTTTACATGCCCGGTAGCAATGTCTGATCTGTCCAGTTTCTCCACACCCTCAACAGCATTTGGTGTTGTCATTATTTTTTATTTCAGTCATTCTGATAGGTATATACTGATATTTCACTGTGGTTTTATTTTACATTTCCCTAATAGCTGATGTTGAATATCTTTTCATGTGCTTGTTTATCATTTGTGTATCCTGTATGATGATTGTGTATCCTGTATGATGAAATGTTTCTTCATGTCTTTTGCCCATTTTCTATCGTAATGTTCTCCTTTTTGGTGAAGGTTTTTTTGTTTATTTTTTTGTTTGTTTGCTTTCACTGTGAAGTTTTGAAAGTTCTTTTTCTATTCTAGATACTAGAATATTACATATCCTCTATAGGATAAGAGATTTGCAATAGTTTCTCCAACTCTGTGGCTTGTTTTTTCATCTTCTTAATAGAGTCTTATGTAGAACAAAAATTTAAATTTTGATTGAGTACAATTTATCTTTTTTTTTTTAAGAGATCATGCTTTTGGTGTCAAGTATAAGAATTCTTTGCCTAGTCCTAGATCCTAAAGATTTTCTCCTATATTTTTCTAGAAGTTTTCCCATGTACATTTATTAAGTTTGTGATCTATTTTGAATTAATTTTTGTATAAGGAACAGCCTATGGATGTCTAATTGCTCTAGCACCATTTGTTGAAAAGGCTCTCTTTCTTCTATTGAATTTCTTTTGCATCTTTGTCAAAATTCGACTGGATATATTTGTATGTGGGTCTATTTCCAGGTACTCTGTTCTGTCTTTTTTGTTTTGTTTTTTTTTTTGAGATGGAGTCTCACTCTTGTCACCCAAGCTGGTGTGCAGTGGTGCATTCTCTGTTCACTGCAACCTCCACCTCCTGGGTTCAAGTGATTCTCCTGCCTCAGCCTCCCGAGTAGCTGGGATTACAGGCACCTGCCACCACGCCCAGCTAATTTTTGTATTTTTAGTAGAGATGGAGTTTCACCATGTTGGCCAGGCTGGTCTCAAACTCCTGACCGCAGGTGATCCGCCCACCTTGGCCTCCCAGAGTGCTGGGATTGCAGGCGGGAGCCACCGCGCCCAGCCTGTTTTTAATTTTAACAATTGCTTGTAATAAATAGATGCTATTATTGTCTCTACTTTACAGATGAATAAACTGACATACAGAGAACAGAACAAGATTTTTATCACTAAATGTTTGCTATTTTAAAAGGCAAGCAAGAATACTGGCAACCACTTCTATTTATAATGAGAAAAAGCTATACTAAAGGTGGGCTCAGTTACATTAAAATTCATTCTATACAAAGTCAAACCAGAAGGAGGGATCTGTTTTTCCTTCAGAAATATCATCTGACCCGTCAGAATAGTGTCAAGAAACAAACACCTAGACTTACATACAATAAAGTGACACCAGCTGGATTTATTATTCTATTAGGCTCAATAAAGATCACTCTGTTGCCCTAACAACCTAATGAGAGCCATGACTTGTTAGATAAACTAACCATCAGGTGAAGAAAATAACTGTCAATAGGAGGCCCTTTACCTGTTGACAGAAAACTGTGATGTAAAACCAGCAGCACATCATGATTATTTGAGAGGCTTTTTAAAAGTGTAGCTCCCTGAGCCACATACTGGAGCCACTCAAGCAGAATCTCTAGGCTCCAGCTTCTTCTATTTATATTTATTTATTTACTCTGTGTGTGTGTGTGTGTGTGTGTGTGTGTGTGTGTGTGGTGGTGGTGAGGAAGGAACGTTTATAATTCTCCAGGGAATTTTGATGCAGCTGGTCACTGGATGGCCAAGACCAAAAAAAAGCTTTTTTCAAATGTGGCATGTGGCAGAGTCTACCTTTTAGAGAAGAAGAAGCCGGGTTTCATTTTGAGAAATTGAGAGGCCATGAGAAATCCTTTTTTAAAAAATAGTGTCCTGTGTTTGGTTTTGTAGGAAGAGTTTCCAAAAGCTGCCCATAAACTTCTTCCTCATATTTGAGACTAAATTTGGTTGCTAGAGATTGAATAGAATTTTAACTTAATAAAGATTGTTCTGCGGATCAAAAACCATTTTACGAACCCTTAAATGTTCAACTGTGATGTGCAAATAAAATGAACCCTGAAATTGTATGAAACACTTGTGTCTCCAAATTCAAATTGTTTAGGCAGAAGGGACTTTTCAGGTGGAGAGTGGTAGTGTGTTTAGGTAAGATCTAACACAGGTAACTGGATTTGTCATTCTTCTTTTTTCTGATGATCAAATCAAAGATTGGGTAATCAATACATGAGCAATATAGAGTAAACTACTCTTTAATTTGTGTCATCTTCTAAGATCTAAAAGGTTTATATTTGTTTTCTTAATTGTCAGACCACCTGGAGTGGATTTATGATTTACTCCTCAACATTGATCCCACCTTAGAAGATTAGCCTTATCTTATTCCACTGCCCTGCTACCACCACCTTCTCGGGTGACTGGTCAGGATTAGGCATGGTGGTGGAGACTTTCCAGTGTCCTCCACATCTGATTCTACTGTCCCTCCTTAGGACATAGGAAGACAATACTTCTCCATATACTTGCAACTGAATGGGGCCATATGACTAATAAGCCATGAACGAAAGTGAAAAGTATCACTTAGGGATTCAGCATTAAACAGTTGTGCAAGACCCTCTGCTACTCTCCCTCTGCCATAAGGAATGTGGAAGAATGGAGATGCAGGTGTCCACAAGATTTCTGAGCCACCAACTCATGGAGCAAGCTGCCCCAGAGAGTCTCTGGAACCACAACATACTTTGCATGAAGCAAGAAACACACCTTTGCAGTCTGAAACTGCTGAGAGTTGAGGATTATTTCCTACTAGAGCATAATTTAGCTTAAGCTGTGACCCTATTCTAGATAATGAAATGTTAGATAAAATCTGATGAGTGGCCGGGCACAGTGGCTCACTTCTGTAATCCCAGCACTTTGGGAGGCTGAGGCAGGCGGGCAGATCACCTGAGGTCAGGAGTTTGAGACCAGCCTGGCCAACACAGTGAAACCCCGTCTCTACTAAAAATACAAAAATTAGTCGGGCACGGTGGCGCACGCCAGTAATCCCAGCTACTCAGGAGGCTGAGGCAGGAGAATCACCCGAACCCGGGAGGTGGAGGTTGCAGTGAGCTGAGATTGCACCACTGCACTCCAGCCTGGGAGACAGAGAGAGACTCTGTCTCAAAAAAAAATCTGATGAGGGCACTTTTGGGGAAAGTTTCCTCTCCTAAAAGAAACCACAGGAAGAGGTAGTTTGTCATTTCCCTCTGGATTTTAGGTCTGGGTGTGAGGCTGGGACCACTACAGCCATCTCACTCCCAGCCCCAGGGTGAGGCTACTTAAGATGGGAGAGCAGAGAGGTCTTGGATCATTGGTGACATCTTTGAGCTGTTGAATCAACAACTCTGGAACTTACTGTACCTCTTTTCTTTCTGCTATGTGATATAACAAATTTCCTTATTGTTCAAATTGGTTTGATTTGGAGTTTGTTACTGTGATGGTTAATATTGAGTGTCAACTTGATTGGATTGAAGGATGCCAAGTACTGTTCCTGGGTGTGTCTACGAGGGTTTTGCCAACAGAGATTAACACTTAAGTTAGTGGACTGGGAGAGACAGACCCACCCTCATCTTGGGTGGGCACCATCTAATCAGCAGCCAGCGTGGCTAGAATGAAACAGGCAGAAGAACGTAGAAATACTTGACTTGCTGAGTCTTCCAGCCTTCATCTTTCTCTCATGCTGGATACTTCCTGCCCTTGAACATCAGACTCCAAGTTCTTCAGCTTTTGGACTCTTGGACTTACACTAGTGGTTTGCCAGGAGCTCTCGGCCCTTTGGCCACAGACTGAAGGCTTCACTGTCAGCTTCCATACTTGTGAGGTTTTGGGACTTGAACTGATCCACCACTGGCTTCCTTGCTCCTTAACTTGCAGACTACTCATTGTGGGACTTTTGATTGTGTAAGTCAATTCTCCTTAATAAACTCCCCTTCATATATACATATATCCCATTAGTTCTGTCCCTCTAGAGAACCCTAATACAGTTACTTTCAATCAAATCATCTTAACTGATAAATCATAGCTTTTGGCAATACAAGATTAAACTTAACTTCACTCCTCTGCAAATACTACTCTTGTAGCAGAAATGTTGCTAAAAGCTCTATTTCTCATCTAGGGCCAGGCACAGTGTCTTACTGTAATCCCAACACTTTGGGAGGCAAAGGCGGGAGGACTGCTTGAGTTCAGGAGTTTGAGACCAGCCTAGGCAATATGGTGAGACTTCATCTCTACAAAAGATTTCTTAAAAATTAGCCAGGCATGGTGTCGCATGCCTGTAGTTCCAGGAACTTAGGAGGCTGAGGTGGGAGGATTGCTTGAGCCCCAAAGGTCAAAGCTGCAGTGAGCAATGATTGTGCCACTGCATAAGCCTGGGTTACAGAACAAGACTCTGTCTTGAAAAAAATAAATAAATAAAATCTAATTGAATTAAATAGGAAACTAAATTTAAAATAAACTTCCAGTCCAGGCACAGTGGCTCATGCCTGTAATCCCAGCACTTTGGGAGGCCGAAGCGGGAGGATCACTTGAGGTCAGGAGTTTGAGACCAGCCTGGCCAATATGGCAAAACACCCTCTCTATTAAAAATACAAAAATTAGCCAGGCGTGGTGGCAGGCACCTGTAATCCCAGCTACTCCAGAGGCTGAGGCAGGAGAATTGCTTGAACCCAGTGAGAGGCGGAGGTTGCAGTGAGCAGAGATCACACCACTGCACTCCAGCCAGGGCAACAGAGTGAGGCTCCATCTCAAAAATAAAAATAAAAAACAAACTTCCAATTGTTCTAACTGCTTTATAGTATTTATCTCCTTAAGACCCCACAGAAGCCAGTGAGAGAATCTGGCTCCCAACTGCGGGGACAACACTGAGGTGTGGCACCTTCTTGGCTCTGGAGGGAGCTCGGTCCCTGGACCTGCATTCTCCCACAGGCCCTGCCTCCTGCCCACTTGTCTCAGCATCTGGTTGTGGAAAAAAAAATTGCCATGTGATACTGCAGTTGCATGTGATGATTCAGAGGGTAAGGGAACCTGAACAGAGCTTCTCAGCATCCCAGGACAACTTATAAGTCTCTTCTGGTGCCAGCTTCCCAAGATGATTTTGGTCTCCTATTATGGGGAGCTCAGGTGAAATATGGGCACTGTGTGCCTACTCACTCTGCATCTGAATAGTCCTAAAGCCTCATAGAAAGGTTATATCCTTTCTATCTTCATATCCTTGATACAAGACTCCCAGCTGGGCATGATGGCTCATGCCTGTAATCCCAGCACTCTGGGAGGCTGAGGTGGGTGGATCACTTGAGTTCAGGAGTTCCAGACCAGCCTGGCCAACAGGGTGAAACTCGTGTCTCTACCAAAAAACAGAAAAAAAGCCAGGCGTGGTGGCGTGCGCCTGTACTCCCAGCTACTTGGGAGGCTGAGGTGGGAAAATCGCTTGAACCCGGGAGGTATAGGTTGCAGTGAGCCAAGATAATGCCACTGCACTCCAGCCTGAGTGACAAGAGTGAAACTCTGTCTCAAAAAAAAAGACACCCTTACACTTCCCCTAGAGGAATCTCTGAGGGAAAATCTATGCAGATCTCTAAAGGGTCACTGGGAAAGCAGGAGAAAGGGACCAAGGCGAGTGCAACTACTCAGTAGCCGCCGTGAGGGGCTCAACCATGATGATACTGGAGGGTGTCATTGATGTGGATATGCAGTGACAAAACTGAGTGTTCTTTGTGTGTGTTGGGGGAAATATCCAGGAGACAGTGTGTCTCTTCTTTCTTCCCTTGAAATTTAACTTAATTCTGTTACAATCACTTCTCGGCCTTTTGGCTAAGATCAAGTGTAATTCTGTTATATTATTTTTATGTTGTATTATGTTTAAATTATTTGGGGATGTAGGTGGGGTTTAAGTAGAGTAAATAGTTAACTGTGATATCCTACATGGGGACAGTCATGGTTCGCTTGCATTCACCTCATTCATTCATCCATCAAAAATATTTTTAAGGATCTACCGCTTGCCAGACAGTGTACTAGGCACAGGGATACAGAAAGAAGAGACACTGTCACGGGGTCAGGAGTTCGAGACCAGCCTGGCTCACATGGTGAAACTCCGTCTCTACTAAAAATACAAAAATTAGCCAGACGTGGTGGCGGGCGTCTGTAATCCCAGCTACTCGGGAGGCTGAGGCAGGAGAATTGCTTGAACCCAGGAGGCAGAGGTTGCAGTAAGCTGAGATCACGTCATTGCACTCCAGCCTGGGCAGACAGAGCAAGACTCCATCTCGGAAAAATAAAAAACAAAGACACTGTTCTTGAATTCAGTATAAAGTGGGAGATAAACAAATAAGCAGGCCCTGACAATCTAGCAGAACGAAAGCCATGTGAGATCGTGCCTTGGTAGCTTTGGGGGCTTCGGGGAAGTGCACTATGCCAACATGTATCCTGCAGTATGGAAATTCCACCCGTGGAGACAGGAAGCCCTCTTAAGAAGTCTTCCGTTTAAAATAAGGTCTTACCTTGGCTTCTCCCAGAAAGGGCAGTCTGAGCCGACGGCCTGTGTGTCAGTGGTTTATTTTGATAAGCCATCCTAGGGGTCTGGTGTGAGGGAATCAAGAAGAACCAAACAAGGGCTGGGCTTGGTGGCTCACGCCTGTAATCCCATCACTTTGGGAGGCTGAGGTGGGTGGATCGCCTGAGGTCAGGAGTTCAAGACCAGCCTGGCCAACATGGTGAAACTCCATCTCTACTATTAATAAAAATATAAAAACTATCCGGGCATAGTGGTGCATGCCTGTAATCCCAGCTATTTGGGAGGCTGAGGCACAAGAATCACTTGAACTTGGGAGGCAGAGGTTGCAGTGAGCTCAGATTGCTCCACTGCACTCCAGCCTGGGCAACAGGGCAAGAGTCCATCTCAAAAAAAAAAAAAAAAAAAAAAAAGGAGGAAGGGAAAGCCAACTTAGGGGTGCATTACAGAGCTACAGAGCTGGTTACTCCCATGGGCAAGTGGGAGAGTTCCCCCAGGGAGGCTTTCTGAGGAACCACTGAAAGGCATGGGAAAGGGGAGGTTTCCCCTATTGGCTCTTCCATCCTTTGGTCAAAGTTCGCTCTGGAGTGTTGACTCTCACATTTCCTGGGTTTTGTGTGCATGCACCAGGGCTGTGGAGACAGAAGCCTGGGAGTGGGGGCAGGAGAAAGGAAGGACAGCCGAGGAAGGGATGTCAGGCTCCAACTGCACAGGAGGCTGCTGCAGCAACAGCAGGAGCTCACGGTGGCCTGAGTCAATGGACAAAAGGTCATCAAAGGTGCTTGGCTGAAAGGAAATGTTATCAGAGGAAAAGTTACCATTCCACTAGGCTAGTGCCAGCTACCAAGCATGCATATTCAATTCTGATCAAGCATTTATTGGGCTTTCCACTCCAGGGTCTGGTTTGCTCCCTCAGGGTCCTCCCGAGGAAAGGGACCAGAGGACAGGCAAATTCCGAAAAGTCAGTGGGAGAAGAACCTTTTTGGGGCAGTGAGAGGTGGTGGAAGTTTTCGAGGGAAAACAAGGAAAGCCCATGAGACTGACTCAGATCACCAACTGCCTGAGGAGAGTGTGAAGGAAGCTTGAGAGGTCCTCTGTGGAAAGGAGGAGAGAAGCGCCTGTGGCAAAGCTCTCCAGCTGTACTCAGGAGGAGTCCCTCTAGGAGAAACTCAAATGAAGATGCTTAAAGACAGCAGGGCACTCAGGGATTCACGGAGAGGGAGACTGACAAGTTTTCGAGAAGTCTGAAAGCCTTCATCCTTAGCATATTTTCTGAACTAAGGCCACATTGCAAACCCAGGCCATTACACATGCTTGAAACATAAGACACATTTCCCCAGAAGGCGAGGCCAGTTTCTGTAAAGATTGGTCATGATGAATAGCCTTCTCATTGCTCCACCAAACTTGGGTTTCATTGGAATTGGATTACGCCGTTGCTGCTTTGAACATACAATCCTACTCAGCTGGGAGCTGAGACACTACCTTCTGTGGCCGTAACTCTGCACTCTAATAGAATAACTGTCAGAACCACTAGCCATCAATTCTGGCTCCTCTTTCCTTATTGGTATTGGAAAACACCTTCAATATGTTTAAAACCAAATGCCCAAGTGCTTTATTCCAGAAGGCCAAACACAGCCTGGAACTCCTCAAGCAACCCAGGCCCCCACATATCCCACTTGGTTTATTTTTTGCATGTGCAAACCTAGAGTTCCAAAGACCCACATGCATGGGCTGCAATTCCCAAATAAGGAGAGGAAAAACAGAGGAAATTATCCAGAAAGAAACAGAGTTTCAAACCTCCAAGTCATAAATGTATTAATTACAGCTACCATTTCTTGCATGCTTACTGTGTGCCAGGTCCTGTCCAAAATAGAGTTATCTCATTTGATCCTCATAACAGTGTGAAGTAGGTGCTAGTTTCCACATTTTATAATCAAGGAAACTTGATCAAATAACATGCCCATGGCTGGGCGCAGTGACTCATGCCTGTAATCCCAGCACTTTGGGAGTCTGAGGTGGACGGACAATGAGGTCAGGAGTTCGAGACCAGCCTGACCAACATGGTGAAACCCCGTCTTTACTAAAAATACAAAATTAGCCGAGCATGGTGGTGCATGCCTATAATCCCAGCTACTTGGGAGGGTGAGGCAGAAGAATCGCTTGAACCTGGGAGGCAGACGTTGCAGTGAGCCGAGATCGCGCCACTGCACTCTAGCTTGGGCAACAAGAGAGAAACTTCATCTCAAAAAAACAAACAAACAAACAAACAAACAAAAACAAAAAAACCAGGCTCATAATCATACAGTTGGAAGGGCAAGAGCCAGAACTCAATTCAGATCTGATTCCGAAGCCCTGGCTTTAGGTATTGAGTAGGGGGGAAAATTATAAATAGGAATAAAAATATCCCCTATGAAAACATCTTCTCTCCAAAAGGATGAGTTGAGATATTTCTAATAATCTGTTATCACTGCTTTGAGTTCTTGGCTTCAAGAGCAGAAATATTATCTTTTCTCCTCATTGACTTCTCTTCAGCAAAACCAGGCCACCCAATCACCTCCTCCCCAAAACCACAACCAATTATTCCTACACACTCCTGTTAATTACGAGTTACGCAGGTCCTTTCGGAGACAGAAGGAGTGATGAGGCCAGTCAGCCAGAAAACATCTTCCTTCCACAAACATTCCTCACTGGGGCTAAAGGCTTCAGCTACCCAGATCTTGCAACGTAGTAATGTCTCTAAGCAAAGAGACTTTTTTCCTCCTTTTTGACTCTGGATTGCATCCCATGGTGCTAAAAGAGAACGGACTGAGTAGATTAGGCATCAACTTTGACTCTCCTCTATAGGTAGGGCATGGAATGATTGATTTGCCTCTCTTTATTATGGAGACTTCCTCCTTCACACACATGGATGCCCACTGAACCCTTCTGAGGCCACTTGTCAAGTAAAATGAGGCAGTTGAGAACAACTGAATGAACAACCTCCTCTTTTAAACATTTTAATCGATTCTTTCATCTTGCCGTTGCTCTTGGTGGGTGACTTTCGTACTTGAAGCACTCACCTTTTCTCCATTATGCCCTCTTACCTGCACAGGGTGGTTTTCTGCCTCCTCCTTGTGGAGTGCAATCAACATTCTGTTATTCTCTGTCATTTGGATGTTACTTTGTGCAAACAGTAGTTTAAAAAAAAAAATACCGTCAGGAGCTCTGCTGTCTACACAAATCAACAACAATGAGAAACAAGAAGTGGATTACTACCGAACGAAATCCTTTTTGTTCTAAACTGTAATCAACTATATTGGATGCGAGGTTTGTCCATTTTAAAAATTTAATAATGGGGTTTGGTCCTCTTGTTTCTATAAAAAGGGCATTTATAAATATTAATATGGAATGCCAGGGAAAGAACAATACATAACAATAATGAGAATCACAAAATCCCATCACATTTGACACTGTCATATCACCAGCTTAAGGATTAGCAGGTTAACCTTAGAGTTAAAAATATTGCTTTATGATTAAAAAAAAAACCTCACAATAAAAAAAGCTCCTTGCTGCATTATATATTCGTTGCAGCTTCCTTATTTTTCTTCAGGTGATGGGATCACTGCTTCGATTAACATTTTTGGGGAGAGGAGGCTTATAAGAAGGTGGTAGGTTGACTTATCTGCGTTCTTTCTTGTTCAAGTCATGCTGAGCTTGTCTTTTGTCTAATTCTAACCCCTGACACTACTTGAGTCAAAGGCCTGGCAACTAATATCCCCATTTTAGCTGGGGGTTTTTATCCACTCAGAGCTCCGTTTTAAATGATAAAGTTACCCAAGGTGTCAGTTTTCACCAGTATTTCTAAATACATCTAGTAAAAATGCAGCAATTTCATAGAAATCCAAGCTACTGAGATCTAATCACTGCTTAAGCTGTGGCTTTATTCAAATCTGGATCACCAATATGGCTTAAGATGTAAATGAAGTGCAGAGAGAAATAAAGCAAGAAAATCTCCGATGGCCTTTCTCTCTGCTATTTGAGGCCCAGGCTCTTATCAGTCAATTAATGCAGCTAAACTTCACTGGCAGCATCAGTGTAACGGCACCAGTGGCTGCTGTCCTCCTCCAGCCTCAGCCAAACAAAACACACTTTCAGTAGCCTTAATATGAAATGGGAAAAGGTCAAAATAGACAGCTTTGCCAAATAAATCCCGAAGATCCATTCTAATTTCCACCCAAGGATCTTTTAAGTCGTCCTGGATGCTCTTTATGCTACGTTGATCCACACTTAGTTTCATTAAAACTTTGTGACTTGGTATTTTTCAACCTGATAGCTTCACTAAACTAGTTCTCAAAGTGTCCACTAAGCCGCTATGCATAAAACTACTTTGCTGTCATGGTGGCTTCTAATATCACCTCAATGCAGGCAGCGGCGGTTCTGGAAATGAACCTGATCTACATGCATTCCATCTGAGCTTGGGAATTACTTTCCTTTGGCTTTCACCGGATGTCTTCTGAGGAAGAGGTGCTGTCCTCTGCAGCCCCCACCCTAAACCCTCCTGAAACTGAACGTTGAATTATCTACCACCCTGTATTTGTTCTGGAAGCAATCTACATAGAACAGGACTTTTATCTGCTGAGGTTTCCAGCTGGGATTAACAGATGCTGAAACATTTGGGGAGGAGGGAGGGGCCCACAGAAAAGAAAAGAATTAAAATTAAGGTCTCTTCCAACAATGGCATGGCAAATACAGAGGAGATTCAGACTAAGCTTAAAAAGCAAGAGGTTCCTCAGAGAGGCACATGGAGAACCTAGCTTTACTGACACGAATTTTAAAATGGCAAAAGAAAAAAAAAAAAACAAAAACCACTCTGGCCTCTCGGCTACTCTGGAATTACTTCCCAGCTGGCTGGGTCTCTCTTAGTGATTCCTAGCCCCTCAGCTTCCTTCCACCCTGAGATCTGACAAAACCTTTATTTCTTTATCAATTGCTGTGGTCAGTATACATTACTACAGTCAACAGAACTATTGGCAAAGGGTTTCAAAAAAGGTGGAGATCATTTTTCTAGGGGAAGAGGGGATTAAACATAAAATTAATAAATCAGCCAGGCTGAATAACAGACTCCCAAACCCAGCTGAGTCTGCACTTGTCATGTTTTCAGGGACTATGGTATCCCCACAAGGTCTACCCAACATAGCAGCCGTGGACAGCCCTGCTCAGCCTCCACTTGCTGGGGTGCAGAGTGGAAAACCAGTCCTCACCTTAGCTGTCTTCACCTTCCTCAACAAGCCGCGTCTCAGAATGTGGTGAATATAGGCCAAGATTTGACACCAGGCCTGCATTTATATTTACAAACTCTCAGACTTTGCAATCACATCAACCTGGATTGGAAATCTGCCTCTATCAGCAACTGGCTGTGTGACCTTGGATAACTTCTCTGAGTCTAAATTTCTTTTCTGTTTTTTTTTTTTTTTTTTTTTTTTTTTGAGACAGGTCTTGCTCTGTCACCCAGGCTGGAATACAGTAGTGGCGCAAACACGGCTCACTGCAGCCTCGACCTCCTGGGCTCAAGCAGTCCTCCCGCCCCAAAAGTGGCTGGGCTTACAAAGTCTCAAAATGTTGGGATTACAGGTGTGAGCCACCATGCCTGGTGGCCTCAATCTCTTCATCTATAACATGGAGATGATAATAACACCTTCTGCTAGAGTAGATTGGATACGGTAATTTATGTGGAACACCAATCCTGGTGCCTGGCACGTTTGATGCTTAATGCGGATAATATAATGATACTTATTGTTGTACTAGGACTCTGCACATACCGTGAAGGGGCTAAGCGAGACTCTTCACTAGTGAACAACAAAACACATCCTGAAGCTTCAACCTCCACTTTTGCTGTTAAACCTCTAAGTTTGCTGTGGGTGCTGTTGTTAGTGTTGCCTCTATAACCAAACTGCTCCGGGATTCTCCCCCATTACTTGGAAATTGAGGATATTTAATTCTACAACTCTACCCACTCCCCACCCCATCATTAGACTGTATGTTATAGAAAGATATAACAACCACCGGTAGGCTTGAGTCTCCAGAAATATTAGGGAAAAGTGAAAAGGCCCTTAGGAGAACTCTCAGAATAGCCCAGTAGGCTCTCCTAGGGCCATAACCCAACCTGCTTCACCCTCTTGACTCTTCCTAAGGCATTTTCCAAGATGGCTGCAGTTGCTCCTCCCACTGACCGCAGCCGGCCAACAGTTATGAAGCCCACACAATTCTGCTTTCCTCACTGAGAACCAGATTCAGAAAAGTGAAGCCTTGTGATGATGATGGATGGCTATAAAGACCAGGGAGGCGGAGGAGGAATCAGCCACAGGATGTGTTCCCTGTAATCTGGAAGAATCTGGGGTTGAGGTGTGGCTTCAGGTTTTGGGAACATGAGGAATGGGTTAGTCACCTCCCTGTTGATGGCATCAAAAAGCTCCTAATGGCCTGAGGTGCTGGGAGAGGCCTCTTGCACAGAGGAGGGGGTGGAAAGAGCACTGGGCGACGGGGTCAGGGACCCCTGCTCTTGCTCTGCTACAGAATGACTGCTTGACTTCACCTCTCTGAAGCCTAGTATCCACATCTTTAAATGAAGTAGTTGACCCCATTACCAGGGATTATCTCCGAAGGATGAGATTACAGGAAGAACTTTCACTCTTCATTTTAAACACCTGTACTTGTTTAAAAACATTTTTTAAACACCACATTGTATTACTTGTACAATATAAACTTTTCATTGAAATGGAAACTCAGGGGCTAGGGCTAGATCTCCTATAAAATCCAGAGGAAATGGTGGGTAAGGATTGCATAGGTGGCCAAGTAAGGACCAACCGGGAACAACTGAGGAAAAAGTCTCTGAGCACTTATCATGACTAAGACAAGATAGGATCCAGAATATTCTCACATAGATCATCAGATCACATTGGGCCTGTGAAACCCAGATTCCACTGAGACCTACTTCTTACACACTGGATAATCATGTGATCAACTAGAGCTCCTTCCTTTAAATCTGTGGGTCCTTTGGAACATTTCCTGGCACCATGAAACGGGATCCTGAGAGGAACATGGGCAATGGGGCTGGAGCTGTCCTGCAGGCTCTCTCAGCTTGGGGACTGGCCCTTGTTGCTCAGTCAAGGTGCACAGGATAGTCCTTCAAGTCTTTTGTTGGACTTGGCCAGCTGGCCCTGTCGCCCAGCAGCTTTAGTCTCTATTCGGAGGCCATGGGTCTAATGCGTTGTGACCGGCCTTTTCTGGCCTGAGGTCATCTCCTGGGCACCCTTGCCTTTCTCCCCTCTTCATGTTCATGTCCTAGGTTACCAAATAATTTAGATCAGTAGTTCCCAAACCTGGCTGCATATCAGAAGCACCTGGGCAGTGAGTTAATAACAGATTCCTGAGCCCTATCCCAGGAGGTCCTAGACTAGGTGGGACTCAAAAATTGCATTTATTTTGAAGCAGTGCAGGTATTTCTGATGCCACCAGGCAGGGACAGTGACATCCACTGTGACATGTTACCGGATGATCTTTTTAGGGCTTCCCAGGTGCATGGTTCAGACCTGAAAACATAGTCACTCATGAACAAGCCATCTAGACAGTTGAACCTAAACATTAATCCCAACCCACTGCTGCACCACGCACAGGTGGGCAATTAGTGATGGGAACATGGCTGAGGGGGTTTTGACAATACTGAGTGTGTCCCTCCCCTACTCCATCTGCAATGTACTGCATCCCACTCTGTCCCCGACACCCAACAGCAAGTTAACTGCAGATGGAACTAACCTCAAAAAACAAGAAAAGCGCTGCAGGAGGCCTTCTTGGCTTCGGGAGAGTTCAGTCCAATTTGCCACCAATATCAAGGCTTGCTTTTGATTATGTTGATGATAAAGACTGTAAACAAAACAGCCTTTCTCTACTAATTAATTCCCTTCGAAGAACTCTAAAGATCTTTAATTACACAGTTTGAAAAGCAGCGGTTACCCGATCGGCCTGATCGGGCTCTGCACTCCTCTCTGTCCACCTGAATGAAATATTTTCTTGTTTTCCCTGCTTCACACACCTAGGACGGGCTTGCAGTAAATCCTGTCAACTAAACGCCTGACAAAAGTGCTCTGATGTCAGGTATAAAGAATGCCACCTACAGCTTAATGTCTGGAAAAAAAAATTCTGAGGGCTGCAAACAATGAAGGTTTTTGTCTTCTTAATGCCCAGTATGCAATCGAGTGGAAATGCTACTTCCATCCATAATCTACAAATGAAATTAAAGTTGTTGAAAGACACAGAGTAAACCAGAAGCCTTTGTTTCTTTGCAGAACAGGAAAAATTTAAACCACTAAATGTTTTAGCAGATTTACTAAATTTCCAATTAAATCATGAAATCTGCTATCGCGGAGTTCTAAGAAGGCAGTATCTTTCCCATTCTTTTCTCTGTCTCTCTCTGCCTCCTCCTCTCCACTTGTGAACACATATGTATGATATACTATAAGCAAGCCAAATTCCCAAGTCCTCCAACACGTATATAGCCTCTGTGCAATCTGGGGGAAACTGGGGTATAGAGAGGGGCACACAAGCCTCAAGGTAAATGAGGCCAGCTCAGCAGTGATTTTGGGGACAGATGGGGCCAGGTTTTGGGGAAAAATAGGAGTTTCCCCCCTCTCTATGCTTGCAGGGTTCCTGGGCCCCCAGCAGGTCGAGGCAGCAGGCTGGAGCTGAAAGGCCTCAGGCACTCAGGCGTGGGGAGGGAGTCAGATCTGCTATACAAGAGCACCCTCTGCCAGTTGGCACAGAGGGCTGGCTGGAGAGGCCTGTGGCCCAGAGTCAGGGGAAAGGGCACGGCACCCTGCATTCAAAGCTTGCAGGGTTGGGAGCCAGGCAGGAGAGAGATTCTATCTTCAAAATAGAACATTCACCTCTGGAACAATAGCCGGTGCAGGCAGGAGCAATGCTGATTTTCCAAGGGCTCTCCACATTAATCCTCCCCACCAAATCCAGCCACTAGGAGCCTGAATGGTCCTCCAGACACCCATTCAGTAGAAAATGACGGGTGATTTTTGCCCTTGTCTCCCGAGATCTCCGGTGAGCACCGCTGCTCTGGCTGACATGTGTTTGTAAAGATAAAGCACCAGGCTACTTTGGGGGCCCTCCCAGGCTATTACAAAGAGCAAGTGGTGCCAACCATGGCTTTTTAGAATTGAGCTGTTAAATTTTTTTATATGCACCTCTTTCTGAAAAGGATTTGAAGCAACTTACAAAAAGGCAAACACAATAAAGTCATTCAACTAAAATTAGAAAAGCAAAGCCATGGAAAGGAGAAGAACCAAGCATTGACTAGGAAGTATAATAGAATTACTGTGATTTAGCATCAGATTAGGCCTTGAGCTTCCTGGCAGCCAGGGCAAGAAAGGATACCCAATGAGACAGTCCATACAACCTATTAGAAGGAAGCGGGACAATTCTCTAAGAGAGATTTTTTGTTTTTTCTTCTGGCATTAACTTTCTTTTCTTTCTCTCTCTCTCTCTCTCTCTCTCTCTGTGTGTGTGTGTGTGTGTGTGTGTGTGTGTGTGTGTTTTCTGAGACGGAGTTCCACTCTTGTTGCCCAGGCTGGAGTGCAGTGGCGCAATCTCAGCTCACTGCAACCTCTGCCTCCCAGGTTCAAGCGATTCTCCAGACTCAGCCTCCCAAGTAGCTGGGATTACAGGTGCCTACCACCACGCCCAGCTAATTTTTGTAATTTTAGTAGAGACGGGGTTTCACCATGTTGGCCAGGCTGGTCTCAAACTCCCGACCTCAGGTAATCCACCCGCCTCAGCCTCCCAAAGTGCTGGGATTACAGGGATGAGCCACTGTGCCCGGCGCATTAACTTTCTTTTAGGAGACTTTGCATAGGAAACTTTGAAAACATTATACAGTGTGTCTATCAATCTTGTTGTATAGTAAATGCAGACGCAATTCTGATATTGCTCTTTCTTGCTATAATCTTTGGCATTTGCAAAGGGCATTTATCAATCACAACTCAATAATGGTAAATCTTAATGGGATAAAGCAAAGTGTGGGGTGAAGGGTAGCTACACAAATGTGAATCAAATTTTAGTTCTTGTCCACCATGGTGGTATGTGCCTGTAGTCCCACCGGGGAGGCTGAGTTGGAAGAATCACTTGAGCCCAGGAGTCTGAGGCTACAGTGCACTATGATCATGCCTGTGAATAGCCGCTGTATTCCAGAACATAGCAAAACTCATCTCTAAAAAATAAAAAAAGAAATAAAATTTAGCTTTGGGGTACTTCATTTATTCACTGGTGCATTTGATATTTATCAAGTGCCTACTAAGTGTCAGGCTCTAGTAAGGGAAACAGAGCAGTGAAGCAGTGGGCAAAGTCCTACTCTCAGGGTATGATCTCATCTGATGCCAAGAAAGAACTTAAAATCCCCAGAGGAGTGGGTGGATAGCAGGCAAGATTCCTGGAGTTTAGTTGCTAAGTAAGAGCAGGTGTAACAAATAGAGTGCTTTCAGATATAGATCTCAGAAATCTCACCTCAAACTGCCTAAAATAATAAAGAAATGTGATTTTTTTTTTTTAAAATTCAGTGGCTCAACAATGCCTTCTCTGGGTTATACCATCTTCACTGTTGGCCCCATCCTTGGACTCATAGCTATAAGGCTGCAGCAGTTCTGGGAGTCACAAAAAGAACAAGCTGCAGAGCAAGACAGAAGACTATTTCTTCCTGTTGCTTTCTCTTAGGATGGAGGAAAAATGGTCTAGCCCATGTCTCCACCTCCTCCAGCAGACTACTTTTGTCTCACTGGCCAGAGGGCCCACATGTCCATTTGTGATCCCATCTTGTCAAGGAGGCTGGGGTCACTCTTAGACCAACCAAGCCACTCCTGAAGTTGGCTTCCCTTCTAATACTTGGCCAGGTGTGAAAGGAAGACACTCGAGCAAAGTTGGGGTTGTGTTGGAAAGGAAGAAGGGGCAGGGGAGAAGCGGATGTTGGGCAGACAGCTAACACTATCATTTTGGCCTTAAAATGCCAATCCCTTGGGGGATGTGAAGATTAGTGTAGAGTCATCAAGGCTGTTGGAATGTCTGTCTGCCTAGGCTTCTCAGGAAAAGAACCTTACTAAATAGTAAATCCTTACTATTTGCCTTATTTCTTGAATGAGACTTACTATTATCCATATCTGCCAATTCCTCAGTTAAAGCCTTTACTTCTGTTTGTACACATTAAAAAAAATTCTTTTAACTGGTCTTCCTACCTCCAATCTTACCCAGATCTAGTCCAACTTCCACACTGTTAGTGGAACCATCTTCTCAAAAATAAATGTACAATATTATTCTCTTGTGTAGCAACGTCTTTGACTTGCTATCACCTATAATACAAAGTTAAACATCTTTGCATTAACATACCAAAAAAAAATACTTAGGTATACATCTAACAAATGTGTATGACATTTATGTTAGGAAAACTAAAAAACTTATGAAAGAAATCAATGTAGAGCTAAATAAATTGAAAGACATTCCATGCTCATGGATAGGAAGGCTAAATATTATTAAGATGTCAGTTCTTCCCAACATGATCCATAGATTTAATGCAGTGCTAATCAAAATCCCAGCAAGTTATTTTGTGAGTATCAACAAATTGATTGGAAAGTTTATATATATATATATATATTTTTTTTTTTTCCTTACCGATAGCACTCCCGCAAACATGGTGAATGTTCCTAAAACTCACTGGACTTTCTGTAAGAAGTGAGGCAAGCACCAACCCCACAAAGTGACACAGTACAAGAAGGGCAAGGAATCTCTGTAGGCCCAGGGAAAGCGGCGTTACGACAGGAAGGAGAGTGGCTGTGGTGGGCAGACTAAGCCGATTTTCTGGAAAAAGGCTAAAACTACAAAGAAGATTGTGCTAAGGCTTGAGTGCATTGAGCCCATCTGCAGACCTAAAAGAATGCTGGCTATGAAGAGATGCAAGCGTTTTGAATGGGGAGGAGGTAAGAAGAGTGAGGGCCAAGTGATCCAGTTCTAAGTGTCATCTTTTGTTTGATTAGGAAGACAATAAAATCTTGAGTTAAAAAAAAAAGTTTATATTGAAAGGCAAATAAAACCAAGAAGACTAAACACAACATTGAAGAAAAAGTCAGAGGTCTGATGCTAGCCAGCTTCAAGACTTATGATAAAACTACAGTAATCGAGGCAGTATAGTATTGGTGAAAGAATAGACAAATAAATCAATGAAATAGAATAGACCCACAGAAATAGACAAGTATAGCCAACTGATTTTTGACGAAGGAGTAATGGCAATTCAGTGGAGAAAGGACATTCTTTGGAACAAATGGTGCTGGAACAACTGGACCATGCAAAGAAAGGAAAAAGAAAAGGAATCCAGATGTAATTCTTACACCTTTTGCAAAATTAATTCAAAATGGATCATCGGCCTAAAGTAAAATGCAAAACTATTAAACTTCTAGAGATAATATATGAGAAAATCTAGACAACATTGGATTGGGTGATGACTTTTTAGATACAACACACACAAAAAAATGATTCATGAAAGAAAACATCAAAAATTTGAACTTTATTAGAATTAAAAACTTCTGCTCTGCAAAAGACACTGTTAAGAGAATGAAGAGACAAGCTACAGACTGGGAGATAATATTTGCAAAACACCTAACTGATAAAGCACTTGTATCCAAAATACACAAAGAACTCTTCAAATTTAACGGTAAGGAAACAGACAACCCAATTTAAAAATGGGTGAAAGATCTGAACTGATATCTCAACAAAAAAGATATAGAGATGGCAAATAAGCACATGAAAAGATGCTCAACATTAGGGAATTGCAAATTAAAACAACAGTGAGATACCATTACATATCTATTAGAATGGATAAAAACCAAAACACTGACAACATCAAATCCTGGTGAGGATATAGAGCAACAGGAACTCTCGTTTATTGCTGGTGGGAATACAAAATGGTATAGCCACTATTGAAGACAGTTTGGCAGTTTCTTACAAAGCTAAACATAGTCTTACCCTATGACCCAGCAATCACACTCTTTGGTGTTTTACACAAATGAGTTGAAAATTTATGCGCACACAAAAACCTGACATTTACAATTGTCAAAAACTTGAAAACAACCAAGATATCCTTCAATAAGCAAATGGATAAACAAACTCAAGTACATCCATATAATGGAATATTAGTCTGTAATAAGAAGTGAGCTATCAAGCCACGAAAAGACTTAGAGGGGCCTTACATGCTCATTGCCAAGTAAAATAAGCCAGTCTGGACCAAGCACAGAGTGACTCACACCTGTAATCCCAGTACTTTGGGAGGATGAAATGGGAAGATTACTTGAGGCCAGGAGTTTGAGACCATCCTGGGCAATGTAGCGAGGCCCTGTTTCTACAAAATAAAAATATTAGCCAGGCATGGTAACCAGCATCTATAGTCCAAACTACTCAGGAGGCAGAGGTGGGGGGATCTCTTGATCCCAGGAGTTCAAGGCTGCAGTGAGCTATGATCATCTCACTGTACTCCAGCCTGGGTGACAAAGCGAGATTCTGTCTCTATAAAATATTTTTTTAAAAAAAGAAAAAGTAATTCTGAGAAGGCTACATACTATACGATTCCATCTATATGACATTCTGTAAAAAGCAAAAATATAGACAGTAGAAAGATCCATGGTTGCCAAGGGTTTCAGGGAAGATGGAGGAGGATTAATGGGTAGAAAATAGGAGATTTTTAGGGCAGTGAAGTTGTTTTTGTGTGATTCACACTTGTGGGTATATGACACTGTGCATTTGTCGAAACCCGTAAAACTGAACAACACAAAGAGTGAACCCTAATGTAAACTATAGATATTAGTTAATAATAGTGTATCAATATTGATTCATCAATTGTAACTAATGTATCACACTAATGCCAGATATTAATGGGGAAAACTAGCGGGGAAGAGAAAGGGGGTAAGAGAGGATGGAAACTGTATTTTCTGACCAATTTTTCTATAAATCTAAAATTGTTCAAAAAAATAAAGTCTATTAATTAAAAAAAATCTTTACTATGACATAAAAGACTCTTCACTGTCAAGATGGTATCATTCGCCCTAAACTTAGCTCCACAAATTCTTGCCTATATCCTTTGCATTTTTTAACTTCTCATTTTTCCTAACCACGCAGTGCCATTTTTTTTGGGTCCAGAACATTGCACTTTGCTTAGAATACTGCTGTCTTTATTCACTGACTGACAAACTTCTATGCATCAAGGTAAGCACTGCTTGCATGCCTACTATGTGCCAGGCCTATCAAAGTCCCTACCCTAGAGAAGCCCACAGTCTATTGGAAAGAAAACAACTCAAACAACCATTATAATTTTTTTTTTTTTTAGAAAATCTCGCACCCTCACCCGGGCTGGAGTGCAGTGGCGTGATCTTGGCTCACTGCAACCTCTGCCTCCTGAGTAGCTGTGATTACAGGCATCTGCCAGCACTCCCAGCTAATTTTTATATTTTTAGTAGAGACAGGGTTTCACCATGTTGGCCAAGCTGGTCTTGAACTCCTAACCTCGTGATTCGCCTGCCTTGGCCTCCCAAAGTGCTGGGATTACAGGCGTAAGCCACTGCGCCCGCCCCATCATGAATTTTTTACTGCAGTAATTAGTTTCATCCAGTTTTCTTGTTTATAATCCACAGTATCAAAATTACCCTCCTGTTTTAAAATAGCTTCTGGAAGCATCTCTGTTTCTTCAGATGGTAATTCTACCATTATACAATGGTGAAGGAATGAAATAGATGGAGTATCAACTGTCATGTTTATTACCAAAGTATATTGCCACATAGGGAATGTGCCCATTCTACAGGGTAGCAATGAGGCTCAGGGAAGTTCCGGAATTTGGGTAAGGTTGCTAAACTAGAAGGTTGCACAGTTCTTGCAAACTCAGTGCTTTGCAAGAACAGAATTACCATCTGCTGATGGCTTCACCCCACACAACCCAGAAAGTAGCCCTAGCAGGTAACTTATTTCAGATTAGAGGTTGGTTGGCCTGAAAAGCCAAGCTGAAATCTAGCTGGGCCTATCCATAAAAAGAAGGCTTGAAAACATCCTCCAACCCCATGAATAAATGGAGACACTAGCCCTAGCCTCCTTACAGTCACGATGTGGCAGAGGATGGGTTGTGGTTAGTTTTTACACTACTGTATCCACTCTGCCTAGCACAGTGCCTGACCCACAGCAAATGCACTTGAAATATCAGCTAAGTAAAAATAAAATAAAGGTCCCTATGTTTACCTTACCCCTTTTTAAGTCACTTCCATCTGCACTATCTCTTTGATATCACATTAGCCCTAAAGACTATGTAGAACAGAAATCATAGTCCTCATGCTATGTGAAGAAAGAAAATCGGGACCAGCATCCAAGTTTCTTCATGTCCAGTCCAGAGCACTTTGTGTCTCAAAGCCACCCTTAAGGAAGCAGAGGCTCAGTGAGTTGGGATGGTCAAGTCCACCACTTATTGAACACTCACTATTATATTATCTAATTTAATGCTAACAGTAGTATTGTGGGGTAGATTTCAATATTCCTATTTTAAAGAAGAGAAAACAGGCTCATTGAAATTGTCACTTGCCTAAGGTCACAAAGCTTTGTTTTCTAGTTATTCATACAAATTTATGGGGCACATGAGAAATTTTGTTCCGTGTATATAATGCATAATGATCAAGTCAGGGTTTTCAGGGTGTCGAAGTACAATGCATTTTTGTTAAGTATAGTCACACTACTCTGCTATCAAACATTGAATTTATTCCTTCTGTTTTACTACTGTATGTTTGTACCCTTTGACCCAGTTCTCTTCTTCCTCCTCGCTCACCCCATTCATCCTTCCTAGTCTCTGTTAGCTATTTTTCCACTTCCTTCTTTCATATGACCAAATTTTCTAGTTCCCTCATATTAAGTGAGAACATGCAATACTTGTCTTTTTGTGCCTGGCTTATTTCAATTAACATAATGGCCTCCAGCTCCATCCATGCTGCTGCAAATGACAGGATTTCATTATTTTTATGGCAGAATAGTATTCCATTGTGTATATAAAACACATTTCTTTACCCATTCATCTGCTGATTCCATATCTTTGCTATTGCTTTGCTATTGTGAATAGTGCTGCAATAAATATGTGAGTGCAGGTATCCCTTTGATACATTAATTTCATTTTCTTTGGGTAGATGCCCAGTAGTGGGATTGCTGAATCAAATGGTAATTTTATTTTTAGTTTTGTGAAAAATCTCCATACAGTCTTCCATAGTGGCTGTACTAGTTTACATTCACACCAACCATGTGTAAGAGTTCCCTTTTCTCCACATCCTCACCAATATCTGTTAATTTTTGTCTTTTTAGTAGTAGCTATTCTGATGGGGTTAAGGTGATATCTCGTTGTGGTTTAGATTTGCATTTCTTTGAAGATTAGTAATATTGAGCATTCAAAAAATATACCTCGCATGCCTGTTGGCCATTTGTATGTCTTCTATTGAGAACTATCTATTCATTTCCTTTGCCCACTTTTTAATAGGACCTTTTATTCCTGTTGAGTTGTTTGAGTTCCTCGTATATTCTGGATATTAGTTTCTTTCAGATGAATAGTTTGCAAAATATTTTCTCCCATTCAACAGGTTCTCTCTTTGCTCTGTTGATTGCTCCCTTTGCTGTATAGAAGCTTTTTAGTTTAGTCCAATTTATCTATTTTTGTCTCTGTTGTCTGTGTTTTTGAAGACTTAGTCACAAATTATTTGCCTAGACCAATGTCTGGGAGAGTTTTTTTTTAAGGTTTTCTTCTAGTATTTCTATAGTTTTGGGTCTTATGTTTAAGTCTTTAATCCACTTTGAGTTGATTTTGTATATGGGGAGAGATGGGGTTCAGTTTCATTCTTCTGCATTTGGCTATCCAATTTTCCCAGTGAGAGCCTAGATTCAAATCCAATTTCACTGGACTCCAAAATTCATGAATTTTCTTTCTATGATGTCAATGTACTGCCCAGTTTTCTAGATTAGGAAACTTTGAAAGGGTGTTATGTAATAAATATTATTTTTTTTTGAAAACTGGCTCCCCTCTGCTGTTTAATGAGGTGATCACAATGCTTCAAATGCAGTGGATCAGGTGAGAGTTGATGGATAATCTAATGCAGTTGTCAGCAAAGGGAGGGGCCAAAGTACAGCACACGCAGCCTCTGTCCTGTTCAGTTTACACCTGCAACATTGGATCTCTTTTTGGAAGCTGCCTTTCAAGAGGAACATTGATCTTGGACACCATGGCCCTGGAAGGTGACAACAATGGGAGGTGTGAGCCTGGAAACCACTTTTTAATGAATGAAGAGATTAGCTGTGTCTAACTTGGAGAAGACTGAGGAAGCCCATTGTTGTGGATAAAAAATGAAAAGTACTATTAGTAGAGGAGTAGGGGACTCACACCATGTGTTCCAGGAAGAAAGACCAAAACCAACGTACATGAATGCAAACCAACTCACAGAGAAAAGAGTGCTCAAACCCATGGTGGAAAGACTGGCCATGACATGGTGAGCTCCTTATCCTCTGCTCATCATTGTCCTCCCATGTCTTTGTCTCATATTTATGATCACCTGCCAGGTATGCTAGGTAAAAAATATCTGTGCATCTTGGCCCAAGTCCTCTAAAAGGCAGTGTCAAAGGCAATAGTTTACATGGTTACCCTTTACTGGGGTGCAGGGTACAATCGTAGGGAAGCAGAAGTGAGGGGCAAATCAAGTGAGGCAGAGAAGCAGTGAGATAAATATGGGAGCATGTTACTGAGCTGGTCTCAGCTTTGAAACAGGTGCCACTGATTGCTCAATCTTGTGGGGTTCATTAGAAAGACTATGTGAACTGCATCACAGTCTGTCCAGGAGGAGAAAGGGAGATAAATCATACCAAGAGTTGCCTTCCATCCCTGTCTTCCATTGGCTAGAGTCTGGCCCATAAGTGATTTACCTTTTTGCACTGTGGATTGCATTACCTGTCTCTGTGCAGCCACTGGGGAGGCCAGCGCCCCCGCCTGAGAGAACAATGCAGCCAGTGGACTCCTCTGTCTGCTGGGGTGATGGCAGCAGCAGCAGTGACCTGGATCCATGACCCTGGGAGTGGTCAAGCTGTCACTACAGCCACTCTGGCTGGAAAGGGAGGGCAGCACACAGTGGCCCACAGGCTGAGTCTAACAGAGTTTGAGCCAGAAGGGAAATAAATTGTCCAGGAATAAGGGAAGGAAGGTGCTATGACTGAATGCTTGTGTTTCCCCCAAATTCCTATGTTGACATCCTAATCCTCAAGGTGATGGTATTTGGAGACTGGGCCTCTGGGAAGTAATTAGGTTATGATGGGGAATCCCTCATCAATGGGATTAGTGCCCTTATAAAAAGGACTCCCGGCCGGGCGCGGTGGCTTACGCCTGTAATCCCAGCACTTTGGGAGGCCAAGGCGGGTGGATCACGAGGTCAGGAGATCGAGACCATCCTGGCTAACATGGTGAAACCCCATCTCTACTAAAAATACAAAAAAATTAGCTGGGTGTGGTGGCGGGCACCTGTAGTCCTAGCTATTTGGGAGGCTGAGGCAGGAGAATGGCGTGAACCCGGGAGGTGGAGCTTGCAGTTAGCTGAGATTGCGCCACGGCACTCCTCAAGGAACCAGGAAACGGGCCCTCACTAGACACTGAGTCTGCCGGCACCTTGATCTTGGACTTCCCAGACTCCTGATTCATGTCTATTGCTTATATGTCACTCAATGTTATTCTGTTCTAGCATCCCAAATGGAATAAGACAGAAGGGAATAACAGTCAGGGGAAAACCAGTGCCTAGTCCTGGCTTGTGGTATAATAACAGCAATAGATTCTGAATGAGCACTTAGCATGGGCCAGTTTGCATTTATTATGTCATTGAATCCCCTCAGCATCCTATAGAGGAAATATTATTGCCTACATTTTCTAGATGAAGCTGACGCCCAGAGAGGTCAGGTCCAACACCTTGCAGGGGTCTCCCAAATGAGAAAGAAAGATGGGATCATGAACTCGTAAACACATGCCACACCCTAGCTCCTCACCCAAGGCTAATGCTCCTGGAAGGATGCCTTAAGACACAGAAAGCAAGTGCTCTGCACATTCAGAAGGCTGGAGTGGGCTGGCCAAGCTCCACCTTAATAACCAGGGAAACACTCAGTCATCTCAAGGAAGCAAACAGGTTATGTCAGTACAATGCAAAGGCGTGCTGGACAACAGGCTTAGTGAGGAACGTCTGAAAGCTCAGTGTGGATCCCTGACCTGCCCTAGAAACATCGCAATTTACCAAAAAATTACACACTTTATTCTGAATGGGTAGGTAGAGAACGATGTGGGAAGCTTTATGCCACTCTCCAAAGGCAAAGAAATAAGATTGTAGCCGAAAAGTAGTAGTAAATGGAGTGTTTCTCATGTGGACCTATGGAACTTTGGGATGCTGGGATGTCCTGCTTCTGGCCAGCATATGAGATGGGGGAAAGCAATGTCGCATCTTGCAAGCACAATGCCAGGGCACAAAGGATCTGGGAACAGAGGGACTGTCTGAACCACAGGCACCCACCCCTGCACTAGCTCTGAGTTATGGAAGGAAAGGCAAGAGCATATGAACAATCCAGGAAGAAACAGCATCATGATGCTGAGGTCTCCTTCTCTTTCCTGGTGGTTATCAAATACCATCCAGAACACACAGTGATGTTGAGAGATGACCCTGTCAACGTTGGGGACTGCCATTATCACCAGCCTCCAAGGGCATCAAGCATTCCAAAGAGATCATGTGTTTTTCTCTGCCAGGCTAACTCAGGTTCCTACAGATGGTATATGGAGAAAGGCAAAATCCTCTCTACTCCAATTCAGGGATAAATTGAAGGTCATGTTGAAGACCAAGCCTAAGTTAGCAGGGGGGCCTACAGGGACACACCACTCCTTGGCTGCCACAGGCAGGAGTGAAGAGGGCCTTGAAGATGTTAATGCAGCCCTGTCTCAGCATGGAGAGGTCACTGTTCAATACCCTGGAGCTGGTTAGAAGAGAGAAGCCAACGATCGTCTGGGAAAGGGCAACTGCAAAGTCATCTCAAAAGATCGCTCTTTCAGGTTTGGGCATGGTATCCTGAAAGAGGAAGCATGCTGTCAATGGAACAGGTTCTCATTATTTGTTTGGCATCTGGCTGCTATTTGGAGGGCT
Source organism: Homo sapiens (assembly GCF_000001405.40). NCBI lineage: Eukaryota > Metazoa > Chordata > Mammalia > Primates > Hominidae > Homo > Homo sapiens. The sequence continues at coordinate 56,675,217 of NC_000014.9, read as the reverse complement.
AAATACACGTTAGGTAACGCTGAATACCCCAAACCCATATGTTCCTCTGGCCTCATGTTGCTTCCACTCTCTTATAAAGTTCGAAGCCCTGAGAATGGCGTACAACGCCCTTCTGTAGACGGCCCCACCAGCCATCCCACACTCTCCCCATCACTGTAGCCTTCACTCCTATTTATGAGGCACTCAGACCTACTTGCTACTGCCCAAACACACTGCATAGAGATGTGCTTGCATAGTTGGGTTTTCCCTCTTGGCTTCTGTCATGGCAATGAGAAAGACATCCTGCTCGGCCAATCCCAGGAAATGAGACGTTCTAAATAGCCTGAAGCCAAGCCCAGCTGTGCCTAACCTGGATCGGCCAAACTCTAGTCTTATCACAGGTGTGTAAGTAAGAAATCAGTGCTCGTTGTCATATGCTACTGCCCCATCTTTCTGTATCTCTGCTTCACAAAAGGGCTTCCCCTGCTTTACCTGTTTTATATCCTGTTCTCTGCACTCTGTCAGGCATCTCCATCCCTCACTTGTGTCTGAAAGCTGTTTCCTTCACCTGTTCCTCATCTGCATTTAAGCTGGCTCCACGGGCTCCAATCATTAAACCAAAACATCCACACTGACCCACAAGTTCTCCTTCAGTAATCACCCTCACTCTCCTTCTCAGTCTGATTTCTTGGTGAGTTGTCCATGTCAGTGGCTCAGCTCCTGTCTTCACGTCCTAATTTCCCACTCATTCCTCCAGACTGAAATCGGACTCTCCACTGTCATCCTAGGAAACCACCCTCGCATCTCTGTTCTTACACTGCTTCTTCGCAGTGGCTTTGACTTTGGATCACCCCCTCTCTGAAATGCCCTTTCCTCTTGGTCTTTTGGTATCACACAGGCTTCTTCTTTCTTTTGGGGACATCACTTTCTCTGCCCTTCTTTTTTTTTTTTTTTTTTTTTTTTTGAGACGGAATCTCGCTCTGTCGCCCAGGCTGGAGTGCAGTGGCACCATCTCGGCTCACTGCAACCTCCGCCTCCCGAGTTCAAGAGATTCTCCTGCCTCAGCCTCCTGAGTAGCTGGGATTATAGGCGTGTGCCACCACACCCAGCTAATTTTTGTATTTTAGTAGAGACGGGGTTTCACCATGTTGGCCAAGCTAGTCTTGAACTCCTGAACTCAAGTGATCTGCCCTCCTTGGCCTCCAAAACTGCTGGGATTACAGGCATGAGCCACCGCACCTGGCCTCACCTCTGCCTTTCTCTTAAAGATTGATGTTTCTCAGGGCCCTTTCCTTGCCCCTTATTTATTCCTACTCTATGTCCTTCCCATGGGAGGTCACATCCACTGCAAGGGTTTCATGTACCATCTATCTGTTGGTGGCCTCCAGTCCTCATCTCTAGACCAGAACTCACTACTGAGTGCCAGACCCATAATCCAGATTCCTACTGGAGTATCATCTATCTATTACACAAATATTTTGCTGACCACTCGTGTGTACCAGACACTTGTTGTAGGTGCTGGATGTACAAGCAGTGAACAAAACAGACAAAAATCCCATCCTCATGAAGCATAGAGGTCACTAGAATAGGGGAGGTCAGACAATAAATAAATAAGATGTTAGCACTATCAGAGGATGATGAGCAGAGGGCGATGTCATCTGCTTGTATTTCTTTTTTTTTTTTTTTTTTAATTATACTTTAAGTTTTAGGGTACATGTGCACATTGTGCAGGTTAGTTACATAATGTATACATGTGCCATGCTGGTGCGCTGCAACCCCTAACTTGTCATCTAGCATTAGGTATATCTCCCAATGCTACCCCTCCCCCCTCCCCCCACCCCACCACAGTCCCCAGAGTGTGATATTCCCCTTCCTGTGACCATGTGATCTCATTGTTCAATTCCCACCTATGAGTGAGAATATGCGGTGTTTGGTTTTTTGTTCTTGCGATAGTTTACTGAGAATGATGGTTTCCAATTTCATCCATGTCCCTACAAAGGACATGAACTCATCATTTTTTATGGCTGCATAGTATTCCATGGTGTATATGTGCCACATTTTCTTAATCCAGTCTATCATTGTTGGACATTTGGGTTGGTTCCAAGTCTTTGCTATTGTGAATAATGCCGCAATAAACATACGTGTGCATGTGTCTTTATAGCAGCATGATTTATAGTCCTTTGGGTATATACCCAGTAATGGGATGGCTGGGTCAAATGGTATTTCTAGTTCTAGATCCCTGAGGAATCGCCACACTGACTTCCACAATGGTTGAACTAGTTTACAGTCCCACCAACAGTGTAAAAGTGTTCCTATTTCTCCACATCCTCTCCAGCACCTGTTGTTTCCTGACTTTTTAATGATTGCCATTCTAACTGGTGTGAGATGGTATCTCATAGTGGTTTTGATTTGCATTTCTCTGATGGCCAGTGATGATGAGCATTTTTTCATATATTTTTTGGCTGCATAAATGTCTTCTTTTGAGAAGTGTCTGTTCATGTCCTTCGCCCACTTTTTGATGGGTTTTTTTTTTTTTTTTCTTGTAAATTTGTTTGAGTTCATTGTAGATTCTGGATATTAGCCCTTTGTCAGATGAGTAGGTTGCGAAAATTTTCTCCCATGTTGTAGGTTGCCTGTTCACTCTGATGGTAGTTTCTTTTGCTGTGCAGAAGCTCTTTAGTTTAATTAGATCCCATTTGTCAATTTTGGCTTTTGTTGCCATTGCTTTTGGTGTTTTGGACATGAAGTCCTTGCCCACGCCTATGTCCTGAATGGTAATGCCTAGGTTTTCTTCTAGGGTTTTTATGGTTTTAGGTCTAACATGTAAATCTTTAATCCATCTTGAATTGATTTTTGTATAAGGTGTAAGGAAGGGATCCAGTTTCAGCTTTCTCCATATGGCTAGCCAGTTTTCCCAGCACCATTTATTAAATAGGGAATCCTTTCCCCATTGCTTGTTTTTCTCAGGTTTGTCAAAGATCAGATAGTTGTAGGTATGCGGCGTTATTTCTGAGGGCTCTGTTCTGTTCCATTGATCTATATCTCTGTTTTGGTACCAGTACCATGCTGTTTTGGTTACTGTAGCCTTGTAGTATAGTTTGAAGTCAGGTAGTGTGATGCCTCCAGCTTTGTTCTTTTGGCTTAGGATTGACTTGGCGACGCGGGCTCTTTTTTGGTTCCATATGAACTTTAAAGTAGTTTTTTCCAATTCTGTGAAGAAAGTCATTGGTAGCTTGATGGGGATGGCATTGAATCTGTAAATTACCTTGGGCAGTATGGCCATTTTCACGATATTGATTCTTCCTACCCATGAGCATGGAATGTTCTTCCATTTGTTTGTATCCTCTTCTATTTCCTTGAGCAGTGGTTTGTAGTTCTCCTTGAAGAGGTCCTTCACATCCCTTGTAAGTTGGATTCCTAGGTATTTTATTCTCTTTGAAGCAATTGTGAATGGGAGATCACTCATGATTTGGCTCTCTGTTTGTCTGTTGTTGGTGTATAAGAATGCTTGTGATTTTTGTACATTGATTTTGTATCCTGAGACTTTGCTGAAGTTGCTTATCAGCTTAAGGAGATTTTGGGCTGAGACGATGGGGTTTTCTAGATAAACAATCATGTCGTCTGCAAACAGGGACAATTTGATTTCCTCTTTTCCTAATTGAATACCCTTTATTTCCTTCTCCTGCCTGATTGCCCTGGCCAGAACTTCCAACACTATGTTGAATAGGAGTGGTGAGAGAGGGCATCCCTGTGTTGTGCCAGTTTTCAAAGGGAATGCTTCCAGTTTTTGCCCATTCAGTATGATATTGGCTGTGGGTTTGTCATAGATAGCTCTTATTATTTTGAAATACGTCCCATCAATACCTAATTTATTGAGAGTTTTTAGCATGAAGGGTTGTTGAATTTTGTCAAAGGCTTTTTCTGCATCTATTGAGATAATCATGTGGTTTTTGTCTTTGGTTCTGTTTATATGCTGGATTACATTTATTGATTTGCATATATTGAACCAGCCTTGCATCCCAGGGATGAAGCCCACTTGATCATGGTGGATAAGCTTTTTGACGTGCTGCTGGATTCGGTTTGCCAGTATTTTATTGAGGATTTTTGCTTCAATGTTCATCAAGGTTATTGGTCTAAAATTCTCTTTTTTGGTTGTGTCTCTGCCTGGCTTTGGTATCAGAAGGATGCTGGCCTCATAAAATGAGTTAGGGAGGATTCCCTCTTTTTCTATTGATTGGAATAGTTTCAGAAGGAATGGTACCAGTTCCTCCTTCTACCTCTGGTAGAATTCGGCTGTGAATCCATCTGGTCCTGGACTCTTTTTGGTTGGTAAACTATTGATTATTGCCACAATTTCAGCACCTGTTATTGGTCTATTCAGAGATTCAACTTCTTCCTGGTTTAGTCTTGGGAGAGTGTATGTGTCAAGGAATGTATCCATTTCTTCTAGATTTTCTAGTTTATTTGCGTAGAGGTGTTTGTAGTATTCTCTGATGGTAGTTTGTATTTCTGTGGGATCGGTGGTGATATCCCCTTTATCATTTTTTATTGTGTCTATTTGATTCTCCTCTCTTTTTTTCTTTATTAGTCTTGCTAGCGGTCTATCAATTTTGTTGATCCTTTCAAAAAACCAGCTCCTGGATTCATTGATTTTTTGAAGGGTTTTTTGTGTCTCTATTTCCTTCAGTTCTACTCTGATTTTAGTTATTTCTTGCCTTCTGCTAGCTTTTGAATGTGTTTGCTCTTGCTTTTCTAGTTCTTTTAATTGTGATATTAGGGTGTCAATTTTGGATCTTTCCTGCTTTCTCTTGTGGGCATTTAGTGCTATAAATTTCCCTCTACACACTGCTTTGAATGTGTCCCAGAGATTCTGGTATGTTGTGTCTTTGTTCTCGTTGGTTTCAAAGAACATCTTTATTTCTGCCTTCATTTCGTTATGTACCCAGTAGTCATTCAGGAGCAGGTTGTTCAGTTTCCATGTAGTTGAGCAGCTTTGAGTGAGATTCTTAATCCTGAGTTCTAGTTTGATTGCACTGTGGTCTGAGAGATAGTTTGTTATAATTTCTGTTCTTTTACATTTGCTGAGGAGAGCTTTACTTCCAACTATGTGGTCAATTTTGGAATAGGTGTGGTGTGGTGCTGAAAAAAACGTATATTCTGTTGATTTGGGGTGGAGAGTTCTGTAGATGTCTATTAGGTCTGCTTGGTGCAGAGATGAGTTCAATTCCTGGGTATCCTTGTTGACTTTCTGTCTCGTTGATCTGTCTAATGTTGACAGTGGGGTGTTACAGTCTCCCATTATTAATGTGTGGGAGTCTAAGTCTCTTTGTAGGTCACTCAGGACTTGCTTTATGAATCTGGATGCTCCTGTATTGGGTGCATATATATTTAGGATAGTTAGCTCCTCTTGTTGAATTGATCCCTTTACCATTATGTAATGGCTTTCTTTGTCTCTTTTGATCTTTGTTGGTTTAAAGTCTGTTTTATCAGAGACTAGGATTGTAACCCCTGCCTTTTTTTGTTTTCCATTTGCTTGGTAGATCTTCCTCCATCCTTTTATTTTGAGCCTATGTGTGTCTCTGCACGTGAGATGGGTTTCCTGAATACAGCACACTGATGGGTCTTGACTCTTTATCCAACTTGCCAGTCTGTGTCTTTTAATTGGAGAATTTAGTCCATTTACATTGAAAGTTAATATTGTTATGTGTGAATTTGATCCTGTCATTATGATGTTAGCTGGTTATTTTGCTCGTTAGTTGATGCAGTTTCTTCCTAGTCTGGATGGTCTTTACATTTTGGCATGATTTTGCAGCGGCTGGTACCGGTTGTTCCTTTCCATGTTTAGCGCTTCCTTCAGGAGCTCTTTTAGGGCAGGTCTGGTGGTGACAAAATCTCTCAGCATTTGCTTATCTGTAAAGTATTTTATTTCTCCTTCACTTATGAAGCTTAGTTTGGCTGGATATGAAATTCTGGGTTGAAAATTCTTTTCTTTAAGAATGTTGAATATTGGCCCCCACTCTCTTCTGGCTTGTAGGGTTTCTGCCGAGAGATCCGCTGTTAGTCTGATGGGCTTCCCTTTGAGGGTAACCCGACCTTTCTCTCTGGCTGCCCTTAACATTTTTTCCTTCATTTCAACTTTGGTGAATCTGACAATTATGTGTCTTGGAGTTGCTCTTCTTGAGGAGTATCTTTGTGGCGTTCTCTGTATTTCCTGAATCTGAACGTTGGCCTGCCTTGCTAGATTGGGGAAGTTCTCCTGGATAATATCCTGCAGAGTGTTTTCCAACTTGGTTTCATTCTCCGCATCACTTTCAGGTACACCAATCAGACGTAGATTTGGTCTTTTCACATAGTCCCATATTTCTTGGAGGCTTTGCTCATTTCTTTTTATTCTTTTTTCTCTAAACTTCCCTTCTCACTTCATTTCATTCATTTCATCTTCCATTGCTGATACCCTTTCTTCCAGTTGATCGCATCGGCTCCTGAGGCTTCTGCATTCTTCACGTAGTTCTCGAGCCTTGGTTTTCAGCTCCATCAGCTCCTTTAAGCACTTCTCTGTATTGGTTATTCTAGTTATACATTCTTCTAAATTTTTTTCAAAGTTTTCAACTTCTTTGCCTTTGGTTTCAATGTCCTCCCGTAGCTCAGAGTAATTTGATCGTCTGAAACCTTCTTCTCTCAGCTCGTCAAAGTCATTCTCCATCCAGCTTTGTTCCGTTGCTGGTGAGGAACTGCGTTCCTTTGGAGGAGGAGAGGCGCTCTGCGTTTTAGAGTTTCCAGTTTTTCTGTTCTGTTTTTTCCCCATCTTTGTGGTTTTATCTACTTTTGGTCTTTGATGATGGTGATGTACAGATGGGTTTTCAGTGTGGATGTCCTTTCTGTTTGTTAGTTTTCCTTCTAACAGACAGGACCCTCAGCTGCAGGTCTGTTGGAATACCCTGCCGTGTGAGGTGTCAGTGTGCCCCTGCTGGGGGGTGCCTCCCAGTTAGGCTGCTCGGGGGTCAGGGGTCAGGGACCCACTTGAGGAGGTAGTCTGCCCGTTCTCAGATCTCCAGCTGCGTGCTGGGAGAACCACTGCTCTCTTCAAAGCTGTCAGACAGGGACATTTAAGTCTGCAGAGGTTACTGCTGTCTTTTTGTTTGTCTGTGCCCTGCCCCCAGAGGTGGAGCCTACAGAGGCAGGCAGGCCTCCTTGAGCTGTGGTGGGCTCCACCCAGTTCGAGCTTCCCGGCTGCTTTGTTTACCTAAGCAAGCCTGGGCAATGGCGGGCTCCCCTCCCCCAGCCTCGCTGCCGCCTTGCAGTTTGATCTCAGACTGCTGTGCTAGCAATCAGCGAGATTCCGTGGGCGTAGGACCCTCCGAGCCAGGTGTGGGATATAGTCTCGTGGTGCGCCGTTTTTTAAGCCGGTCTGAAAAGCGCAGTATTCGGGTGGGAGTGACCCGATTTTCCAGGTGCGTCCGTCACCCCTTTCTTTGACTCGGAAAGGGAACTCCCTGACCCCTTGCGCTTCCCAGGTGAGGCAATGCCTCGCCCTGCTTCGGCTCACGCACGGTGCGCACACCCACTGGCCTGCGCCCACTGTCTGGCACTCCCTAGTGAGATGAACCGGGTACCTCAGATGGAAATGCAGAAATCACCCGTCTTCTGCGTCGCTCACGCTGGGAGCTGTAGACCGGAGCTGTTCCTATTCGGCCATCTTGGCTCCTCCCCCCATCTGCTTGTATTTCTAAAGGCTCCTTCTGGCTATTGTGTTGCGGATAGACTGAGGAGGGGGTAGGAGTGAGAGCAGAGAAAGGCAGGAACAGGGATACCAGCTACTGGACATCTATTTTTAATGCCCCATGGGCACCTGAGACTCAAAACTCCAACACTGAGCTCATTATCCTTCTTCTAAACTTGCTCTTCTTCTTGTGCTCAGGACACCCAAATCCACCAAGGACTGAAGCCAGAACCTGGAATTTCTGCCCCTGCAGCCCCTTCCCCTCACATCAAAGCAGTCACAAGTCCTATCCACTCTAGCTTCTCAATATCCCATTCATTCATTCATTCATTCATTCATTCACTATTTCACTAGTTTGTCAAACATTTACTGGATACTGACCATGTTTCAGGCCAGTACTAGAAAGGTAGATAATGGTGTCTGCCCTCTGGGAGCTTACAGTTTAGCGTGTGAAACAGATAACAAAACTAAAAATGAAACTATACCTGTATGACTTCCACTCATGCTAAGGGCTATAAAGAAAATAAACTAGTTTTAACAAAGGAGAAAAATAGCAATACTCTTAGGTAAGCGGGCCAGGGAAGGACCTCCTTAGGAAGAGATGCCTGAGAAGGGATGAGTCATGGGTGAAGAATGATGTATTAATTTCCTAGGGCTGCAGTAACAAATTCCCTCCAACTGTTACAGTCTCACCAATGTGCCACAATGTAGCAGTTTCTCATTATAAGGTATCATCCAGAGTTCTTTGTCTCAGGACGGTGGACACAATGGGTGAGGTTGGAGCAAAAGTTTAATAAGGGAAAGAAGCTCTCTGCTGCAGAGAGGGTACCCAGAAGAGGGCTGCCATTTTCACAATTGCGTACAAAGGCTTTTATAGGAAATCAATGAGGGCCGGGTGTCTCATCTGCCTAAGGCACAAATTTCTGGTAGCTCCACCCCATCTTCCTAATGCGCGTGTGGGCCCTTAGCTTGAGTTATTCCATATTGCTTTGTTCCCCTTACTGCACATGTGTCAGGGAATGGAATTTTCCATTGCGGGCATGTCTGGGCAAGTCACCTGTGCAGGCTTTCTTATCTATATGGCTGTGGCATGTCTCAGGTAAGCCCTCCTGTGCAAATTCCCTTATCTGTCCCTGCCGGCTGTTCTTTTGTTTGAAAGGATTCAACCGAAGAGCCACCCTGTCTGCCTAACCATTTTTTTTTTCCTTTCTCCTCAATCAAAACTGACTCTTCTTGTCATTCCTTGGCCTATGGACACATCACTCCAGTTTCCACCTCCACATGGTCACATTCCCTCCATGTCTCTATCTCTGTGTGTCCTCTCCTCTTACAAGGATACTAGTCATTGGATTTAGGGTTCACCCTAATCCAGTGTGATTTCACCTTAACAAATTGACATCTATAGATGTCAATCTGTATTTTCAAATCACTATTTTAAATAGTGATCTGTCACTGTATCACTGTCACTATATCACTGTCAATCACTATTTTCAAATAAGGCCAGAATTTTGGGGAGATACTACTCAACCTAGTACAAAGGAACACTCTTTTACAGGCATACAGGGCAGTTTTTACACAGGCCCTCAGGTGAAAAGGCTTGGAGTGTTTGGAGCCAGTGTGGCTGAAGTGTAGGCGCAAGGAGTAGAATGAACCCAGGTGAGCTGGGAAAGAGGCAGCCCCAGGGTATGAAGGCTTAATAGGGTATAATAGGAAACGGCTGAAGTGTAAGGAAAAGCGTCTCTCCAGATGGAGAACACCAGGGTGTGTGATATGGAGAAAGAGAGAGAGAGGGAGAGCGACGAAAGGATACAGAAGAGGAGAGAACTGAAGGAACAGAGAGAGTCCTTGAGAAGGCGGTGGTTCAGGAGCGGAAGAGGGGAAGATAGACACAGAAGCAGACAGGTATGATATAAGGGAAAAGGGAAATCCTCTCTAAAGGCTTCTATTTTCTCAACTACATTAGATAGCTAAGAGGTGGAGGAGTGGGAGCTGAAGTGTGGAGAGAAGAAAGCTTGGGATGTTTGTCTTGGAGAGTGAGAAGTCATGCTTGCCAGGATGGCCGGGCAGTGTTAAGAGTCTGTTCAGGGTTTGGTTTCTAGAATATGTTCATTTTTCTTTCTCCCCACTGTTATCGACCTAGTTCAGGCCACATCATCACCCGGTGTAAGTGCAACCACCTCTGACTGGGTTCTTTTCTTCCCATCGTGCCCCACCCCAACCCGGTCTATTCTCCACATTGCTGTCACCACGGTCATTCAAAGTTTACGTGGTATCACTCTCCAGCTTAAAGTCCTTCCCCTAGTTTCCCACTGTCCTCCAGATAAAACCCAACTCTGTACTGTGGCTCTCAAGATCGTTATCAGCTGGTTTATGCTTCACTAGCCTCATTTCTTGCCACTTCCACTCAAATCCTGCACTTTTTTTTTTTTTTTTGAGACAGGTTTTGCTCCGTCACCCAGGCTGGAGTGCAGTAGTGCGATCATAGCTCACTGTGCCCTCAAACTCCCGGGCTTAAGCAATCTTCCCACTTCAGCCTCTGGAGTAGCTGGGACTACAGGCTTGCACCACCACACCCAGCTAGTTTTTTTCTTTTTCTTTTTTCAGAGACAGGGAGTGGGGGCTGGGGTGGGGTAGTGGTGGGGGTCCCACCGTGTTGCTCAGGCTGGTCTCAAACTCCTGTCCTCAAGCGATCCTCCCACCTCATCTTTCCCAAGAGCTGGGATTGCAGGTGTGAGCCACCACACCTGTCCTAAATTCTGCATTTCAACCACTCAGAATTACTTTATAAATTCCTTGAACGTGCTGTCCTCTCTCCCCTTCAAGGCTTTGCACTTGCTCATCCCTGTTCCCGAATCCTCTTTCCCCTCCTACTCTAGCACTCCCCAGTCATCTGCCCTCTCCTGCTAACTCTCCTCCTCCCTGCAGCTCAGTTAGTCCGCTCTGCCAGCCAGCTTTCTTTGACATCCTCCACTCTGAGTCTAGATAGGTTTCCCGTACAACCCTCTATGTTTCCCTTATAAGAGCAAGTACACCTTATAATGCAATTGCTCCTTTACCTATCTTAGGTCCTCATAAAAGTATAAACCCCTTAAAGTTTCCTGTTTTTCATATTACTTGACACATGCCAGATACTTTTTAAAAATGTGAAATACGTAAATAAATGAAAATATTAAAACAGTTCATGTCTATGCTGAAAGTCATAAGTAACTCAAAGCTTTCAAACAATTGGTTCTGCTTCCCCTCGAGGCACAACGGGATTGACCTTGATGCGGGGGGACATCAGGGAACTGCACTCTGCACCGCCACCAGGACCCAGACCCCTGTTTCATGCTCTGCTTCTCAGTTGGACTTCTGACTTCCATCACGAACTACATGAGGCTTTGGGAGGGTTCCCCGCAGGATAATTTCTGCCGTGTCTTTCTGCTCCTTTGCACCCCCTGTCTCTGTTGTAATCAGTGATCTCTGTGTTTTGGTCATAGGGAATGCTTTTCTTTATAAGTGCTCATCCAGCTTCTGAGAGCCTTGGAAGAGTGTGTCTTGGAGTCTCCCCGGTCATTTGATTTTGAATTCCCAGAAATTGTTATTGTAAGCTGCTCTTTTCTTGTAGCACAAATAACTGTCCCAGTTCTCATACTTCCTACTCTGCCTTTGGGCAGTGTCCCAAGGATGTGCTTCCACTCACACCCAAGTAGTCCTAGAATGGCTTCTCAAATGACGAAAAAGAACAGAAGATGTTGTGGTTTCTGTTTTGCATTACTTTTCTACACGAAGGCCTTCTGATCTTTTTGGAAGTATGCTGATTCCAACTGCTCATGCATGCAGATCCAATTCCTGCAGACTGGCAAGATCACGCTGCATCTTTAACCCATTCTATTGATGAAATAATAGTTTCCCTTCTCAGTTCTAGTCTTCAGAGAAGTCTTCACCTAGCTTTCATGTCATTATTGGGTAAAACTGGCTATCTTTTGCTCTTCCTCATGTTCTAATCAATGTACTGATTAGTGTGCTTTGGATGTCACATAAATAGATACATGTTGGCCAGGCTGGTCTCAAACTCCTGATCTCAGATGATCTTCCTGCTGCCTCAGCCTCCCAAAGTGCTGAGATTACAGGCTTGAGCCACCATGCCCGGCCAGAAATATATAATTCTTAACCCTCATTATTTTGGGTTGATCTCAGTACCCATAAACCCTTGTTGAAAATTCCTGCATTACTAATTTACCCACTTCTGAATGTGCATTTGTTTTTGGTTAAAAAAAATTTACTCTTGTGTACAGTTTGTAAATATGCTTTTTCAAAATAAAACCCATGTTTTCATTTCTGTAATTGTTAAAGAGTGACAAATACAGTGTATCGATGCTCAACATTTAATGCAACTGCTTTTTTTTTGAGACAGAGTTTTGCTCTTGTTGCTCAGACTGGTGGGCAACAGCGCGATCTTGGCTCACCCCAACCTCCGCCTCCTGGGTTCAAGCGATTCTCCTGCCTCAGTCTTCCTGAGTAGCTGGGATTACAGGCATGTGCCACCACGCCTGGCTAATTTTGTATTTTTAGTAGAGACGGGGGTTTCTCCATCTTGGTCAGGCTGGTCTCGAACTCCCAACCTCAGCTGATCCGCCCGCGTTGGCCTCCCAAAGTGCTGGGATTACAGGCGTAGCCAGGGTGCCCGGCCAATGCAACTGCCTTCTAGAATGTTTTGTGTACTGCAGAGGCTGGACAATTAAAACTGTGCTTCCCAAATGCCCTTGCACTGAGGGTTCTGGATGTGAGCGTAGTTCGGCCATTCAGATACACTCATGTGGGATTCAGAAGGTGGCAGTGAGACACAGCCTACATTTTCTATTGTTTTTGCGGGCAAGCCTAGTCGGAGATAGTTTCCCTGTGTCTAATCAGTAGCTTTGTGTGTGTGTTGAAAGGCAGTGTTGGGGAAGCCATTTAATTTGTGTGGATTCTAGTGGGCACAGGGGTGGTTCTGGTTGTAGCAGTTGCAGTAACTTCCTGACCACGGTGGCTTCTGAGATATAGCAGGGGTGTCATGGTTCTGGAGTTTGGGACAAAAGCAGTAGCTTCCCATCTTGTTAGGGAGCTTCCTGGTTGCGAAAGGCCGCAGTTCTGTTGGTGGCCGGGCTCTGCAGAGAAGTTTTGAGAGTCATCTTTGGGAAGGTTAAACCTAGAGCCTGTCTCTTCACCCTCCTCATAATTCTGTCAGCCATTTAATGCTTAAACTAGGTGGAATGGATCCTGTTCTTGGCAATAAATCCATGACCTATATACCACGGGAGTAGTTGTTTGCAATATTAAATATAGCTTCTGGCGGAAAGATGTTTAGACAAGAAAAGTAGCTATCTGAGAAGACAGACAAGATTTAGACTTTCTCTTGATAGCTGCAGCTATGTAGAAGCCAAATCATGGCTCTTGCCACTTGGGATGCATGTACAACTTTCTGTGGCAGTAACAGCAATCAGATTTTGAGGAGTGAATGAAAGGCAGACCTCTGGGGGCCCTAACTTTCACACTAAACTTGAACTCACCCTGAGACCTAAACTTATAATCCCGAAGGTCTAATTCTTCTGTCACAACCTTTCTAATGATGAATAGCCTCTCTCCATTCTCTGCCTCTTTCTCCCCCTTCTCACAGGAGTAAGGACTCCCACTCCACCCCCACATACACATGTGTGGACGGGAGAAGGCCATTTGTAAAGTAACAGTGTCATATAAACAACAAACTCAAGTTTCAAAGGAGAAAAGATAACAAAATCTGCAATAGAACATATGCCTGTGAGAAAGGACAATTATTCCTCTATGACAAGAGGGGAAACTCACTCACATGGCAGGGAGAGGCTGACCATGAGAACAAGTCTAGGAATTGGCTAGTCATTCCTTTAGGCCAGGTCCTGTTTCACTACAATTTTCCCTTTTTTAATTCCTTCCTTCCCTCCCTTCCTCCCTTCCCTCTTTCCCTCCCTCCCTCCCTCCCTCCCTCCTTTCCTCCTTCCCTCCCTTCCTTCCTTCTTTCTTGCTTTTTCTTTCTTTCACCAACTACCTGTCTGTCTATCCATTTTAAGATTGGGTAACACTTGCTCATGGTACAAAATTCAGAGCTAACAAGGGCACAGAGTGAAAAGCAAGTCTCCTGCTCCACCACCGAGGGCATTCCTGGTTCCCTACCCAGAAGCAGGCTTTGTGGTTTCTCCCCTTTTTCATTTTCCCACGCCTCTCACCTCAGATCCTATGGAAGCATCCACAATTGTGGGGAAGAATTCCAGAGGAGAGGCAGAGTCTAGGAGGAGGAGGGGTGGCGACCACCAGGATTCCAGACCCACTAGGCTGGTACCTGGCCCAGGGTTGGATCCTCCAGCGTGGACAGGACAGTCTGTGGTTGCCTCCTGCAGCCACCTGACACCTGGGCAGTAGTGGGAGGGAGGCTGGTGCCTTTTTCTTTAGCATGGTTGTCTGTTTGGTTTTATTATGTTGTGTCCCCACTCCCGCCTCCAGCTTTTCCTTCAGCTGCAAACCAGAGTGCCTATGGATGAATGTTTGTTTACATATGTCATGTTGCTGTCCCTTCAGAACAAATGTGTGTATTTGAGGCAGGAGACTGTGTTTGGTTTTTAAACTAAGTGGAACTGCCAAACACCCTTCACCCAGCTTGTGGACAGGTGCACTATTAAGAGTTTACATAAGAAAAATCTGTGCCAATTGTAACAGGTAGAGAAGAGAGAGCGAGACAGAGACAGAACCTGAATAATCCTTTGGCAATTCTTAGTGTGACACAAGATTCACTTCCTTCTTAGCAATTCTGTGCCTCATGCCTCATTCCTGATAATTTTAGGATCTGCTATGTCTTTTGCTATGAGAATTAGCATCAGCAGCTTTCAAAATGACTTACCAGTTAGCCCCTCCAGAAATCTTAGGACATTATTCTTTTCTTCTCCAAATTCCCCATCTCTAAGCCTTCTAATTCTCCTTCAAATTTCCATCTGTAAAGTTAATACAATCCAATAAGAAAATAATGTGCTCTTGAGACGTTGACATGCTCAGAGCCATTTTATCCTGCCCTTAAGCCTGGAAAGTTTGAATTTTCCTTGGGATAAAAAAGTAAGAAATAATAGAATAATTCACTGTACTGTAACAATTAAATCCAGCAATTTAACATTGCGCATTGGTAAATATAATGCTTGCAACAACCAAAAGTCTCCCACGTATTGACAGACAAAACCAAAGTTATAAATCTACACCTCCTATTCCGAACCACATTCCTAAATGTAAATAAGCATCCAAGCATGCTGCTACATATCTTTACAGAAGCAATTACAAACAAGCCTTATCAGTTGCTAAGTCACCAACACACACAATGCTTATCTGCTATGCCCTCTACTGGATAGAGTACACAAGGCAAGTCGCATTATTTCCAATTAATTTTTGGCATCATCACTCTGCATCTGCTTTAGGAATGCAAGGCGTGAAATTTATAGTAGCAGGTTTAATATTCCATCCAGCCAAATCATTTCGCTACAAGGACTTACCTTTGGTAAAATATTTTGGGTTTTTTTTTTAAGTACATAGATTGCTTCTCCCCTTCTTGCAACCCACTGTCCAAACTCTCAAGCTGTCACAAAACTCAGTACGTGGCAGGAATAATTTCATGCTGAGTAAAATGTGTTTAATTTCACATCTTCTAAGAATAATTACTTAGCATAATGCCACTTAAAATGTATTTTTATCTGCAAATGCTAATGAAGCTACAAAAACCTGACTCATCTTTTGAAAGAATGAGGGTATTAAGGGTGCTTCGCCTCCACTCCCTCTTCTCCGTAGTGGCTGCCTGAAGAGAGAAACCCGGACTGGAAGAATAATCCCCGACTAGATCCTGCTGTCTTCAAGCTGGGTGTGAGCCCAGTGGCTTTGAGGGGAATTTAATCCCATCGGCCTCTCCGGAGCCTCCCAAGGTGCTGAAAACAGAGCTTCAGGCTCCCTGGGGCTGCCCAGTTCTCACCCAGGTCCACCTAGACAGCTACTAGGAAGAGGCTCAGGCCCAGGGTCGAGAGCTACCTACCCTAACGACTAGGCTGGTGGCAGGCCTGTGGCCTTTGGCCTTAGGGATTGTGTCTCTTTGATCATTGGTGCACCCAAGTCATAAAGACCACTGTCCTATCTATTGTTTGTCTTGAGGCCTAAAGCAGTAGTTAACAAAGAATGACAAGGAGTAAAGGGGGAAAAGGAGTGCCTTGCTTTTAAAACTAAAAAAAAAAAAAAACAAAAACCAAAAAACAAAAACCCTCTTTTATTCCTAAATAGTTTTAGAATTACAGAAAAGTTGCAACAATAGTTCAGAAAGTTCCTGTCTACCCTTCATCCAACTTCACTCACCTTAATATCTTACATAATGATCAAAACCAAGAAGCTGGGACATTAGTGCAATACTTACTATTAACCACACTATAGATTTAAATTCAGATTTCACCACTATTTCTAATAATAGTATTTTTTGTTGGGCGTGATGGCTCATGCCTGTAATCCCAGCACTTTGGGAGGCTGAGGTGGGCGGATCAACTGAGGTCGGGAGTTCAAGACCAGCCTGGCCAACATGGAGAAACCCTGTCTCTACTAAAAATACAAAATTAGCTGGGCATGGTGGCACATGCCTGTAATTCCAGCTACTTGGGAGGCTGAGGCAGGAGAATCGCTTGAACCTGGGAGGCGGAGGTTGCGGTGAGCTGAGATCATACCATTGCACTCCAGCCTGGGTGGCAGAGTGAGACTTTGTCTAATAATAGTAATAGTATTTTTCTGTCCTAGGATTGAATCCAGGATCCCACACTGCACATAGCTGTCATGTCTCTTTAGTTTCCTTAAATTCAGGACACTCTCTTGTCTTTCCTTGTCTTTCATAACCTTAACATGTTTGAAGAGTCCTGGTCAGGTATTTTGTAGACAGTCTCTCAATTTGGATTTGTGAAATGTTTTCTCATGATTAAATTAAGGCCGGGTGCGGTGGCTCAGACCTGTAATCCCAGCACTTTGGGAGGCTGAGGCGAGTGGTCAGGAGTTTGAGACCAGCCTGGCTAACATGGTGAAACCCCGTCTCTACAAAAAATACAAAATTAGCCGGGCATGGTGGCGGGCACCTGTATTCCCAGCTACTCAGGAGGCTGAGGCACAAGAATCACTTGAACCTGGGAGGTGGAGTATGCAGTCAGCTGAGATTGCCCCATTGCACTCCAGCCTGGGCAACAGAGTAAGACTCCATCTCAAAAACAAACAAACAAAAAAATTAAATTGAGATTATATATTTTTGGCAAGAATGCTACAGAAGCAATGATTCCCTTCATTGCTTTGTGGAAGCAGGGCCTGCTTTTGTAGCAATGAAGCTAAGCAAGGGTGTGGGATAAGAGCCTGAATGAGATCAACATCCCTCTAGAAATTTGCGTGGTGGCTTTAAGGAGAGTTAGGCACCAAGCTTAAGAGCAGGTGACACACTTTTATTACCTCTCGCCTCCTTTCTCTGTTACTATGGGTGGCAGTGGGAGAGGTGGGAATATTTCTTTGCCACAGATAGACAGCATGAATGTTTTTTTAATCCAATGTTGCTGAGACCAGCAGAAGGATAAAGGGTAGCCAAAGAAAGCAGAGAATTACTCATGTTGGTGTGGGAAAGAAGGTGGGGAGAGATGTGCCAAAATAAAAGTGTGGTCTAATGACCGTTTGTGGGTCCAGTGAAGCCCTTTGTGGATTCAGCAAAGCTCCAGATAGCCCAAGAATGAAATGCAGACATCTCAACAGGTGGGAAACTTGTTAACTTGGGTTGAGAGGGTGGTGGTAAACATTTCGTAAGCAACACTTTTAACAATGAGAAAGCAAGTTTCATTCCTTGTTTGGGTAGAATGTAGTAGTGGTGAACAAAGATCCTTGGGCAGATTTTTAGTTTGGCATTTTGGCTTTCTCCCCTTCTGGAATGGAAGCTCTGTCGGGGACAGGGCCCTTGTCTGGTTCCCCTCTGAAAACGTCGTATTCAGACCTGGCACATTATAGAAGCTCAAAAAATGTTTATTAAATGTAGTAAACGTAAGTGAATGGGATGGGCATGGTGGCTCATGCCTGTAATCCCAACACTTTTAGGAGGCTGAGGTGACAGGATTGCTTGAGCCCAGGAGTTCATGACCAGCCGGGGCAACATAGAAGACCTCACCTCTATTTTTAAAAAAGTAAAAAAAAAAGTGAATAAATGGGGTGCTCATTTACAAAACATACTCTTGGCCACTCCACTCATCCCAGCTCAGCAATCTATGACCCTATCCCCCAGGATGGTTTTGAAGGTCCAGCAGGGCCCCTGTGCTCTGGACTGCAAGCTTTCTGACCTACGCCAGTCCTCCAAGCGCCTGCAGAAGCTGTCCTGGTAGGAGACTGTTCTCTGAGAAGTCCCTGGGGGGTAGAATGCAGGGGACAATAGACTAAGATCAAATATATAGATGGTAAAATCTAAGTTTGGGAAGAAGAGGAGATAATGTAGATGCCTGCTTCCAGGTGGGCCATGGTTTGGGGAAACCAGTAGAAAGAGGGAAGGACGGTCATGGTAATGGGGTCTCGTGAAAATGAATTGTGCACACGATTTTTACTTGTGTGTGTGCATGCGTGTGCACAGATTGAGATGTGTTTTTCTTATTAATGGGACTGATTTCATTTCTTCAACTGCTTAGTGCTTTTTGGTTACTCTCTTCTAATTCCCAGATATTCACATAATTTAAATAACGTTTTTATATTTATAATTATCATTGTAATTTATTTGAATTATTTAAATTTTCCAGATGCATATTTAGTAAAGACGTTTTTAAACATACTAGAGAGACAAGCAAAGTACCAGGAGGCTTTGAACATTTATTTTACTGAGTAGGAAGTAGAGAAGAACTGTTTTTACTGACATATTAATGAAAACAGCCAACATGACTTGCAGTTGGTCTATATAGGCACTGTTCAATACACTTTATAAATATTAACCTTTTTCATTTTTATAGCTGCACCATGAGGTAGTCTATTATATTTCCATTCTACAGAAAAGGAAATTAAGCCACACAGAGCTTTATTTATTTATTTATTTATTTGAGATAAGGTCTCACTATATTGCCCCAGGCTGGAGTGCAGTGGCACAAACACAGCTCACTGCAGCCTCAACCTCCCGGGTTCAAGCGATCCTCTCGCCTCAGCCTTCTGAGTAGCTGGGACCACAGGCACACGACACCATGCTTGGCAATTTTTAAAAATTTTTTGTAGAGATGAGGTCTCAACTGTGTTGCCCAGGCTGGTCTCAAACTCCTGGCCTCAAGCGATCCTTCCATCTCAGCCTCCCAAAGTGGTGAGATTACAGGTGTGAATCACTGTGCTTGGCCCACACAGAACTTTAAAAACTTACTCCAAGTCACACAGTGAGGAAGTGGCAGAGCTGGGAGTCTAATCACTATACTATACAGTGCTTCTGGTGCAATCCAGAAAAATCCTATCTTCTGGAAAGAACTCTGTTTCTGCTCTTTGCTCTTTTAGGGGCAAAATGAACCCTCCAGACCCACATCCTTCCAAGTGCTTCTTTGTGCAAGCAATATGAACTAGAGTTGTCCCCTCTTCCTGGGAGGGAAGTCACAGTGACTTCCCACAGGAGATAGCACATGGCTATGGGAGCTTTAAGAGATGAGATGAAGGTGTTAAGGTGTTGGCTTCATCCAGGTGCATGATAATAAAATAGGAAAATAGAATCTCTATTGTATCCAAATTATAAGCAGGTCACGTTTCACATGACAATATAAGCACAATTATTAAGGGATTTCATGGGATCCCATAAAATAAAGTTCTAGTCTTGTTCACACATTTTCTTGGTACAAATGAGCTCACATATTTACCAGGTTTAGGCTCTTTAAATCAACTATTTATTTGTTCAGCAAGGGACAAGTGAAAGAGAAAAGTTTTGTCCTAGTAAAAGCGAACCCTGTGAAATAGGTAATCTATATATCTTTATCAAACGCGCAAAGTGCATGCAGCATGGCTTATGTGGTCACATCAGAAGGGGATTTTCGTTTCTTGAGGGGTGCCAAACTTATTTGCCTCCGAAGATGAAGGGCCAAATTACTTTTTTTTTTTTTTTTTGAGATGGAGTCTTGCTCGGTTGCCCAGGCTAGAGTGCAGTGGCGTGATAGCTCACTGCAGCCTCCGCCTCCCGGGTTTAAGCAATTCTTCTGCCTCAGCCTTCGGAGTAGCTGGGATTACAGGCATCTGCCACCTTGCCTGGCTAATTTTTGTATTTTTAGTAGAGACGGGGTTTCACCACCTTGGCCAGGCTGGTCTCGAACTCCTGATCTCATGATCCACCCGCCTCAGCCTCCCAAAGTGCTGGGATTACAGGAGTGAGCCACCACGCCCGGCAGGGCCAAATTACTTCTAATTCTGAGAGTAAATGAAGGAAATTTAGGTGAAGCAATTAAGTGGCTAACAAATGTCACCAAGATTGTTATAATAACAGCTATTATTACTATTTTTACTACAGTCTATATTTTCACAAATCATACATATAAACCAAGAGTCAAATTTGGGAGAAATCATTGTCACCTACACACTGAATACATAAGGTTCATATTTAGGATATCAGACACTTAGGTCTTCAAAGAGGTTTCTGCCTTGTGGACATTTAACATTTTTTTTTTTTTTTTTTTTTTTTTTTTGAGATGGAGTTTCGCTCTTGTTGCCCAGGTTGGAGTGCAATGGCGCGATCTTGGCTCACTGCAACCTCTGCCTCCCGGGTTCAAGCGATTCTCCTGCCTCAGCCTCCCAAGTAGCTGAGATTACAGATTTGTGCCACAACACCTGGCTAACTTTGTATTTTTAGTAGAGATGGGGTTTCACCACCTCAGGCTGGTCTCGAACTCCTGACCTCAGGTGATCCGCCTGCCTCGGCCTACCAAAGTGCTGGGATTACAGGTGTGAGCCACTGCACCCGCCTGACATTCAATATTTTTTAAAAAGTGGCTGAACCAAATAGAAGAATCATGAATACCAGTGGTAGGTGGGGTCCGTTTCTGGGAGGTAAAGTCTAATTCCAGTGGAGCTGGGACATATTTCTTTCTCTAAAATACAGAAATATGATTGTGTTTTGATGTCTACTTAAGAGGGGTAAGAAATATATAAACTAGTGCAACATTTTTCAAATTGAGCTTCTAGCAGCTGATTCAGCTGGAATGTAATTTATGCTAATAAGTTCCTGGATTTCAAAGTGACTTTTTTCTTGTCACACTAAAACCTTTTAATTTGGGTATATATTCCGAAGTCCAGAAAGGGCAAGAAAATTTTCAGTCAAAAGCCAGGGATATAACTATCCACGTCTAAAAGGAAAGGGGAAAAAAATTACATTCTGGAGGGTTGAAGGAGAGGGGGAAAGTTCAACGTATAGCTTTTAATTTCCTGCAACATAGTTGATTTCACACACCATTTACCCCTAGACAAGTTTATGCTAATTTTAAAATGGCTGCATTATTTGAGGACTTCAATGTGCCAGAGGTGATGGTGGAATATAGCTGGTTTCATGTAATTGGGACTGGAGTAGGGAAACTGTACCAGGTTGAGCCAAGAAGCTTGTGTCCTAGTCTCAGTGCTGTTACTACCTAGCTGTGTGACAGTAATCAAGTCACTTGTTTAGTATAGATGTCAGTTTCTTCATTTATTAAACTAGATTAGCTGTGATAGTTAACACTGGATGATCCCTTACTAACCCTTTTGATGTCCTGTTTTTTTTTTTTTTGTTTTGGAGACAAGAGTCTTGCTCTGTCACCCAGGCTGGAGTGCAGTGGCGCGATCTCGGCTCACTTGCAACCTCTGCTTCCTAGGTTCAAGCAAAACTCGAGCAGCAGCCTCCTGAGTGGCTCAGATTAAAGGTGCGCACCACCTCGCCCAGCTAATTTTTGTATTTTTAGTAGAGATGGGGTTTTGCCATGTTGCCCAGGCTGGTCTCGAACTCCTGACCTCAAGTGATCCACCCGCATTGGCCTCTCAAAGGGCTGGAATTATGGGTGTGAGCCACCGTGCCTGGCCTGGTGTTAAGTTCTTCTAAGCCAGTGACTTTCAAATTTATTTTTTTACTATGACCTACAATAAGTATATTTTATATTGACTCTACACACATTTATCAATTTCTTTACATACACACATATATGACATATATGTTATACACACATGCATATGTGCATACACATTTTAAATGAAACTGAAGGTTCCATGAAACAATACTTACCTTTGTTACCTCGAATGCATTGTGGTATTTTTTTATTTTTTATTTTTTTTGAAACAGAGTCTTGCTCTGTTGCCCAGGCTCCAGAGCCCGCCACCATGCCTGGCTAAATTTTGTATTTTTTAGTAGAGACGGGGTTTCGCCACGTTGGCCAGGCTGGTCTTGAACTCCTCATCTCAGGTGATCCACCTGCCTTGGCCTCCCAAAGTGCTGGGATTACAGGCATGAGCCACCGCGCCCGGCCCATGGTGGTGTTTTTAATTCTATTTCATTATGAAAAAGCTGGTCAATTCTCACTCAATTGACTTCATGACCCACAGTTTGACAATCAGTTTAAATAAGCACAATCCTGCAACTGGAGGAACTGCCTCCAGGTGGATACAGGCGACTGCATAGGTTAATGGCTAAAATTCTAATCACTGAAAGAGAAACTTAACTGTGTAGATACAAGCCACATATTGAATGAATATGCTATAATTTTAGGGGAAAATTATGACACTCTAAGTAAAAACAAACACTAAGTACGAGTATTCTCTATCAGTGAAGTTGCTTGTTTTAAGCTCTGCATAATTGAACTCAGTTTTTTATGCTTTTAAGAACGAACTGTTTTGAAAACTTTCACCTGTCAGACTAAGGAACCCTAGTTTTTTGATAAATGAATCATTTTCCATTTATAAACAATCCTCTTTAAAGTTTCTGTAGCTTTTGCAAGAGTAATTTTTAAAAGCTCTTGAGTTTTTATAATAATTTTTTTTTTTTTTTTTTTGAGACACTCTGTCACCAAGGCTGGAGTGCAGTGGTGCAATCACAGCTCACCTCAACCTCCACCTCCCAGGCTCAAGGGACCCTCCTGCCTCAGCCTCTCAAGTAGCTGGAACCACAGGTGCATGCCACCTTGCCCTGCTAATTTTTGTATTTCTTTTGTAGAGACCAGGTTTCACCATGTTGCCCAGGATGGTCTCAAACTCTCGGACTCAAGCGGTCCACCCGCCTCAGCCTCCCAAAGTGCTGGCATTACAGGCATGAGCCACCACTCCCGGCCCTGAATTCCTGTGTCTTAGCTGATACTCAAGGATCCAGGGTAATGGGTGATTCACTTAGGTCCATAATCCAAGGATGAGAAAACTGGGTGTGATTTTCCAAGCAGTGTTCCCCTTTCAGTTTTAATCACACACACTTTTATATGTGAACAACCATCACTGGTATTAAAGATATCTTCAACAGTTCAACTATCTAAGGGAATATTTCATTTAGCTGAGAGAAATATCAAGTACCTTCTTTAAAAGGTTACATTTCAAAAAATACCCTTTCAGATAACACTTCTAAATAGAAGATGATTATGGTTTGTTATTTTAAAAACAGGACATAATCTCCATTTATTAGTTTGCAACGTTTATGAACTTAATGATTAAAAAATTTTATGCCATTTCCATCTATTGTACTTCACCCTATACTTCTTATACGCTAAAGTTTTGAAATGGTTAAACCTTAGATTTGGCTTATTTCTATGTATCTTTTATTATACTTATCCTCATCTAATGGCAACTATGTACCAGAAGACTTGCAACTCTGCAGTTACTCTGTGAGGTTGGATCACTGGGATAGGAGTATAGCCCCATAATTGTGCCTTTGTGTCTTGACCTTTATATTGTAACTTTCTCAACCTTGTAATATCATCGCAATGTTTGTATTGAAAATTAACCCTCACATCTAACTTTGGATCTGCAGCAAAGAGTCAGAGAACTCCACTTTCAGGCCAATAATTGTTGGCTTCACATGTACAGTGCTGGAAACGCTACTTGTCCTTCCCATGTGGCATCACCACCTTTTTTTTGTTTTCCAATATGGCATGAGCTAATCTTTCTAGTACATACAATTTCCATCAAATGTATGTTACATTGTTGAAGAGCAATCAGAATTTTTTTTTTTCCTGAAAAACCCCTTTTTCAGGATATATTCCTGTTTAATTTTCTATAGCTGAGTAAGCACACTGTACTATTCCTGGGGCTGTTTTAAAAATACTGTCTGTGCTGATCCAAATCAAACAGACCTTGAGAGGGTGCTGACAATGATGTCTTCATTGAATATGATCACTGCTAAAGCTTTAGCTCCTTGTTTGCTCTGTAATGCTGTGCCAAGATCTTGGCCTTTAGATGTTCCCAGAATCCCTGGAAACATTACTTATTTGTTTGTGAGTATCAGCATTAGAATGGTTTTGCATTCACAACAAAATGTGAATCTCTTACTGGGTTGAAGTTGTTTTCTTTAACTAACCATAAGACTTGAAGCCAGTTAGAACAGAATTCTAAGTAATATCCTGTGTTGATGCATTTATAAAACACACCAGAAGTCGGGAGTAACAGGATTCTATTTTTTTTCAACTTTGGTATAAAATTTTTCCTAAATATTAAAGCATTAACATTTAAAAATTCTGAGGGATATTGATGAGAACTATGATGAAAGATTCACAATATTTCACTTTTAAAACATAAACTTAAAAAACTACTCTTCATATCCTAGCCTGATGACTTAAAAGTTACCGGCAGAGTATCATAAAAATAAACCTAACACTCAAAATGGGTTTTAAATATCATAAAGGCTAAACATTATGATTCTACCAAGAGAAAACACTAAGAATATGAGCAGAAATAACATTTCACAATTTCTGTTTGAAGCTTTCAAAATAATACACTAGTAATTGATTCCCTTCTATTTTGGCTACATTTTGAGTAACAGAACAGAAGCATTGAACAAAATGGGTGCTTTTAAAAAACAACAAAAAAAGGCAAGTCAATACCAAGAACCAAGCATACTCCTATCAGAGGCAACAGCGGGGGCACAGGGAGTGTAGCCCACCCAGTGGTTAGTCAGATAACATGGGAGCCACCATCCGCTTCTCCACTTGCCCTCTGGTGCGTGCCAGCCTTGGTGCCAGGGCGGCAGGGCCCTGACGCATGTGGAGAGTCAGACAGTTTCACTGGCTCCCACTGGCTCTTCAGGCCGAAGTCCAGGCAGAAGTTGGCCTTGTGGGGTTCCTGTCTTCCTGCCAAACCATGGCACTCCCGGGACACTGCTAGAACGCTGGCCAAATCTTGCATGAGAAGTCACCTCCATTACAGTCTCCTCAATGTCGGGGGTCAGACTACAGGAAACCCCTTTTATCAGATTTTATGGAGTCTGTACACTAGCCAAGGAAAGTAAGAGAAAGAAAAAGAAAGCAACTTGTTTAACCTCACCTAATAGAAAGGAAAGGATTCTCCAAAGTAGTTCATCTGGGAATGAAGCCCAACATCCCTAAATCTCAGCTCAGTTTACTAGTTTTTCATTTACCAGTGGTTTTTAGAAACTTAAATCATTATGATCCTATCTACTCCGGGCCATCATATCATTGGTTTCTCAAAGAGAGAGTGGCCCAAAGTCACTGTTGCACACATATAGAATAATCTAGGTACCATTTGACAATAATCTATACACAAAGCACATTCAGCCATACACATATCTCTATAGTACAGACACATATTTAAAAAATTTTTACAAGCAGACAGTCTCAAAAAGAGGTCTTCATTTGCCATTCTTAAGGCTACTAATAGGAAATATAACTTTTAATAAGGTTCCTCAAACACCACATGCGTATGTAGATGCAGAGATGAATATTCACATATCTGTGTATAGATGTTCAGAAACAAACACAACCACCACGCATATGTGCAATCTCTTTTCTGAACCAATAAAGACAATGCTTTCCTAAGGAATGTTTGAATTTTATTGTACTTTTTTTTTTAAAGAAAAGAGAATATCATAATCTTACACAATTTCTTTCAAATGGATAAACTTAGACAATTTATCAATGCTTCCTTACATTTTTACACCACGCTGAACTCCAACAGGTTTTTGTTTTAAGGTAAACCAGGTTTTTGGTCCTTCCCTGTGGAGAAGTTACTTTCAAGTCAGTGAAAGTTCTTGGCCCATGATTAAAAGTCTTTGCCAATTAGTACTCAACAACTTCAATTCATTTTTTTCTGGTTCAAGATGAGTAGGAGCCTAATAAGGCTGTGATAAAAGGGCAAAAGGCACTGAGAGCCAAAAGCGGATTAATGAGCTCCTCCATTTATTTGTCTTCCTAACAGCTGAACTGTTACAACTATTGACACTCTTCAAAAGGTTCCGCTCTGAACCCTGTCCAGGCACTGCAGGCTCCAATGGACATCTTCAAATCCAGAGAATGGAGGGGCAAGAGCTTCCCCTGTGTGATGCCAAAACCAACAAAGCCCCATGGATCAGGTAATGAAACTTCAGCTTTTCCCCCTTTGAGATTTATTTACTGGCAGCTGACAAGGGGCAAATTCAGCTCGAATTGTGCAGTCAAGGCCCTGTCAAGCTTTTAGAGGCACCCTTGTCTTGAAGCACCTTCATGACTGGCATTTCACTCAAAAGCCCTCGGCACTGGTCCTTAACAGCTTATGACATCACAAAGGACACTCCAGACAGATGCCTACATGGCATCCTGCAGCATTTTAAAAGAGAATTAGTGGTTTTAATTATGGTCGTAGTATGAAAGGGAACCATGCAAGCTCCACAGGAGACCTTTGATCAGACCCTTTTGCTAGTACAATGCCACGGAACTGTGACTATTCCTGGTAAGGGGCCTTTTCTTGCTGAATGACTCACCAGTGATCTTTGAATGCAGACAAGCTTCTAGCCCTCCCTCTTCATTAGTGAGCATTTCTATACAGGGGCCTATATAGTGCTTGGAGTCTAGGAGCTATACAATTGGGGGGAAAAGAAGCCCTACAGATTCTGGCCTCTACTTAGGAAGTGCTGAAGGACTCTGAGTGACTTTATTCATTAAAACAGGTTGCTATTAATTAACTGTCATAATAAAATAAAGAACTATTATTTGCATTTCTTACTATGTTCTCTTTAGTAATATGTATAAAAGATGCTTGTAACAGAAATGAATTTATTGGGCCACTTCCCCATCCCCCCCAATCCCTGCCTTTTTTTCCCCTTTGCATTTTGGCAGCAGGAGCCTACTAATTATTGGGTCTAGATCTCTGAGTCCAAATAGAAATAAAACATAAATATAAAATTAATTAAGTAAATGCAAAATCTTTTTTACTCGCCAGTTTCTGCAACTGAAATAAGCAAACATCAAATTAACTTTTTTTTTTTTTAGTGATTTCCAAGAACGATCTAAGACAGTAAAACACAAACTTTTTTCAAAATATCACCCATTTGGTGTTTAGCTTGAAGTGTAAGACTATGTAACAACTATAGCTACTTTGTAAAAAATGTACTCTCACCTAAAGCCTAACATGATTCATTTTTTTTTTCCAGGAAACAGAAAATGTCTTTGGTCTGGTATTAATATCAAAAGAATTTAACTTTAAAACTGATCCCAATAAGCATGGCCCTTACACAGTTCATGACCAATATTTAGTTATATGAAAATGGTTCATTCTCTTCTAGAATCTAATCCAGTGCAGTCATCTGGTGAAAGACTGGAAGTCAGAAGACTTTTCAAAAGCTTCTCACTGAAATGGTAATTTGGTAACACGGGATAAACAGAATTTTGCATAAATAGCAGACCTTAGTCACTGAATACCCCATTAAACAGTACTGCTGGACCATGATACTTATATCTGGGAGATGACTTAGTTTTAAATTTTTTATGCAGTTTCTTTTCTTGAAGGAAAAACTTCCAGACTTCAGAATTTTGGAAGCTGAACGATGAGCAGGTTTTTCATATTTTGCTGTCTCAGACATTTTTCCTATTTCTCAGACTTTGCAGTTCTTTTCTTAGGTGCTTTAGAGCACCTAAAATATCAGCTTGCTGTGGGTCATTCGGTGCTTTCTGAGAGTACAGACGGAAATGTCTGATGGTTTCCGATAACAGCACTTCAGGATCTGCATCTCTTGCCTGAAGACGCAGCATCCGCTCACAGGCGATGGCATAGTTCTTGTGCCAATTCACTGGGTGCTCCTTTTGTAAATAGACAATCTCCTTATAAAGCTAGAAAACAGCAGAAATGTTGGTATTCCATTGTTATTCTTTGACTTTTTTTTTTTCAAAAACAAAAAAACACAGAGGAATTAATAACAAGAAAAAAAAATTCAAGCAGCCTCCAGTAAAAATCTAATCATTGCTAAGCCATGCAGAGAACCCAAGAATGTTACTGCAATTATTACAGTAGCAGGAGGCAAATATGCTGCTTCTAAAACTGCTTCTGAGGTTTTTAGATGTTGCAGGGGAAACCGAAGACACAGTGTTAGGACAAAATGCTCTTCCTCCAGAAAGATGTTCTGGGGAAGGGATTTAGTTTTAATTCATGGAAAGCTATTTACTCAACAGGCAGAAGGGTTGAAACTCTAAATTTAGCTGTTGGAGAACAAAAAAAAAAAACAGCTTTCTTTAGAAGACTGCCTGGAAAAAGAACTTGAAGGAATTTAAATTTTTGTCCCACATTTTTGACAGAAATTTCTCTCTACATTAAAAACAACACTAACAACACTAGCAACGATAAAACAATCCAGACAAATTCATCATCAGAGAGGCTGGGTGTGATAGAATTTAAGAGATATCCATAAAGTGAGATACTGAAAAGCTTCACAGTATCCTGTAATTTATAATTTTGATAGTTAAAACTTTGCCCATAGGAATTTAGAATTTCATTTTTCAACATCAGAGACAGTATTAATTGGATAGAGTTAAATTTTTTTTATACTGAGTTTTCTACAGGAAACATCAAAAATTTAACAAACAAAAACGCAGACACAAATCTGCAAAATGGAATATTATAGTTGCTTACTTGGGAATCTCACAGCTTTCTTGGAGATTGTCAAGTTAGAGCTGTATTCACAGGAGTTACCTGTAGACTTTCTGAGTGCACAGAAAAACAATAGTGCTTTCTCCAAGGGACAAGTGCTTTTTGAATTAGACATTACATAATTTAGTTAAAAGAAACCCAATCATATTATCTATTTTTCCAATTCCTACTCCAGGGCAAACAAATGCATACCTATTTTTAAATAGCACCCTCATGAAATATTCCACAATTCATGTTTGATATATTGTTTCAATAGTTAATAACCCTCAGTTGTCCAGCTTCCTTTTAAAGCAAATTTCCCCTTAGTTCCCTTTATTTTATACAATAGGGAAGAGGCTGGGCACGGTGGCCCATGCCTGCAATCCCAGCACTTTGGGAGGCCGAGGCCAGAGATCAGGCTTGAGATCAGGAGTTGGAGACCAGCCTGGCCCACAAAGCAAGACCCCATCTCTAGTTATAAAAAATAAAAAAGAAAGAAAAAATGGGAAAGAATCACCATGCACTTTCATATACATCAAGGTTACTGTCAGACTCCTACCCTTTTATCCTCTTGGTAAAATATTCAAAGTTGCTTTACCCTTTTTGTCATCATCCTTTTTTCTCCAGTGGTTTCTCTTCCTGAGCCCTCCTCTGATAAGACACGGGTGTAAAGGCTGTAGCATGTTGCCTCACACAAAGCAGGCATTCAGGAACTGTTCAGTTTTCAAAATCCTACTAAGTTTTTTGTTGTTGTTTTACAGATATCAATTTTATTTTTTAAATTAAGTATAATTTTTTAAAATTTTATTATACTTTAAGTTTTAGGGTACATGTGCACAACGTGCAGGTTTGTTACATATGTATACATGTGCCATGTTGGTGTGCTGCACCCATTACCTCGTCATTTAGCATTAGGTATATCTCCTAATGCTATCCCTCCCCCCTACCCCCACCCCACAACAGTCCCCCGAGTGTGATGTTCCCCTTCCTGTGTCCATGTGTTCTCATTGTTCAATTCCCACTTATGAGTGAGAACATGTGGTGCTTGGTTTTTTGTCCTTGCGATAGTTTGCTCAGAATGATGGTTTCCAGCTTCATCCATGTCCCTACAAAGGACATGAACTCATCATTTTTTATGGCTGCATAGTATTCCATGGTGTATATGTGCCACATTTTCTTAATCCAGTCTATCTTTGTTGGACATTGGGTTGGTTCCAAGTCTTTGCTATTGTGAATAGTGCCGCAATAAACATATGTGTGCATGTGTCTTTATAGCAGCATGATTTATAATCCTTTGGGTATATACCCAGTAATGGGATGGCTGGGTCAAATGGTATTTCTAGTTCTAGATCCCTGAGGAATCACCACACTGACTTCCACAATGGTTGAACTAGTTTACAGTCCCACCAACAGTGTAAAAGTGTTCCTATTTCTCCACATCCTCTCCAGCACCTGTTGTTTCCTGACTTTTTAATGATTGCCATTCTAACTGGTGTGAGATGGTATCTCCTTGTGGTTTTGATTTGCATTTCTCTGATGGCCAGTGATGATGAGCATCTTTTCATGTGTTTTTTTGGCTGCATAAATGTCTTTTGAGAAGTGTCTGTTTATATCCTTCACCCACTTGTTGATGGGGTTGTTTTTTTTCTTGTAAATTTGTTTGAGTTCATTGTAGATTCTGGATATTAGCCCTTTGTCGAGTAAGTTGCAAAAATTTTCTCCCATTCTGTAGGTTGCCTGTTCACTCTGATGGTAGTTTCTTTTGCTGTGCAGAAGCTCTTAAGTTTAATTAGATCCCATTTGTCAATTTTGGCTTTTGTTGCCATTGCTTTTGGTGTTTTAGACATGAAGTCCTTGCCCATGCCTATGTCCTGAATGGTACTGCCTAGGTTTTTCTAGGGTTTTTATGGTTTTAGGTCTAACATGTAAGTCTTTAATCCATCTTGAATTAATTTTTGTATAAGGTGTAAGGAAGGGATCCAGTTTCAGCTTTCTACACATGGCTAGCCAGTTTTCCCAGCACCATTTATTAAATAGGGAATCCTTTCCCCATTGCTTGTTTTTGTCAGGTTTGTCAAAGATCAGATATTTGTAGATATGTGGCATTATTTCTGAGACCTCTGTTCTGTTCCATTGGTCTATATTGTTTTGGTACCAGTACCATGCTGTTTTGGTTAGTGTAGCCTTGTAGTATAGTTTGAAGTCAGGTAGTGTGATGCCTCCAGCTTTGTTCTTTTGGCTTAGGATTGATTTGGCAATGTGGGCTCTTTTTTGGTTCCATATGAACTTTAAAGTACTTTTTTCCAATTCTGTGAAGAAAGTCATTGGTAGCTTGATGGGGATGGCATTGAATCTATAAATTACCTTGGGCAGTATGGCCATTTTCACGCAATTGATTCTTCCTACCCATGAGCATGGAATGTTCTTCCATTTGTTTGTATCCTCTTTTATTTCCTTGAGCAGTGGTTTGTAGTTCTCCTTGAAGAGGTCCTTCACATCCCTTGTAAGTTGGATTCCTAGGTATTTTATTCTCTTTGAAGCAATTGTGAATGGGAGTTCACTCATGATTTGCCTCTCTGTCTGTTACTGGTGTATAAGAATGCTTGTGATTTGTGCATGCTGATTTTGTATCCTGAGACTTTGCTGAAGTTGCTTATCAGCTTAAGGAGATTTTGGGCTGAGACAGTGGGGTTTTCTGAATATACAATCATGTCATCTGCAAACAGGGACAATTTGACTTCCTCTTTTCCTAATCGAATGCCCTTTATTTCCTTCTCCTGCCTGACTGCCCTGGCCAGAACTTCCAACACTATGTTGAATAGGAGTGGTGAGAGAGGGCATCCCTGTCTTGTGCCAGTTTTCAAAGGGAATGTTTCCAGTTTTTGCCCATTCAGTATGATATTGGCTGTGGGTTTGTCATAGATAGCTCTTATTATTTTGAAATACGTCCCATCAATACCTAATTTATTGAGAGTTTTTAGCATGAAGGGTTGTTGAATTTTGTCAAAGGCCTTTTCTGCATCTATTGAGATAATCATGTGGTTTTTGTCTTTGGTTCTGTTTATATGCTGGATTACATTGATTGATTTGCGTATGTTGAACCAGCCTTGCATCCCAGGGATGAAGCCCACTTGATCATGGTGGATAAGCTTTGTGATGTGTTGCTGGATTCGGTTTGCCAGTATTTTATTGAGGATTTTTGCATCAATGTTCATCAAGGATACTGGTCTAAAATTCTTTTTGTTGTGTCTCTGCCAGGCTTTGGTATCAGGATGATGCTGGCCTCATAAAATGAGTTAGGGAGGATTCCCTCTTTTTCTATTGATTGGAATCGTTTCAGAAGGAATGGTACCAGTTCCTCCTTGTACCTCTGGTAGAATTCGGCTATGAATCCATCTGGTCCTGGACTTTTTTTGGTTGGTAAGCTATTAATTATTGCCTCAATTTCAGAGCCTGTTATTGGTCTGTTCAGACATTCAGCTTCTTCCTGGTTTAGTCTTGGGAGCGTGTATGTCTCCAGGAATTTATCCATTTCTTCTAGATTAGTTTCTAGTTTATTTGCATAGACGTGTTTATAGTAGTCTCTGATGGTAGTTTGTATTTCTGTGGGATTGATGGTGATATCCCCTTTGTCATTTTTTATTGCATCTGTTTGATTCTTCTGTCTTTTCTTCTTTATTAGTCTTGCTAGTGGTCTATCAATTTTGTTGATCTTTTCAAAAAACCAGCTCCTGGATTCATTGATTTTTTTGAAGGGTTTTTTGTGTCTCTATTTCCTTCAGTTCTGCTCTGATCTTAGTTATTTCTTGCCTTCTGCTAGCTTTTGAATGTGTTTGCTCTTGCTTCTCTAGCTCTTTTAATTGTGATGTTAGGGTGTCAATTTTAGATCTTTCCTGCTTTCTCTTGTGGGTATTTAGTGCTATAAATTTCCCTCCACACACTGCTTTAAATGTGTCCCAGAGATTCTGGTATGTTGTGTCTTTGTTCTCGTTGGTTTCAAAGAACATCTTTATTTCTGCCTTCATTTTGTTATGTACCCAGTAGTCATTCAGGAGCAGGTTGTTCAGTTTCCATGTAGTTGAGTGGTTTTGAGTGAGTTTCTTAATCCTGAGTTCTAGTTTGATTGCACTGTGGTCTGAGAGACAGTTTGTTATAATTTCTGTTCTTTTACATTTGCTGAGGAGTGCTTTACTTCCAACTATGTGGTCAATTTTGGAATAAGTGCAATGCGGTGCTGAGAAGAATGTATATTCTGTTGATTTGGGGTGGAGAGTTCTGTAGATCTCTATTAGGTCCGCTTCGTGCAGAGCTGAGTTCAATTCCTGGATATCTTTGTTAACTTTCTGTCTCATGGATCTGTCTAATGTTGACAGTGGGGTGTTAAAGTCTCCCATTATTATTGTGTGGGAGTCTAAGTCTCTTTGCAGGTCACTAAGGACTTGCTTTATGAATCTGGGTGCTCCTGTATTGGGTGCATATATATTTAGGTTAGTTCTTCTTGTTGAATTGATCCCTTTACTATTATGTAATGGCCTTCTTTGTCTCTTCTGATCTTTGTTGGTTTAAAGTCTGTTTTATCAGAGACTAGGATTGCAACCACTGCCTTTGTTTTCCATTTGCTTGATAGATCTTCCTCCAACCCTTTATTTTGAGCCTATGTGTGTCTCTGCACGTGAGATGGGTTTCCTGAATACAGCACACTGATGGGTCTTGACTCTTTATCCAATTTGCCAGTCTGTGTCTTTTAATTGGAGCATTTAGCCCATTTACATTTAAGGTTAGTATTGTTATGTGTGAGTTTGATCCTGTCATTATGATATTAGCTGGTTATTTTCCTCATTAGTTGATGCAGTTTCTTCCTAGCCTTTATGGTCTTTACCATTTGGCATGTTTTTGCAGTGGCTGGTACTGGTTGTTCCTTTCCATGTTTAGTGCTTCTTTCAGGAGCTCTTTTAGGGCAGGTCTGGTGGTGACAAAATCTCTCAGCATTTGCTTGTCTGTAAAGGATTTTATTTCTCCTTCACTTATGAAGCTTAGTTTGGCTGGATATGAAGTTCTGGGTTGAAAATTCTTTTCTTGAAGAATACTGAATATTGGCCCCCACCCTCTTCTGGCTTGTAGAGTTTCTCCCAAGAGATCTGCTGTTAGTCTGATGGGCTTCCCTTTGTGGGTAACCCCATCTTTCTCTCTGGCTGCCCTTAACATTTTTTCCTTCATTTCAGCTTTGGTGAATCTGACAATCATGTGTCTTGGAGTTGCTCTTCTCGAGGAGTATCTTTGTGGTGTTCTCTGTATTTCCTGAATTTGAATGCTGGCCTGACTTGCTAGGTTGGGAAAGTTCTCCTAGATAGTATCCTGCAGAGTGTTTTCCAACTTGGTTCCATTCTTCCTGTCACTTTCAGGTACACCAATCAGACATAGATTTGGTCTTTTCATAGTCCCATATTTCTTGTTTTCACATAGTCCCATATTTCTTGGAGGCTTTGTTTGTTTCTTGTTATTCTTTTTTCTCTAAACTTCTCGCTGCATTTCATTCATTTCATTGTCCATCGCTGATACCCTTTCTTCCAGTTGATCGCATTGGCTACTGAGGCTTGTGCATTTGTCATGTAGTTCTCGTGCTGTGGTTTTCAGCTCCATCAGGTCCTTTAAGGACTTCTCTGCATTGGTTATTCTAGTTATCCATTTGTCTAATTAATTTTTTTCAAGGTTTTTAACTTCTTTGCCATTGGTTCGAACTTCCTTCTTTAGCTTGGAGTAGTTTGATCTTCTGAAGCCTTCTTCTCTCAACTCGTCAAAGTCATTCTCTGTCCAGCTTTGTTCCATTGCTGGTGAGGAGCTGTGCTCCTTTGGAGGAGGAGAGGTGCTCTGATTTTTAGAGTTTCTGGTTTTTCTGCTGTTTTTTCCCCATCTCTGTGGTTTTATCTACCTTCGGTCTTTGATGATGGTGATGTACAGATGGGTTTTTGGTGTGGATGTCCTTTCTGTTTGTTAGTTTTCCTTCTAACAGTCAGGACCCTCAGCTGCAGGTCTTTTGGAGTTTGCTGGAGGTCCACTCCAGACCCTGTTTGCCTGGGTATCAGCAGTGGAGGCTGCAGAACAGCGGATATTGGTGAACTGCAAATGCAGCTGCCTGATTGTCCCTCTGGAAGTTTTGTCTCAGAGGAGTACCCGGCTGTGTGAGGTGTCAGTCCACCCCTACTGGGAGGGTGCCTCCCATTTAGGCTACTCGGGGGTCAGGGACCCACTTGAGGAGGCAGTCTGCCCATTCTCAGATCTCAGGCTGCATACTGGGAGAACCACTATTCTCTTCAAAGCTGTCAGACAGGGACATTTAAGTCTGCAGAGGATATTGCTGCCTTTTGTTTGTCTGTGCCCTGCCCCAACAGGTGGAGCCTACAGAGGCAGGCAGGAAGGCACGCAGGCCTCCTTGAGCTGTGGTGGGCTCTACCCAGTTCGAGCTTCCCAGCTGCTTTGTTTACCTGCTGAAGCCTCAGCAATGGCGGGCACCCCTCCTCCAGCCTTGCTGCCACCTTGCAGTTTGATCTCAGACTGCTGTGCTAGCAATGAGTGAGGTTCTGTGGGCATAGGACCCTCCAAGCCAGGTGCAGAATATAATCTCCTGGTGTGCCGTTTGTTAAGCCCATTGGAAAAGCACAGTATTAGGGTGGGAGTGACCCGATTTTCCAGGTGCTGTCTGTCACCCCTTTCTTTGACTAGGAAAGGGAATTCCCTGCCCCCTTGCGCTTCCTGGGTGAGGCAATGCCTTGCCCTGCTTTGGCTCACACATGGTGCACTGCACCCACTGTCCGGCACTCCCCAGTGAGATGAACCCGGTACCTCAGTTGGAAATGCAGAAATCACCCGTCTTCTGCGTTGCTCATGCTGAGAGCTGTAGACTGGAGCTGTTCCTATTTGGCTGTCTTGGCTCCACCTCCTATACTACATATTTCTATACAAATATAGACCTGTTAGATTGATGTTTGTTACTTTAATTTTTGCAGGTACACAGTTGGTGTATATATTTATAAGGTACATGAGATATTTTGATACAGGCCTCCATGCATAATAATCACATCAGAGTAAATGGGGTATCCATCACCTCAAGCATTTATCCCTTCTTTGTGTTACAATCCAATTATACTCTTTTAGTTATTTTTAAATGTATCATAATGTTGTTGGCTGTAGTTACCCTGGTTGGCTGTAGTTACCCTGTTGTGCTATCAAATACTAGATTGTGTTCATTCTGTCTCACTATATTTTTGTACCTATTAACCATCCCCAACCCACCACCCTGCACTAAGGTGTTGAAGTCCAAAATAGATGCCAACACTTCCAGGAGCATTTCCCCAACTGCTCCAGAGAATGGAGGCTCATTCATGACCCACCTACTAGTCTTCAGGCAGCAGGACAACTGTGCTACCTTTTTCTGGAATATTTTGTTACTGACACATTATCAACTTATTTTAGATGTCCTATTAAGTCACATGTACCATATCTTGAGAAGCCCATCATTCTTCGTTATGTGGAATTATATTTCCTCCTCTATATACATGTGTTGCTGTGATATTAGTCTTGGTGGATGTATTCTGTTAGTTGGGGACACCTTCAAATTATCCAATTTATTCCTATAGCATTGCCTACGCCCTGCCCTGCTCCCTGATGTCACCTGAACTTAATATTCTGTATGAGCTATTGAGTAGGATAATATAAACAGCAGAAATATATTCTTTACACCTAAGAAGAACATTCTTGAAAAACTAGCACTGGGGGTGGTAATTCAGTAATTACCATGAAGTAATTGGCCTCATTTGTCTTGTAAACATTGTCACACATCTGGAGACTATGTGCAAAGGAGATACCAATAATCTGTATTCACTGAAAAAAAACAGAGCTCTCTGACCCAAAGGGACAATAAATCCACAAATGAGCTTTAGTAGTAGCCTAACAAACAACTGACCATAGAAGAGGTCGCTGATGAGAATATAAAGTATCAGTAAGTAAGTCTCAGTTTTCTCCCAACTAAATACTACTTGTTTTTCATAGAATTACAAGGTATTAGAGATAAACAGGATTATTATGTGAAAGGAGATCTTTTCAAGTTTAAAGCCCTTTTTTTTTTCTTTTTTAGAAAAAAAATCAAGGCCTGGAAAGGTTCTTTGATGCACAGTTGACAACTAATGGCAGAGTGGGCCTAGAAGCTGGGCCTCCTTACTGCCAGACAGAACTCCAGCATGCTGCCTTCTATAATCAGGTATTTTGCTATCCTCAAGTGGGGTGTCTCGGAGGGATCTGCCTTTGCCCCCATGGCTTGCTTCTTATGGACTGCTCTCCCCTCCCTCTCTTGCTGCCTTGCCCTACCATCTGTTTGGTTAGCTCCTTCTGATCTTTCAAGATGACACTCCAATGACATCCTCTCTGGAAGCCTTCCCTTCCTCCCTCCCTCACCAGCCTACTTCCCAGCTTGCTCTGGTCCAGGGCTCTGGGTTTCTGTAGCACCCTTGTGTGCCTCTCACAGCACTCACAAGACTGAACTGTGACTGAGGACTTGATCTTCCATCTCCCTCTCTAGCCTGCCACCTTTTTGATAGCAGGGATAAGACTTGGTTGTCTCCAACACACTATTTGCTATGGAGTGGGTGCTCGAGAAATGCTTTGTGAGTGAATGAATAAGTGAATACATAAGGAACCAGAGATCACAATTGAGGAGTAAAAGTAGTCATACTGATTGGACACCATGCTATTTTGTCTTAGCACCAAACACTTGTCCTGGCTGAGTAGAACCACAGCAGTCTAAAGATGGCAGAAATATCTCAGCTGCTCATATATACAGGTCCTACCCTCTGTTTTCATTGGCCCTTGTCAGGATATTAGTTTCCTATAGAGCAGACTCTGCAAGTGTCTGAAGTGGCCAGTGCCGTAAGTCATAGCAAAGCAGAGACTTGGTTACAGTAGTGCCACAGCAAGCCTCTTGTATCTGCTCCCACTTCCCATCAGAAAGGACCGATTTGTGCAAGACCTTCAGCGTGGCTGTGTCTTCCGAAGGTTAGTTTGGCTTCCTGGGGCCACAGTTAAAAGACAGAGCCACCCTCCATGACTCTTTATCATCTCTTCTCGTGAAATCTCAACAAGCCAAGGCCCTATCATTTCAAGTGTAGCCAGGGTCATGACCTTTGCAGAGGCAGTAACCAGCTAGAACTTGTTTTAAATGAAGCTATTATATTAGTTTCCTATTGCCACTGTAACAAATAAACAACATACATTTATTATCTCACACTTCTGAAGGTGAGAAGTCATAAAGCCAGCATAACTGCATTCCTTCAGGAGGCTCTAGAGGAGACTCTGTTTCCAACGTCCTCCAGAGGTGGCCTGCACTCTTTTACTCCTGGCTCCTTCCTCCATCTGCAAAGTTCAAGTTTCTCTCTCTCTGCCCTCTGCTTCTGCATCATGTATACTTCTCTGACTCTGACCTGCCTGCTTCCCTTTCATGAGGACCTTTATGATTATGTTGGGCCCACCTGGATAATCTGGGGTAACCCCCTGTCTCAAGACACCTAACTTAATCCCCACCACCCCCTGCTTTGTTACATAGGTAACATATTCACAGGTTGTGGAGATTAGGACTAGACATCTTTTTTGGGTGGGAGGTATTATTCTGCCTACCACAGCCATTTACTTTGGATACTGTGATACAACTGAGGATTTGTTCATATGTGCTGCTTTATACCACCCAAATTGAGAGAAATAAAATAATAAAAATTCTAATGTGATATACCCTCTATCCATTCTGAACAATCACCATCACCTTCCCACCAAATATATCTATATCTACATATAAAAGTGTAACATACGTCATATGCTTGAGCGTAGAGTTGAGCTTTCACTTTTGAAGGCATGTGAGCAGTTTCTGCCAGGTTAAAGATGAAGAACGGTGTTTTCATCCTGGGGGTGGGGATAGGAACCTTCATTAAAATCATACAGTCAATTGCACATTCAGGGCTAGCTAAATCTTCCAGGCTTCTCCACTGATAAGGGATGTACAAAATCCTTTATTGTATTATTTTCAATTCTCTCATATTCATGGACATTTGCTCTGAACCAACAACAATCCCTCCACCCACCCACCAAGATGCTGCATTCACACTAATGACCAAATATTTTAGAAAAAAAGCTTACACTTATCACTATTATACATTGTTCATCCTCCAAATGTATGTTATTGTTATGCAAGAGAAGCCAGGAAAAGGGAAACCTGCTGAGTCTGCCAACACATCCCTGAAGGTACCCAACACGAAGCTCATGCCATGTGTGCCCAGTTCTTCCAAGGTGGCCAGACCCTTAGACCCCATGAACTCATCCAAGTTGTATTCAGAACGCCAATTAAATCAATACCTGTGCAAATAATGACCTCTTTCTTCTTTTATGTGATTTCTTCCCCGCTTTCCCACATTCAATCACAGTGAATTATGCAAACATATGGTATATCTTTGATCAGTTCCTTAAAGTAAGAATTTGTCCCTATGACTACAATGACAACTTAAAATATGCTATTTTCTGACTTATTCAAAAATACTATTGCATAAACTATAGTATATATATATATATTTGCAATCATTATTTTGCAGCTGTATTTCTTGACCACTCTTTAAAAACCTCTTTAAACTTATATAAGCTCTTTATATCATAACTGTTCTCAGTGCACACAGTCCCTGGCTCAGACTGGACATCAATACATTTTTGCTGAAGGAAGCACTCCTTATGTACAAGATACTCCGTCTGCACTACTTAGGACTTTTACATTAATACTTAGGCCAGAGTTTGTTAGTGTTATTTTGATTAAAAAACAAAACAATGACAGGAACCAAAAGAAGCAGTTGCCATCACTATGAAATGTTCCATACAGGACAGGATGACAGCTGTCCTCTCTGAACTACAGGAAAGTATAGGCTCCATCAGATTAATATTTCAATCTCCTTTAACATGTCTGTCTGCTCATTAGACTATGAGCTTCATGAGGGTAGGAACTGTGTCATATTCATATGTGTAGCTTCAATGCCTAGCCCAGTGCCTGGCCTCCAGTAAGTACTGAATAAGTGCTTAACTAATTGACAGGCACATTACAAATGGAGGCGAGGTTGTAATGATTAATTTCTACTCAATCGATTACACTCACTTTAGTTAGATGAGTGTTCCAGAGGCAGACAGATGTGAACTTTGGACTCCATCACTAGCAGCAGTGTGCCCTTGGACAAGTAGCCTTTCCACATCCAGTTTGTTCTTTTATAAAATGGGGATCAAAATAACCTCAGAGGTTATTGTGTGGATGAACTGAAATATTCATGTATAATGATTAGTACAGTGCCTCAAAAACATAATTGCTCATAAATGCTATTTTTATTATCACTACTCACCCCTACTCTCAAAATTAAAAGTGCCATAAGCTACTTCCCTGCCATATTAAAAATAGACTGCACACACAAAAATGTAGAATAGTCACCTCGCTTGCCACATTTCTTCATTGGCCACAGATTCCCAAGAAGATGGATCAAACCTGTAGTTACAAGAAAACAGTAATATCTTTCTGTCACCCACTTTTTTTTTTTTTTTGAGACAGAATTTTGCTCTTGCTGCCCAGGCTGGAATGCAATGGTGCGATCTTGGCTCACTGCAACCTCCACCTCCTGGGTTCAAGTGATTCTCCTGCCCCCGCCTCCCAAGTAGCTGGGTTTACAGGCACCCACAACCACACCCAGCTCATTTTTGTATTTTTCGTGGAAATGGAGTTTCACCATGTTGGCTAGGCTGGTTTCAAACTCCTGACCTCAGGTGATCACCTGCTTTAGCCTCCCAAAATACTGGGATTATAGGCGTGAACCACCATGCCCAGCCATCATCTACATTTTTGCAATGGATAGGTCATAACTGTTTTATCATCTGACAAGGCCAATAAGATGAATCTTGAAATACTGACAGTGATCAAATTAATAAACTTGTTCTCCTAAAAAAGTTGAATTTTAAGGAAGTTTGAGTTTTGGTAAATATCTTCTTAATCTGCATAATTAGCTCCCATGCCTCAAGAGAGCAAACAGAAGATTAACAGGAAGACATTGAAAGTCTCTGGGGAGCCAGCTGTTCATAAGAACTATATGTTAGATGGCAACAGGGCAGAGGTGAGGTGTAGGTCACTCTATGGACAGAGGTAAGAGCCAAAGAGCTGTGAAACAAGGGGATCAGCCTGAAGAGAGGGGACTCCTGGCTTGGAAAATCACTGCTGGAGCTTTGATGCTGCTCAAAGAACAATGGCCAAGCCATTTGATTTTTCTTTCTCTTAAAAATTTTCTTACTATGTATATATTTGATAGAATGGGGATAATGAGCAAAGTTATGTACGTGTACTAGTTGTCAGCTGTTCTGACTTTTTCTCATGACGGCTGCAGAGTGTTTTGATCATCCATCTCTGGCTGTTATACAACAATGTGGTCTGTATTTGCGCATACTGTCTTTTCAAAAAACCTTTACAGTATTTTAAAATATAATCTTGTCTGTTGCTCTTAAATTATAAGCAATAGGTTATATAATCTTTAAATAATTCATAACTTTAAAAGTAGGTAATGGAGGCACATTTCTTTAGATAGTGACTCTGTGTGTGTGTGTGAAATCAAGTAAAAGAATCACTACTCCATAGATAGAGCAGCCTAGATAGTGACTCATTTTCTATTTAGGAAACATTAAGCTCTATGTAGAAATGCTTAATGGAAGGCCAGTAATGCCCCAACAACATAACCAGATTGATGCCAAGAAACACTGAAAACAAAGCTACTCAAAGCTGAGTCTTCGCTCACAGAGAAGTTATCTGCCATTCTTAAGGAAAAAAAAAAATGACAAGTTTGTGCATATGGAAACTATCATAAACAACAGAATGCCTTTTAAAGTTCAACTGCAGTTAATGAACCTCTTCTGCTTTTAGGGTAATGAGCTATAGGATGGTAGATGATGCAGCATTCAAAGACTTGGAAGTAGAAGGTGCCATGCATCTAACCATCATGGTATCCACACAACCAGCACCCTCTTCCCTCCTCTCTCCCCATTGTTCTGTAAGTAGGAGAACGAGAAGGACATGTTCTCTTTCTGTTGTTTTATGGTATTTTGTGGGTAGCAAGTAACAATATTAACAATTAATAAAAAAAAAAATTAGAAGGCATCTCAAAATGTAGTAGTTTTTTTGGGTATTCAAAACTGCTATGTTTATATGCATCAAAATACAACTGCTGTTCATACCTTCCATATTCTTCGGTCCAGTTATAGATACTTTTTGTAAGTTTAATCCATTCCTCAGGGTTGAATACAATCTCCAAAGGAACTAATTTGTCACAAGACCCCCATGGCCAAAGTGAATAGTTCTTTTTCCAGGTTGGGTCGCCTTCATGAATTCCTATGCAAACAAATGTTTCTTTTCTGTTGGAAACAGAAAAATACATGATGTACTTAAAATTTAAAGTTTTAAATGTTAAGTAAATA
The DNA here is from genome assembly GCF_000001405.40 of Homo sapiens. Lineage (NCBI taxonomy): Eukaryota > Metazoa > Chordata > Mammalia > Primates > Hominidae > Homo > Homo sapiens. The sequence goes on along the minus strand of NC_000014.9, from coordinate 56,632,931 downwards.
TAATTCATGAAAGATCATTTTTAGATTTTTTCCCAACAGTTATTACCTATATGATTTTGGAAAAATTACTTAACTACCTGTGTTTAGTCTTCTCACTTGTGAAAGAGGTATGGCAACTATCTTTCAGAACTGTTGAAGACTAATGAGATATCTAATATAATTAACAGTCTCAAAGCATAATAGAGGCTGGACATGGTGGTTCACACTTGTAATCCCAGCACTTTGGGGCTGAGGTGGGAGAATCGCTTGAGGCCAGGGGTTTGAGACCAGCCTGGGCAACACAGCAAGACCCCCATCTCATGGGGGAAAAAAGGAAGCTTAAAACTCAGAAGTATGTCTCAAATAAGGATAAAAAAAGCTCCAAGAAAAGTCCCCCCATTTTTTGCAGCCCAAGAAGTAGCACAGGGGACCAAGGTTTGAAGAGAGTGGAGGGAATCCCCCAGGTCTTTTTCTTTCTCTCCTTTCCCAGGTGCCAGGCAACATCGTGGCATTAGCGGAGGCAGCAGCATAGTGATAGTAGTGGTGGGTTGGCAGGCACCCAAAACTCTGAGAGAGGGGAGCCCTTCTCTCTAAGCAGAGGCATTGTGCTTCCAAGAGTGTGGGGCAAATCTCCATTGCTTTTTCTCTCTGTCCTTCAGTCTGGCTCCAGATGCAGACACAGTCACAGGAAGGGCACAGCAGAAGAAAGAAATTAAAGCCCCAGCTTTCTGGCTAGAGAACCAAAAAGGAAGGCCCCAGCAAGCTGGAAAGTAATGGGGTGACCACAGAAAGGAGAGAGATGCAGAGAGCAATGCCATAAAGTTGTATCCTCAGCTTATCTCTGAGCTGAGCATGCACAGGTCTGACCCTAAACAGAGTTCGTAAAATTAACCACAGGACAGACCACCACCCAGGTTCCAGACTGGGTACCTGGTAGTGTTACCATAGGTAGCTAGTCAGGCATGAGCAGGGCAGGAGAGGGCTCTCTGCCGTCCTGCCCCAACCACACCAGGAATTTCAGACAACCATCAGGTGATGGTCAGACAGTTGTCACACTGCTTCTCTAAAATAGTAACTGGTCACAGACAGCACCAGGAAAAGGCAGTTTCCCAACAGATAGATAGAAACACCTGAAACTGGTGATCAGCAGCTTCCCGAAAAGATCTCAGGAGTTGAATGAGTGGGCTCAAGCATGTGCACTAAGAGGCAAAACAGCAGAGTTTAACCGGTATGACCTTCTAGGGCCAAACCACCAGTGAGGGAATAACACAAGTGAGCATGCATACAACTCCAGTAAACACACTGCACAGTCTCTTTTTTTTTTTTTTTTGAGACAGAGTCTTGCTTTGTAGCCCAGGATGGAGTGCAGTGGCACAATCTCAGCTCACTGCAACTTCTGCCTCCTAGGCTCAAGCAATCCTCCTGCCTCAGCCTCCGGAGTAGCTGGGATTACAGGCACGCACCACCATGCCTGGCTAAATTTTGTATTTTTAGTAGAGACAGGGTTTTGCCATGTTGGCCAGGCTGGTCTTGAACTTCTGACCTCAGGTGATCCACCTGCCTCAGCCTCCCAAAGTGATGGGATTACAGGCGTGAGTCACCACACCTGGCCCACACTGCACATTCTCACCTCCCAAGTGCTAGCAGGCTACTGCACATCTGGGCAGCCCACCCCCAGGGAAGAATCAGGGGAGAAGGGAATGCAAGACCCTAGAAGTATGCCAACGTATAAAACCCTGAGTCAAAGGTCAAATGGGGCACTTGTCTGTCAAGTCGCCTGCTTGGCCTTCTTCCAAGTGTGGTTTCCTTCCTTTCATTTCTGCTTTAGAGCTTTTAATAAACTTTTACTCCTGCTTTAAAATGTGCCTTGGTCTCTCCTTCTGTCTTATTCCCCTCAGTTGAATTCTTTCTTCTGAGGTGGCAAGAATTGAGGTTGCTGCAGCCCTGTATGGGTTTGCTGCCAGTAACTCACACACTCGCCGCCAGTAACAGTAGCACACACATGGGATTAATCCAAATAGCACTGCAAATGCTTTGGAAACAGAACCGGTATTGCAACCACAGTTCACAGAAGGCAGGCCAGAATTTGAAACCTGAGATTAACTTGGCCAAGGGCTTGCTAAACAAACAGACCAAAAAGTCATCATTCTCCTTGGGATTTAAATAAGACCCAAATATTCAAAATGTCCAGGATACAATCCAAAATTACTAGGCATATGAAGAACCAGAAAAATCTCAACTCATAAGGGAAAAAACAATCAATAGATGTCTATTCTAAGATGACACAAATGCTAGAATTGTCAAAGACTTTAAAACAACTATTATAAGCATGCATCAAGAAGGAAGGGCAAATACTCTAGAAACAAAAGGAAAGATGGAGAAGCTCAACAAAAAGTAAAATATATAAAAAGGAACCAAATGGCTTAATATAAGTTTGGCAAGACAGTATGTCAGGGAATTTGAAGACATAGAAAAAAAAAGATACAATTTAAACAAAAAAAGAAAAACACTGAAAAAAAAGCAAAGAGTTCAGGCATCTGTGGGACAATACCAAAAGGTCTAAATTCATTTCATCAGAGTCTCAGAAGGAGAAAAGAAAGACTGTGAAACAGGAAAAATTATTTAAAGACATAATGTATGAAAAATTCCCAAATTTTGTGAAAGATACAATCTTACAGGTTGAAGAAATTTGGAAAACTCCAAACAAGTTAACGCAAAGAAATCCATGCTAAAATATATCATAATCAAACTGCTGAAAACTAAAGACAAATAAAAAGTCTTGAAAATGGCCAGAGAAAAACAATAGATTTCACCTAGGGGAACAATTATTTGAATTACTGTGGATTTCTAATTAGAAGCTACACAGGCCAAAAAAATTAACTTACTTTTTTTTTTCTTCTTTTTTTTTTTCTGAGATAGGGTTTTGCTCTGTTGCCTAGGCTGGAGTGCAGTGGCACAATCATAGCTCACTGCAGCCTCAAACTCCTGCATTCAAACAATCTTCCCACCTCAGCTGCCCAAGTAGTTGGGACCACAGGTGTGTACCACCACGTCCAGCTAATTTTTTATTTTTATTTTTTTGTAGCGACAGGGTCTCCCTATGTAGTCAAGGTTGGTCTTGAACTCCTGGGCTCAAGCAATCCTGCCTCAGCCTCCCAAAGTGCTGGAATTACAGGCATGAGCCACTGTGCCCAGCCTAAAGTAACATTTTTAAAATGCTGAGGAAAACAGTATTATCAACCCAGAATCTATTTCCACAAATATCCTTCAAACAGGAAGATGAAATAAAGACATTTTCAGATAAAGGAAAACTAAGAGAATTCACGGCTAATAGTTTTGGTTTAAAAGAAATACTTAAGGAATATCCTCAGAACGAAGGGAAATCATACAAGAGGAAAATGTGGAATATCAGGATTGAAGAAAGAACAACAGATCTGGTAAGTATCTGATAAATATTGTAGAATATTTTTTTCTCTTAAGTTCTTTAATATATGTATGACAACTGAAATAAAAACGACCCTATCTGACATAATATGTAACACAAAAAGTAAAAGACTTATATGACAGTAAGGTTATCACATTCTGCTTGAAGTGGTAAATTATTACTCCTAAGTATACCATGAAAAGTTAAGTATGGATGCTGTAATCTCAACAGCAACCAGCTTCAAAAAAAAAAAAAAACAACAAAAACAAAAACTTTACCAAGCGATATAGTAAAAAATCTCAATAAACATTTTTAAAAGAAATACAAAAAGTCAGCCAGGCGTGGTGGCTCACGCCTGTAATCCTAGCACTTTGGGAGGCCAAGGCAGATGGATCACTTGAGGTCAGGAGTTCAAGACCAGCCTGGCCAACATGGTGAAACCCCATCTCTACTAAAAATACAAAAATTAGCTGGGCTTGGTGGCACATGCCTGTAATCCCAGCTACTCAGGAGGCTAAGGCAGGAGAATCGCTATAACCTGGGAGGTGGAGGTTGCAGTGAGCCAAGATTGTGCCACTGTACTCCTGCCTGGGTGACAGAGTGAGACTCCATCTCAAAAGAAAAAAAAAAAAGAAATACAAAAAGTCAACTAATCTAAAAAAAGATAATAGTAGACATACATCTAAACATATCAATATTTATATTAAATGCAAATGGTGGAGACATAGCAATTAAAAATAGAGATCTGAGATAGTAAAATAAGACTCAAATATATGCTGTCTATAAAACACCTATTTTAAATATGATATAGGTTGGTTAGAAACAAAAGGATGAAAAAAGATAAACCACAAAAACACGAATTAAGTTAAAACCAATAAAAAACCCCAGAAGATTTTTTTTCATTTGTATAGACAGCGAAAAGTACAAATACAATGCAATGAAGAAAGGATAATCTTTGTAGCAAAGAGTATAAGGACAATTTGACATCCAAACACAAAAACAAAACTATAGAACTCATAGAAGAAAACATGAGAAAATCTTTGTGATCTGGCATTAGGCAAAGAGTTCTTAGATATGATACCAAAAATATAATTCATAGAAAAAAATTGAATTTGAGCTTCAAAGAAATAAAGTTTTGCTCTGCAAAAGACACTTGTAAAAGACAAGCAACTGCGAGAAAATATTTACAAACTGCATATTTGACAGAGGTTGCGTACCTAGAATATAAACAGAACTTTCAAAACTCAACAATAAGAAAACAACTCAATCCCAACCCTATGCAGAAAACATACTCACACACAAACCTGTTTATGAATGTTTATAGCAGCTCTATTTATAAATGCCCCAAACTTGAAACAACCCAACTGTCCTTCAATGAGTAAATGGATAAACAAACTACAGTACATCCATACAATGAAATATTACTTAGAAACAAAAAGAATAAACTATTGATATACACAGCAACTAGGATGGTTCTCAAAGGCACTACACTAAGTGAAATATGCCAATATCAACAGGTTACATACTTTGATTCTATTTATATGACACTCAGGAAAAGGTAAAGCTATAATAATGAAGAACAGATCAGTGGTTGCCAGGGTTAGGCCTGAGGAGACAGTGTGACTATACGGGAGCAGCACAAGAAAATTTATGGAATCATGGACTGCTCTGTGTCCTGACTGTTGTGGTGGTTACACAAATGTATACACGGGTTAAAATTCATAGAACTGTATACCACACCCCCTAACAAGAAAAGTAAATATTACTGCATGTTAAAATAACAGGTGCTCACTAAACATTAGCTAGCTTCCTTTCAGAGGTATGCATTTAGATAACTTTCATATGATGATGGTCCATCCCTTTGGGGGGGAAAAATATCTCTATCACATGCCTTTAAATAATGCATGTCCTTTGAGTTAGTAATTTTACTTCTGAGAATCTATACTAATAATTTAAAATTCTGCCCCTCCACAAAAAACCCTACATATACAAAAGCAGTTGTTGTAGGTATAATTTTATTATAGTTAAAATTAGATCATGTTAAATATCTCCTAATAGTTTTATTTGCTTATTATTTTTAAATTACAGTACATGTATTTACAAAGTTTGTAAAAACATAAGGAAATTGTTTTATGATAGTAAATATAAAAAACAGGACACTTATGCTTTCACCTTTGTAAAAAATATGCATTTTTTATATATGTGTTGTTTCTGAGTGAATAGGACCCTGTTTTCTTCCAGTTTTTAAAAACATTTCTCATTCTGTAACAAGCACATGAAACTTTTAAATTTAAAAACTATTTTAAAAACTGATATTAAATAAGTCATATTTATGCAGTGATCTTTGTTAGTCAAAAACATTAACAAAACTTTATGGGGCAGAATGTTTATCATAATTGTATATTATAAGAGCAAAAGTCTAGAAACAGAATATCCCAAAAATAGAATATTCGTTAAATTATTATGCGTCTTATGAGAATATTAGCCAACAATGACAATAATATACATGGGGAAATGCTTATGATATAATGGTAGGTTAAAAAAATTGGACAGAAAATGATATCTCAGCTATATATAATACAGTATGTATGAATATGTGTATGTTTTAAAAATAAGTCATTTATGTTAAAGGTGAGTGGAATCCAACAATATTTATCAAAATATTAACAGCAGCTGTCCTTGGGAGACAGATGATACTGATCGTCTTCACACTTTTCCGTGTTGTTTAGAGTTTCCTCAAAGAGCATACGATACTTCCATCATATTGTTCTTGGAACATTTTGGACATGCAATTTTTATTAAATAAATGCTGAATGAATGTCCCCAAACAGAATTAATGGCTTCCTTATCCATGCTGCCAGAATACTTGGCATATGTTGTCAGTTAAATCATCTATCTATTCAGTAAACACCTATTGAGTATATACTATGTCTGACACTTTACAAGGCATTGATAGTATAGAACTTATCCCACCAAATTATGGCTAGTTGTATTCACATCTATGTATGTATACAACTAGATTGTGTTCTATTTGGATTTGGAACTGAGTCCCATTCATCTTTCTACTGCTGGAGCCTAATACAAGCTGTAACATAGTAGACATTCAGTAAATGCTTGTGGGATTGAATTCTCGAAAATTCACAAAAATGCCAACTTGGGGATGTTAATGGTTCCTAATATTTTATCTAGAATAGAATAATTAAATGTTACTCTCACAGCGCATTTATAACCATTACTGTCGTTTACTCCACGAGCCATATAAACTTCAGGCTCTAAACACCCAAAATACCACATTATTATGTTCTTAGCAAGGGATAATTTAACTTTGGGATTTACAAAGACATTCTGAAGTCTTCTTTATAAGAAAAAATAAATCATGAAATAAGTGTTTCTTCTTCAAGCTCTGGACAATCTCAAGCACTTCATGGCAGAAGAAATGTTCAACACTGTGCCATCGGAGGAATTATTTATTCTTGACCTAACTACAAATAATTTTATGTTCTCAAGTATAGAATTCACAATTCTCATATTTTATCTCAGCTAGCATAAACTGTAGGTGTTTTTCTTATTTATAAAAATGTCTTATCCTTTATAAAAATTCTTAAGCTATTTTTATATAGTGATTATTCCTGAAAACATTTGCTTTACACTTAAAAGGGGGGCCATAGTGTTGATCAGGGGAACTATAATTGCTTGCCATCCACCTGCAATGATTTCAAGTAGGCAGGCACATCTCCAATTTCTGTGAATTGTACTAAGATCTTATTTGCTGTTCTTGCTAATCTGTCTGTATTTTTCCTTTATCCAAAACAATAACATTTATTTCTGCCTGGCCTCATTTATGCACAGATATTCAATTTAATTACAAAGATAATCTCACCAGTGACAGGGAAATAGGCAGAGAAAATTGGTCTTTTGGATGATGCACAACTGCTACAGAAACAATTTTAGAAAAGCTTAAGATTTTAGAAAAGCTATTATATAAAAAGAATGCTTACTGTTTATTTACTTCAAGAAAATGATAAAGATTAAATGTGACCATTCCACTAGGTAATATTCCTTCCACAGGATTCCACCGGTTCCCAGGAAAGTTGACACCTGGCAAGTGCTTTGCCATCTTGGGTAAATACCACTCGTAAGTCATCATCTGCCAGAAAAGTCACACATAATGTCAGACTTTTAATATATTTCTTAGAAAGAATCAAGTTTATCAAGTAATGGCAAAAACCTAAATTACTTTTGCACCAACCTAATATATATATAATTGAAAAATATAAGCACAACTGAGAATGTGGTACTGATTACTTTTTTAGTGATGTAAACTTTGGATTTTATTATGACTATCATCAGTCACATCAGTACCTTCTTCCAATTTACCTCCCGCATTTGACTCCCCAGAAGGACCTTCCCCCATTCTTATACCTAGAGCAGGGGTCCCCATACTGGGCCGCACAGCAGGGGCCAGCATTACTGCTGTGCTCTGCCTCCTGTCAGATCAGTGGCAGCATTAGATTTTCACAGGAGTGTGAACCTATTGTGAACTGCACATGTGAGAGATCTAAGCTGCATGCTCCTTAAGAGAATCTAATGCCTGATGATCTCAGGTGGAACAGTTTCATCCCGAGACCATTCCCCACCCCCACCCCCAACCCCCAGTCTGTGGAAATACTGTCCTTCACAAAACCGGTCCCTGGTGTAAAAAAGGTTGGGGACCACTGACCTAGAGAACGTGTATTCAACTTTCAGAACCACTGTAAATATCACTTCCTCTGATGCCCTCCTCTGTCTCCATAGCCAGAATGGCATGATCCTCTAGTACTTTGTACTCACCTCTATGAGAGCCTGTTCCTCACCAGACTGTGAGCTCCTAGAAAAAAGGCACTGTATTTTTTCATCTCTGTGTATCTGCACCTAGCACACTGCCTGGCATAGAACGGTTCTCAAATTTATTATTATTATTTTGAGACAGTCTCACTCTGTCACCCAGGCTGGAGTACAGTGGCATGATCTCAGCCCACTGCAAGCTCCGCCATCTGGGTTCATTCTCCTACCTAAGCCTCCCAAGTAGCTGAGATTGCAGGCACATGACACTACACCAGAATAATTTTTGTATTTTTGATAGACACGGGGTTTCACCATGTTGGCCAGGCTGGTGTCGAACTCCTGGCCTCAAGTGCTCCACCCGCCTTGGCCTCCCAAAGTTCTGGGATTACAGACGTGAGCCACCACACCTGGCCAGTTCTCAAATCATGTTTGCTGAAATTGAAATGCCTTTGATGGCCAGACTAGACAACCTAGACAAAATAGCCATTATTTTATTCATTAAAAAAATCAAGTATGCTCATCTATAATGAATAAGATATAATCCCTGCCCTGGAGAAGCTCAATCATGTAATAATCTAGGCCTCAAAGTTAAAAACTCTTTTGGCATTTCAAATTATCTGAATTTATTAGTAGCCCTATATTAATTACATATCCTTACAAGTTTACACATTCTTTTGATTTAAATAATTTACTTATATTAGAAAAAATCATTTTACTTAATTCTATACTTAACACATACTTAACTCTATACTTTGATATGTATTCATTCCCTCTTTTTAAAGAAGAGACTCCCATTAACACCACCAAAGCTTTGTTATGTTCGGATATCATCATTTGAGAAATTGTGCTTATGTTTTACTTGTCTTATGTAAGACATTACCCAGCAAATGACAAATTAATTTTAATCTAAGTCTAAACTGTAAATACTCAAAAAATACTTACTGAATTAGGCTTTATTACCCAATAGTTCTGGTTCTGGAGGATATTAATATTAATTACATACCCACTGTGTGCTATGGACTTTACTGTTCCTCATTTGGTTCTCAAAATAACCTTGCTATGTGAGAATAACTGTATCAGACACTGTTGATTGCCCACTCAACAGTGAATACCTTCTTCTTTTTCACTAATGCAATCTTCATTTTGATCAGGTAGCTCAGGCTGCAATGTTCTCAGTCTAGTCATTCTCCTTTGCTAATAAGCAGTTTAGGTGTGAGTATATGACTCAGTATTGGTCAGTGGGGCCTGAGTGGAGGTCTGCTGGGGGGCTTCTGGGGCACATGTTATTTCCAATAAATAGAGAGAGGGAGATACCCCAGAAGAAGCACTGTGCTTTGTTTTAGGTTGTGATGTTTGGAACTGGGCATGCATCCTGTGACTGGGAGGGAAAAGTCAAGAGAATGGCAGAAAAACTGCCTCAGAAACTGACGTCCCTGAACTGCTCATATTATCAATCCTAACATCACCTATCTCCAGACTGCGTCTCATGTGAGGCTAAAAACTCAGTCATTTAAGTCAGGTATTCTGTTTCTTGCATTCAAATGCACCCTAACTTACATAATGATGACTTACATTTCATAAATAAGGGAACAGAAGCTCTGAGAGGAAAAATCATTAGCCCCATGTCACATATCCAGGAAGTGACAGAATGAGGACTTGAGTTTAGGTCTAATTCACTTTCTAATCCATGCTTCTCAACTACAGGAGCTGACATTCTAAACAGTGTTTAAAATCATAGTGTGGAACCATGTTATTAACAAATAACATAGCTTTTGTCAGAATCTAGACTGAAGTTCAAATTAATCAATCGGCATCCATGATATAAATGCAACTGCTTATAAAAATGTAAAATTGTATATTTACAAATCTGTTTATAAAGTTTTCTCCAAAAATTATAATTATTCATTAATTCAACAAAGTGCATTAAGTACTATGCCTAATAATTTGTTCAATTGAATTCATCATATTATTCTTTTAAGATTAAGAATTTCTCTTTTCCTAATGACTGCTCTAAAAACACCAGAGACAGGTTTCTTCCCTTTTATGTATCTATGGCTTAAATAATAAATCTTAGTTTAAATAGTTCTTCAATGAAAAAAAAAGTTTTCATAGCCCTCAAAATTTTCACAAGTCCTCTCTTAATGTATTTTTGTCACAGCATTAAGAAAGTTTATATAAAAATTCTATAGCATAATTATGGTTAATAATTTCTATTTTGAGTGAAATGTTTACTTACCTACAGTATGATTTATTTCATATTCAATATAATTTATTTTAATCCCTGGACCAATGGGCAAGGTAAATTTGAATGGTTGAGTTAGCTGAATATAAAATAACAATTTTTTTTTTTTTTTTTTTTTTTGAGACGGAGTCTCGCCCTGTTGCCCAGGCTGGAGTGCAGTGACACGATCTCGGCTCACTGCAAACTCTGTCTCCCAGGTTCACACCATTCTCCTGCCTCAGCCTCCCGAGTAGCTGGGACTACAGGCGCGTGCCACCACACCCGGCTAATTTTTTGTATTTTTAGTAGAGACGGGGTTTCACCATGTTAGCCAGGATGGTCTCGATCTCCTGACCTCGTGATCCGCCAGCCTCAGCCTCCCAAAGTGCTGGGATTACAGGCGTGAGCCACTGCGCCCGGCCTGAATGTAAAATAACAATTTAAAAATAGATTTACCATACAACAAACACTTTTATGGTTTGTCACATGAACTAGAGACCTAAAACATTATGAATCTAACATGAAACACATTAATTCTTAAAACGTTCAGTTTAAATGTTTTTAAATGAGAAAGAAGCAACTAGTGTGACTTACACTATTAGTTAAAATAAAAAAAAGTATGCCCATATATATTCTACCTAACATGTAGAATGTCATATATATTCTACCTAACAGTGATCATGAAAACTGTACCCGTCCACCATTTTAAAAAAGATGTTTTTTCCAAAACATATGTTTTTAAATCATCGCTATATTCTAAGTATATTTTTCATATACTTACTTCCTGATCCACTAATGAAATGTCAGGCCTCAACCCCTCACAGTAATGCATGTAACGGAGAGAATTTCCTGGCAAATCTCCTCTGAGTAAGATAATTGCATCATGAGGCATAGAGGTGAGAAGGTTCTTTGCGAACTTATCAATCACATAGTTGGTCCTTTGGTCACAAACACTAAATAAAAGGATCCAAAAAAATTAAAATAGCAACACTTTGCTACAGTTTTAATAAGACTAGGCTTATTTTCTATGCCATTCTTTTCCCATCATACAATCAACATTTAGTGTTTCAATACATTCTAAAATAATATGTATATTTGAAGAGAGAATACTATCACCTGATAAGCAGCAGCTAATTGTGCAATTGAAAAAAAATCAGTCTACTGCTTACTTCTGGAGTTTATAATCATTTCCAGAAAAAGGGAATCAGTACACAAGAATAGGTCCTTTTTTCCCCCTAAGTGCAATCCAATTTTATTTTTAGAAAGTAAGATTTCTGATTCCACTTGGAGTTTAAGGCAATTTTATGTTCATTCCATTTACTCAAAGGAACTTTCAGAAATGCAAAAGGAAATCTGCCCATTTCTGACTTGAATTTGTATGGCATTTGTATGATTTTCTTGCATGCAGAGGTTGATCCTTTCCACTTCTCCCCTGAATCACAGGCCTCCTGTGTCCCTCTCTGCCTTTGGAGATCAAGAAATTGCTAGGGAATGAGACCAATGAGAAGCAAGGGGAGGACGAGTTTCCTGAGTTGTTTACTTCTCTCCAGGCATTATTTGCTATTGCCAATAACTTCATTCTTTTCAAGAATGAAGTTAACTTTCTAACTTCAAAGAAAAACTGGCATGAATTCTGACAGCATTCTATGAAAAAAGAAAAAGATGACAAAACAGTAATTAGTATCAAAAAATGAGACAAGCAATGTCCTTTCTGTTATTACCAAGTCCATTACATTTGATGGAGCTGAGAATATCTGGGGTATCACAAAACAAATGAACACCTCTAGGAACAGAATATTATCCCTGCCTTTGTAATTGATGTAAAAATTACTGTTTCCTACCTGATTCCCTATGTTGCAGAGTGATGAGGCACATTTTGCCACCTAGCAAAAGTGCTATGTATTCCATTCCCCTGGGACAAATAAAAAAAATCAAAACAAGATAAAAACACCTAGCCTGTGCAAATATGTCTGGTGTCGAACCTGGACTGCCCTAATGGCCTGAGCCAGGAGATGACTGGGATAAGAAAAGGTTGGGAAACACACTGTGGGCTTGGTGCACCTTCTTGAGCTAGCGATGATGTTGTGTCCAGGACACGCAGCCCCTTCTCTCAAGGCCTCCTGGTGGCCTTCCTAACACCAGCTCTACCCCAGTATTATAAAGAACAATGTTGTGGGTTTTTTTAACTTTTATTTTATGTTCAGGGTACACGTGTGGGTTTGTTGTTATAAAGGTAAATTCACGTCACAGGGTTTGTTGCACAGATTATTTCGTCACCCAGGTATTAAGCCTGGCACACAATAGTTATTTTTTTCTGATCCTCTCCCTCCTCCCAGCCTCCACTCTCAAGTAGGCCCCAGTGTCTGTTGTTCTCCCTCACTGTATCCATGAGTTCTCATCGTTTAGCTCCCACTTATAAGTGAGAAGATGCAGTATTAGGTTTTCTGTTCCTCTGTTAATTTGCTAAGAATAATGGCCACCAGTTCCATCCATGTTCCTAAAAAGGACATGATCTCATTCTTTTTATGGCTGCCTAGTGTTCCATGGTGTATATGGACCACATTTTCTTTTTCCAATCTGCCACTGATGGGCATTTAGGTTGATTCCATGTCTTTGTTATTGTGAATAGCGCTGTAATAAACATTCGCATGCATGTGTCTTTATGTTAGAATGATTTATATTCCTTTAGGTATATACCCAGTAATAAGATTGCAGGGTTGAATGGTAAGAACATTGGTTTTTAAAGTTAAGTTAAAAGAGAAAATGTAATCCTTTAAAATAATACCAGTCCAATCTCACTATAGCAAAATTCCAAGGGACTCTCTTCCATTTCCATAATGTGTACTTGATATTGCTGGAAATAAACGAACTATAGTCTAAGACTTAGACGTCTTTTATGTCAGACTGAGATTTTTATTGTAATGGTTATTAAACAGATTTTTTGAAAAATACATGTAATACTAATAATATATGAGTTAAGAAACTTTAGAACTTAATTTAAAAATAATTAAGGCTGGTATAGTGGTTCACACCTGTTAATTCCAGCACTTTGGGAGGCTGAAGAGGGAGGCTTGCTTGAGACCAGGAGTTCAGGACCAGCCTAGGCAACATAGTGAGACCTTGTCTCTACAAAAAAAAAAGAAAAAAGGCATGCTAATGGTGGCATGTGTCCATAGTCCTAGCTACTGAGGAGGCTGAGGCAGAGGACTGCTTGAGCCCAGAATTTCACGGCTGTAGTAAGCTACGATCATGCCACTGTACTCCAGCCTAGGGGACAGAATAAGACCTTGTCTCAAAAAAATTAGTATTTACTACTACAGAGTAAACTGGACATAAAGGGAAGCATAAAGTGAATTATTTTAGGGTATACAAAAAACTCTAAATCATTTTACTCTCCATCTAAGTGGTATTTTAGGTCATGGAATTTTACCTATACTAGGGATTCTAAAAGTATCTCTTGGGTTCTTAAGAGAAAAAGATACAAATTGTCTACACGCACCACCTAAACCCTTGTTTGCAATGGCCTGAAACCATTCATCGCCCATGCTTTAACTTTTAGGTTTAACGACCCTAAAAGTTAAAGAACTACTGCATTCAACCAAGCTGTCTCACTTTGAGTCTTGAAAACCAGAAGTTAACAATGAAATAAAGTGTTAGAATCTAAATATTCAGGTATCTCTGGCTTGACAGCTACTTTTCATAAAAATAACCATGTATTACCTGTAATTAGAATATATTTGGTAAACTACAAAAAGAGTTGCAGAAAGCCATTCCAGACACTGAAGCCCATTGCTATTCAGCACTCGGTTAGTCTCAGACACAACTGCAGCCAAACCAATGCCAGCGAGGACGGCCACTACTGCATTGCTCTGCATCCAGAATCGTTCCACCTGTGAAAGAGACATGCAACCAGTGGGTCCAGTTGACTATTTAATGCTATCAATCAGCTCCTCATATATTTTTTAAATATGCTGCATGCACCTAGTTGTGTGTGCCTGTTGTCATTCAGGTTTTGTTAACTGATTTCCCCAATCCAAGCCCAGGTCATTTTATTTTTCTATTTTCAAACATTCTTCCTTCCCAGTTTGACAGGTGCATCTCCCTTTTCAGATCCACACATTCATTTCAATACTGTGGCCTTAGTCTTGAACTCCAGTAATATACAGGCTGAAGGAGTTAGAGAAATGCTTTTGCTTTACTCCTGATGTTTCCTTCCACATGGAGAAGCTCCACTGTCCTGGCCTGTCTCTGACCCCTCACGTATTTCCTCCTATAGGATGTAGGGACTGATCTGACTGGGGAGTTTGGGAGCTGGGACTGGGCCTGCAGCGCCCTCCCTTTTCATCTCACTTTCTCCTGGAAGTGAGCTACCCACAGGAAGCACTTGTCCAGGGCTAGAGTCTATCTCTGTGGCACCAGTGGGGTGGGGGAGACAGGGAAGAGGCCTGACCTGCACAGCACTGCCTATGACTAGTGGGTAAATCTGTCTATTCTGGGATGCTGGAAGAGGAAGCCCCCTTGGCTACAGATATAAGCTGCATTTTCCAATCTCAGTATTATCAGTAATAAAAGTGATTCTCCCACCCGTTGTACTGTATTACCTTGTTTCTCAATTGATTCAGAACTCAGGTGATCAAGTAGGGTATTATTTATTAGGCTTCCTGAACACACACATACGCAGACTTTGTTTCAGCTGTCAAAAAAGTGCTATTGACATTTACAGAGAATCTATTGTAAGTAGAAGAAATACTCTAATCTCAGAGACTGCTGCCAAAGAAAACAGAAATACGGTTGCTCTTTTGCCTAGGCCTGGGACTGGGGAGGTAAGAAATAAGGAAATATGTTGTTAAGTGCCCTCAATTACAATTCATATTTCTTTTGCTGTTAAAAAAATTCCAGGAGAAATGCAGTTGTACCTATATTTGCAAGCACACACACATACAATGACTTAAATCTACTTTACATTTACTTTTCTATTTAACAACTGTGTTAAACACTGCATTCTTTTTATCCTAAAAAGAGGCCTTAGCTGTATTGACTCAATAATTCAACTTTGATTTATAAAAATGTATATAAAATTTTAACTATTCCTCAAGTAATTTGCCCTTCTACAAGATTTATGAAATGCAAATTTGCACATTCTTCACAAACTTTCTGGTCAAAGGATATATCTAAGTAAAACTTACCACACCCATGAAAAGTGGTTTTGAAATATCTAAATTTGCTCTCCAAGCAAAGAACAATGAATAAATGCAAAACATTCCAGTAAAAAGCCATACTAATGATGGATTCTGTCTGTCCCTACAAAAAATAATAAAAATATGTCTAAAATATTTAGATACATGAATGTCAAATATAATATCACAGGACTTTAAACTATTAGATCTATAAAAACTTTCCATTTTTAACTAGGAGCAAAGAGAGATTTCGGTTTTTAAAATCTGAGTTGAAACAAATAACCAAAATATAATAATAAATTTGAACTACAACTTGGGACTACGCAGTAAAGGATATAAAGCTAACATTCACAGAAGAAATGCAAACTACTGATTTTGTTAAATTTCAGAAGTGATCAAATACAGGCAAAATAGAAACATTTTCATGCTTGAAATAATAAAGATTTAAGAACGATAACTCTCAATGTTGGTGTGCAGTGGTATGACAATATATGTTAGTATAATCCTTCAGAAAATTTAATTTGATAATATCTATATCGGAAGCCTTAAAAATATTAATAATCATTGACTCAGTTATTTATCATGCAGGCATAAATCTTTAAGCAATAACCAGAAATGTAAATAAAGATTAATCCATAAAAATGCTTTGTTATTACTTATAATAGTGGAAAAAGTGGAAGCAATCTAAAGACCTCTCAATAGAAGAACAGTTAAATTAATTCTCCTGTGGTCATAGAATGTTCTATTATATAGACATTTAAATGATTTTAAGTATTTTTATAGTATGAGAAAATGTTCACAATGTTTGTGTCAAGTAAACAAAACTATAGATAAATGTACAAATATACATTTACATACAAATGCATTCAACAGACTAGATCATAAATGAATAAATTAATGGAGATTTACAGTGCTACATTTTTCAGGGTTTCTTTTGTCATCGGATCACTTTTATCATCAGAGGAATTTAAATTATTGCTTCTTTTTAAAATCAGCAATAATAATCGGTTATAGCAGAGTTAAGGGATCAAACCTGAAGTTTAGGACATCAAATGACTGTCTACTTAGATGTAATATAATGCTCAATTTCTTGAAATCATTGATTTATTTAGAATCAGAATAGAAGAAAGCAATACACGTTTATCTTAATAGACAGCTAGGAGAGTCATTTATTTGGAGTATAAAATAATACTGGCAATGTCCTACAGCGACATACTGAAAACATTAATTCAATTCATGAACATAGAAAAATAACAGAAAAAGGAATTGTATTACTTACTTTGTTGCTAAACATATATTTGCACAAACTGCAAGGGCTTGGATGTTGAATGAGAGTTCGGTCCTCATATTTGTTACTTGAGAACTGCAAAAAACAATCTAACTTATTGTTGGCAGGAAACAAATTTGATTGATTCCAAATAAAATAGTCCTTGTAAGATACCATTGATTATATACTGAACAATCACAAGGGCTGGGGTCAGATTTTAAAATTTTGTCTTTTAAAGTTGGAAGAAAAAGTGCAATAGAAAGACTTAAATAGTTCCAAGACGTTTTCCAATGGTAACATTTGGTTATCAACTTATATAATTTGGAATAGGATCAGAACAAATAATTCTTCTGTATTTTTTATATTGGTATACTGTATAGAATATCCCCGACTGGTTTGGTAGGAAGCTGTTTGAAATGAGTTTTTGAACTTTTTTCTCTTGGCAGTGTAGACATGGCCTCCAGTGATTTAGCAAATGATAACAAAATTAATTCAAATAGATTTCTGGAGATCTAATATGAAGAAAATAAAGGCCATGAGAGATAATTCCCAGCCATTCTTTTGTGGGTTATTTTTTTCCTTAATTGGTTTCCTTGTTTTCTATATTATTTGTTTTGGTTCAAAAAACATTTAAGCAATCTCAGAGAAATGTATTATGTTTTTTTCCTACAAATAAACTAAATTCTTCCATTAACTCATATGCATTTTCAGGTGTTAAAATTTGAGTTCTAAAATAGCTTCTGCTCTAGCTGTCTCCAATTGTTAAAAAAGAAATGACTCTATACATCATCTCAAAGAACTTTCTTCTCCCTACCGGCAATTTTACTGGAGAAAATGTGATACCATAATTATAGAAACCATACAATGTGTATTTTACTAATGAAGACTCATCTACTATGAGAAGATATCCTTACTCATTTTCAAATACACTTGAAAAAATTGATTCCAGCATGAGGCCCATTTCAAACCATTCTTCAAAAGGAATGAAGTCAGTCTCAAAATTATTCTTGGAGATCTATTGCTTAAGTGTAAGCGCTAAAAGATGGTCACTGCCTAAGGTTAGATTCAATAATTTCCTTGTACAGGATTGCAATTTAGAGATATGCATGGGGAAAAAATTTAATTTGCTTGACTGGAAAAGGGTAGATGATTAGCTTCTATCATTTTGAAGGATTTTCTCATAAGTTAATTATGAGTTGCCTTTTTCAATGTTCCTGCCCACCTGAAACTATTAAAGACTAGACATTCTCATTCAGGGAGTGCTAAGATTATGCCTTCATTCTACATGATGACTTGGTCCACACAGAACACAGAAGTGTGGGTGTGAGTGGTCATCACTTTTGTCAAGTCTTTTTTCTGGGTATACAGCCTGCTATTATTTTAATGTAAAGGAGGCCTTTAAGGGTCCCAATAGATGACTTTTATGTGCAACTAATAAAAGTTAGACATATGGTCTAGGATTACTCTCAAGAGTTCTTTGGAGTTCATGTAGGGTTTGCTAAGACAAAATATACCAGTTATCCTTAATGCTGTAACAATCTCTGGAAGGTAGATAGAAAAGAGCAGGCAGTGAGTCCTTCTGCATGGAGCAAAGCAGAATAAAATGAAAGCTCAGAGACATTGATATGACATTTGACTGTCTTTATCTTTATTTTTTTATTTTTTGAGACAGAGTCTCACTCTGTTGCCTAGGCTGGAGTGGCATGAAGGTGGCTCACTGCAGCCTCGACCTCCTGGGCTCAAGCGATCCTCTCACCTCAGCCTCCTGAGTAGCTGCAACTACAGGTGCATGCCACCATGCCTTTTTTTTTTTTTTTTTTAATGTTTTGTAGGCCGGTTGTGTTAGCTCACTCTGGTAATCCCAGCACTTTGGGAGGCCGAGGCAGGTGGATCACCTGAGGTCAAGAGTTTGAGACCAGCCTGGCCAACATGGTGAGACCCTGTCTCTACTAAAAATACAAAAATCAGCTGGGCGTGGTAGCACACACCTGTAATCCCAGCTACTCAGGAGGCTGAGGTGGAAGGATCACTTGAACCCGGGAGGCGGAGGCGGAGGTTGCAGTGAGCAGAGATCTCACCACTGCACTCCAGCCTGGGTGACAGGGCAAGACGCCATCTCAAAAAAAAAATTTTTTTTTTTTTTTGCAGAGACGGGTCTCACTATGTTGCCCAGGCTGGTCTCAAACTCCTGGGCTCAAGCGATCCTCCCACTTTGGCTTCCCAAAGTGCTGGGATTACAGGCATTAGCCACCGCACTCAGTGCCATTTTTATTTTTGAAAAGAAAACTGAGCTTCTTGTTACATTCCCCCAGCGAAAATGAGAAAGCCACAAAAGTCTCACACATAAAAAGAAATATTTACAATCAATGGTGAGAACCATCAAAAGGTTACGTGAAAGTAACTGATGGCAAGGAGGTATTTCCAAGATATAATGTAAAGTGAAAAACAGCAGGCTAATAAAACAGTATGTTTACTATGATCCTACTTTTAAAAAGAAATAAAAATCTTAAAAATATTAGAAAAATATAGTCATTAACAGATTAATAACAGTGGTTATCTCTGCATGTTGGATTTATAGGTAGTTTTAATTTTCTTATTTTTGCTTACCTGTATTTTCTAAGTTTTCTATAAAGCTTATGTACCTTTTTTGAAGTAGAAAAAAGAAGTTGTTTAAAAAGAAAGCAAGGAAGGATGGCTGGAAGAAAGCAAGCTATTAAGTAAATTACACCGAAACTGTGAGAACTCATAAACTGCCTCACATATAAAGTTGAAATATTCTCCTCATAGTTTTTTTTCAAACAGCCCCAAGAGTTCCAAATTAGTAATTAGTTAGGACATCACTTTAGTGTTGTAGAAACCTATTTTCTTCCAAAATTTTGTATCAAGTTGGTATGGATATCTTTCCACTTGTCTTAATCTGTAGGTTTTAAAGCAAATATTAACCCAGTTTTCAAAGAACACTATTAAATAATATACATGAAAATATATTTGCTTAAGCCAGCTCTAATAAGGTTGGATGTTAAAAATATGTAAGCCAAAGATAGAGCTTACGGCAAGGATAGCCTAAAGAAGTCATAGGAGACATTACATAAATTAAACTCTGAAATACTAAAATCCAAAATAACAAGAAAATAGTTGTTCAATTGAAGGTTGAAACATTTTAGTTCTATAAATGCTCTATATAGTATTCTAATATTCACCGTTGTGTTTATTGCTCATTTTAAGCTCTATCTTAGTGAAGGAGGTGCTAAAAATATTTGACAGTACAGTCGGCCCTCTGTATCCATGGGTTCTGCCTCCATGGATTCAATTAACCTTAAATCAAAAAAAAAAAAAAAAAGTTGGGGAAAAAACTGTCTGTACAAACATATACAGATGTTTTTTCTTGTCATAATTCCCTAGACAATACAGCATAACAACTATTTACATAGCATTTACATTATACTAGGTATAAATTATCTAGAGATGATTAAAAGTATACAAGAGGATGTAAATAGGTTATATACAAATATTATGCCATTTTATATCAGGACTTGAGCACCCATGGATTTTTATATCCTTAGGAGTTCCTGTAACCAATACCCCATGGATACTGAGGGACAACTGTAAACACAAACAACTGTTAACTGTAGAGGTAACAACTACTTCTCAGACATACTTTGTTACAAAGAGATGAACTCAGAAATCCCTAAAATCACTTAAAGGAACTAATAGAGAATTCATTTTAAAGTAGTTTCAAATATTTCATACTCACAGCAGTATTTCAGACATACTGGATCCTATTTCAGATTTGGCCTAAACACAAAAGACAAAAGTTTATCTGCACAAGCATTAAACTGACGCTTTATTAGGCTATTGTATTTTAATAATCTTAAAAGATTCGGGTTTTCTTAAAACAATTTTTTAATTTTAGGTTTCGGGGTACCTCTACAGGTTTGTTACACAGGTAAACTGCGTGTCAAGGGAGTTTGGTGTACAGACTATTTCATCACCCAGGTAATAAGCATAGTACCCAATAGGTAGTTTTTTTAATCCATTCCCTCCTCCTACCCTCTGCCCTTAAGTACATATGTGTCCATGTGTACTCAATGTTTAGCTCCCACTTATAAATGAGAACATGTGGTATTTGGTTTTCTGCTCCTGCATTAGTTCGCTTAGGACATTAACTCATTCTTTTTTATGGCTGTGTAGTATTCCATGGTGTATATGTATCACATTAAAAAAAATCCAGTCTACCATTGATGGGCATTTAGGTTGATTCTATGTCTTTTCTATTGTGAATAGTGTTGTGATGAACATACGTGTGTATGTATCTTTAGAGCAGAACAATTTATATCCCTTTGGGTATACAGCCAATAATGGGATTGCTGGGTTGAATGGTAATTCTGTTTCAAGTTCTTTCAGAAATCGCCACATTGCTTTCCACAATGGCTGAACTAATTTACACTCCCACCAGCAGTGTATAAGCATTCTCTTTTCTCCAAAACCTCACCAGCATGTTTTTTGACTTTTTCATATAATAGCCATTCTGACTTGTGTGAGATGGTATTTCATTGTGGTTCCAATTTTCATTTCTCTAATGATTAGTGATACTGAGCACTTTTTCATATGCTTTTTGGCTGTATGTCTAAAAGACACAGGTTTTAAATGTACAATGTATCATTTCTCTTCACTCAAAGTCTTTAGTTCAGAGTCTTATTGAATTTTTAAACAGAAGTCAGTGAAAACTAATTTGGCCACCCTTTAGGAAGAATTTTAGAAGTAATAATTGGCAGGCTGGGTGCGGTGGCTCACACCTGTAATCCCAGCACTTTGGGAGGCCGAGGTGGGCGGATCACAAGGTCAGGAGTTCAAGACCAGCCTGGCCAACATGGTGAAACCCTGTCTCTACTAAAAACACAAAAAATTAGCCGGGCATGGTGGTGCATGTCTGTAATCCCAGCTACTCAGGAGGCTGAGGCAGGAGAATCACTTGAACCCAGGAGGTGGAGGTTGCAGTGAGCCGAGATCACGCCACTGCACTCCAGCCTGGGTGATAGAGTGAGACTCTGTCTCAAAAAAAAAAAAAAAAAGAAAGAAAGAAAGAAAGAAAAGAATATTTGGCTAGAAATCAGTTAAACTATTCCAGCAAAAATGATTTACATGTTAATAAATTAATAACCTTTTTATACTTCCATTATAGACTTTCCTTAAGCTCTTTATGAGCACTTTGATTAAAATTCATTATAACTTGTTCATCTAAAATTTCACAATTATGTATGAATTATATAAATTTGAAATCTAGAATGGTCTTCAGACAATATTTTTCTGGAATAACCAAAATAATTAAAGCAGAATATAAATGTAAAGTATCAAACTCTCTAAGTCAAAATAATTAATACTTTTTTATTATGAAACATCTCCTACATATAAAAAACATATATAATACATCTTTAAGGGTCAAAGAGCTTTTTAAAAATCTACAGATCCAACATTCATTTAAGAAACAAAACCTCACTGGCCGGGCGCGGTGGCTCACGCCTGTAATCCCCGCACTTTGGGAGGCCGAGGAGGGTGGATCACGAGGTCAGGAGATCGAGACCATCCTGGCTAACATGGTGAAACCCCGTCTCTACTAAAAATACAAAAAAAATTAGCCAGGTGTGGTGGTGGGCGTCTGTAGTCCCAGCTGCTGGGGAGGCTGAGGCAGCAGAATGGCGTGAACCCGGGAGGCGGAGCTTGCAGCGAGCTGAGATCGCGCCACTGCACTCCAACCTGGGTGACAGAGCGAGAATCCATCTCAAACAAACAAAGCAAAATAAAAAAAAAAATTCTTTTTTTTAAAAAGAAACAAAACCTCATCAATATCATAAGGTATCTCCCAAAGCCCTCAAAGACTTTTTCTTCCTTATCCCACAGTAGTAACTACTACCTTGAATTTGGTGTTAATTATTTCCCTATTTTTTATAAATATATAGTTCTACTACTTTTGTATGTACCCTTGAACAATAGATTGTTTAGTTTCTCATGGTTTAGAGTTTTGTATAAGTGGTATTATATACTACATACTCTTCTGAGACTTGCCTTCTTAAGTAGGACACAAAAGTACAAACCAAGAAAGAAAAACCTGATATAACTGTCTATATGAAAATAAAAAATCTTCTGCTCATCCTTTCATTTTTCAGATAATCTTTACTGTGACTATATTTAATGTGTTCCCCTAATATGTCTTAGGAAAAGCAAGGCCTTTTGAACTTCTTTGGAGCACACTGTTTCCATTTAGTGAACTCATGAGGCATTTACAGATATGTCTTGAGTTTCAAAAACTAGACATTAACATAAAAACTGTTCATGAAATATGTAAAAAATAAATAAATAATAATAAGAAGTGGTTTGGTCAAGGAAAATTTTTTAAATTGAGGATTTTTTTTCCTTCGATCTTTTCCAAATAGTTTTATTCACAGATCAAGTACCCATAGTGACTCACTGCTAACAAGACTGAAATGTTTCGACTGTAGGTGGAAGACTTTAATGACTGCTATCCTAAAAAGTATATTCAGGATATACAACTACATGATGTTAAATTAAGTGATTCTGACTTTTCTCTTACATATATCAAAGGCCATATTCCAAGGGGCAAGTTTGTTACATAAATAACCAAAACAAACATTTGATCTACTGTCATTGACAAATATTGTTTTTTTAATCAAGGCCCAGGCAGAGCACTGAAGTTTTGCCACTTGTTTCCTTAGAAGGGCTTTAAATCTGAATTTACCAGGCTGAAGGTTCCATATTCTTCCCTGAGAAAATGTGTCAAAAATCCTTGCAGTGTTGTCTGGTCTCCCCAGGTCCACCGGGCGTGATTAAGGTAAGATGAGATGGGAAGGTGGACATAGGGCAGCAAACCAGCAGAGAAGTACAGGCTCAACTTCAACAAAGAGCCCAGGGAGAGTTCCTGCATCAGAGCACATTGGGTGGTATAACAATGTTTATTTTAGTAGATTCATCTCGGAACTTCAAGAACATATCAAGGAAAACATCAAATATGTTTACTCAGAGCTGATCTCCCAATTTATATTAAGTCACCACAGAATACTATGTTAAACCTTCTGATTACTACGGATTACTAGAAAATTGCATCAGCCTGAACTCCTTTGCATGGCAGGTGAAAGCTGAGTGAAGCAAATAATATTAGCAAAGGCTCATGAGTATCATGTTTATTGCATCACTTACATTTAAAACCATGTCATGACAAGCAGCATTGCACAGCTAAGATAACCTGCCTGGAAGTGATTATGTGTTGTTTGGCTGATTTTGAATATGCCCAAAATACAATTCTAAGACCAATTCACTTTGTCATCATCATTAGGAGTAGACTTCAACTATATATATTACTATGATTATATGTTGACAATTATTTCTACAAGCGTTTTGAACATTTCACAGAAATGTTTGGCATAAATGAAACTAGCTTTTATATAAACTCCAAGCTCATCCAAATGCTTTTTTTCTCCTCAATTTACATATAGGATAGAATATTAAAGAAAATTAGTTGTTATAACAATGCTGCTTCATACACCTTATTTGGGAAAATATATTTCTCATTGGTAAAATACTTTTCTTAAAGGACAATATCGACAAAGTTTTATAAATATTAAATCCAAAATAATATGAATTCTGATATATTCAATCAATTCCTGTGTATCTGAACCAAGATTCAAATACTGCTTACTTTAGTAACTGGGAAAGGTAGTCTCTCACAAATATCGTATTTGGAAATTGCCAATTTTTCCTTTACAAAAAAGAGAAATTCATATGTGAGAATGAATATAAGAATCAAGGTTCACATTCACTAGAAGTAGAACAAGCAGTTGATTTATGTTAGCATTTTCAAATAAACATTCTTAATTGAA
The DNA here is from genome assembly GCF_000001405.40 of Homo sapiens. Lineage (NCBI taxonomy): Eukaryota > Metazoa > Chordata > Mammalia > Primates > Hominidae > Homo > Homo sapiens. The sequence continues at coordinate 56,608,147 of NC_000014.9, read as the reverse complement.
AATGAAGTGTTTTATTACAGTACTGATTTCATTTGAGATTTCTATAGCAGTAATGAGATGCATAAAAAATGATGGCATGAAAGGAGCATAAGAAATAACTAATCTAACAACATGCCTTTGCTATTCTTAAAATTAGTTTTTAAAAAAGTAAATGCTTATTTTTGCACAGTTTCTGCATATTATAAAGTTGAATTTAGAATGGTAAGATGAGTTGCTGCAGAATTTTCCTTTTGTGTGAGAAATAAACAGGGAGACAATTGCATGAGAGCTATTGCAGAGTTGGGGAATAAGTGGCTCCTAATCCTAACTGCACATTAAAATCACCTGGGGAGCTTCTTAAAAATACTGATGTCTGGGCCTCACCCCAGATCACTTATATCAGAATTATTTTGGGGTAGAATCAATTTGTAGCATAAATAAATACATATATATATACACACACACACGTCCCTATGTATATATGTACATACAGATATATACATATGTACCTACATTACTATATACACATGTACATCTGTGTATATATACACACAAACAAACACGGACTTTTTAAAAGCTTCTCAGATAAGTAAGCAGCCAGGGTTGAAACCAACTGACTCAGGACTTTCTGCTCTGTCTCCAGTCATCTCCCAGTGAGATCCAACTACCCTGTTACTTCATTGGTAGGCCTTATTTTCTAGCCTCTGCTTTTTAACTAATGGGAAATAAAGAGTCACAGTTTTCACAATTTCATCACTCTCTGGTAGCTTACCTCAGTACAGGGAAAACAGGCCCTTAGTCCAGGCTCTGAAATTATCAACTCTGAATCCTCCATGTTTTACAGAAAGTATATGCCTCTCCTTTCAATCAATTAACATGAAATATGTGCTAAGAATGCACCCCTCTGATGTCTGTTCAGGTCGGAAGTCTGGCTAAGATGACCAATACGAGAGGGAGATGTATCCATCCACCCCCACTGATTCACAAGAGAAATATCTGGGCCTCTTTCTCGTATTCCATAGAAAAGCTTCACTGAGTTATATTTCGTATCTCCATTTTTAATCAAGGTTTATATAATAAAAGGCCATATAAAGAACTTGCTATATACACTATAAAACCACTGTTAAAGACACTGCCTGTTATGCTGTTTAATAAGATTTACATAAGGACTTACGTGATTGACTTCACAAAATTCAGTGCCAAGGAAAAGTTCTTTCCTGTCAACTGCTATGTTTCCCTTTTACTTATTATTTATTTATTTATTTATTTTTTTGGAGACGGAGTCTTTCTCTGTCACCCAGGCTGGAGCGCAGTGGCGCGATATCGGCTCACTGCAACCTCCTCCTCTCGGGTTCAAGCGATTCTCCTGCCCCAGCCTCCTGAGTAGCTGGGACTACAGGCGCACACTGCCAAGCCCAGCTACTTTTTTTTGTATTTTTAGTAGAGACAGACTTTCACCGTGTTGCCCAGGCTGGTCTCGAACTCCTGAGCTCAGGCAATCCGCCTGCCTTGGCCACCCAAAGTGCTAGGATTACAGGCGTGAACCACTACACCCAGCCCTTTTTACTTACTTTTTAGTCACATTGTAAAAATTTTATAACCTCTGTGTTACCCTTTTTGCTTTACTGTTAAGAAGCTAAGAAGCAAAATGTGTTCAAGTACAGTAAATATAGTTATCTAAAGCTTTGGTATAATTATTTCCCTATTTCTAGATAATAATTTTGTTTTATATGTTTTCTATTATAATTCTGATTATAGCTGGGTATAATGAACAAATAATAAAAGGATAAGTAAAGCTGAGTTTGTACACAAACAAACAATAAGGTAAAACGACTCTAGTGCTGGCTTTGTATATAGACTATTTTAACCTCTGGGTACCTAAATCTCACATTGCCTAATGAAGTAATTTTCCTGTTGCTTTATATTGCCATTTTAATTAACAATCATTTTTTTCTTTCAGAGAAAGAAGAAATAACAATAAATCATTTTTAATTCTAGGGAATCCGTTTTGAGAAAACAATACTGTTACCAGAGATTTTATTATTTAGTTCACAATAGAAGCGATGTCTGTTTTGTTGAGAGCTGACTCTTCAGCACCTGGAGTAAGCATATGGCACAGGGCAAGGACTCGGCACACAGTTAAATAAATGAAGTATGATGGCACACCACTCTGTGTTTTAGAATGTATAAAACGATAATTAAGAAAATTTGATATTGTTGCTTTAAGTCCTTTCAGCCTACTTTCATCAAGATGCTATTCAGAATCAGTCATAAAATTATGGAACAGGCCAGATGCCACTGCAATCAATACTGCATAATTTTTGTAAATCCTATTTTTTTCAGTCAATATTGTTAGGCCCTAGGGTTATTTATGCTTTACATGAAACCCAAGAAAAATTAAAGCCTGAAATTTTCTCATGACAAAAATGTTATATTAGACCTAAGTAAAATATTGTACTTTTTTTTACAAAATTCAAAAACGTACCTTCTTTTTTAAAAGTTGAAAGAGAATCCAAGGTATTATGCACAAAACATAGAGTATTATTGTGTGCTGGTTACATAAACTAAGGCCACAGCAGAAAGCACCAATTTTAGCTACCTGAAAATAAATTAAAAAAAAAAATTAAGTAAAAAATTCACCTAAAACTCTAAGAACATAATAAAAAGCCATTTTTATATTAAAACCAAGCATTCGTATCATGTTAGGTTAAAATCAACCTCTAAGATGCAAGCAGTTATTTTAATAATCATTCATATTTGTTACTATTATTTTTGTTAATATTTTCCAAGTTCATCAAATAATTGCAATTTGATCTTAAATAACTGTTTTCAAACCAACTTTTAGAAAATCCTGTATGATAAATAGATAAGTTGTAATAGTAATAGGGTATTGTGTAATGCTTATTCAAGTAAAATCTATAATTGAAATTCAGCAATTGTTTTTTCTCCTATTAAACAAATGAAATATAGCCTCTTTTATTTAGAAATCTGGTTATCTCTGGGTGTTGGTTTTGAGTTTTTCCAACATGTGTTAGTTTCATAACTGGCAAAGATTCTCTCGTTGACCAAACTCAAGTCAGGCTCCTCTGAACTCTTCCCAATTAGGTCCTGACTTTTGAGTTTCCATGTTCATCTCTGCATTGTCCAGTTTTAGCATCAATCCTGTCAAGTCAGTTTAGCCAGAACACTAATTCTCAATATCTGATCAAGTTCTTCATCCACTACCATTCCCTAGGTGAAGTCTGATCACCCTGGCTTGCTTTCAGCAAGAATTCAGTCAAATCTCCCTTTACCGCTGATGCTTCCTCTCAGTAATTTTCCATACACTGACTCCCACACTGCTCCTTGGCTATGAATTCCCACTTTTCCTTGTATTTGGAGTTGAGCCTGATTTCTTTCCCCTACTACAAAACCCCATTGCAGTTGTCCCTATACCTGAACCTGAACAGTGTGCCTTCTCACTCTTTAAAAAGTGTATTGAATAATTTTTTTAACATAATCAGATATTTTTTAAGCCAAAAACCCCCTCTAATAGCATCACAGGAAACCACATATAAACCATGATGTTCTTTTGTTTCTACACTCTTTAACAACACAAAGCTGCCTATACTAAGATGATTTGGCATTTCCCAATGTATAGACTCTAAGTTCTTAGAAGATAGGGTTCTTTCACATGTCAAGTGATTTTGATGATAGTGTTTGTCTTAAAATTCATTGTAATCTCTTCTGAACTACTTCATGGTTTACATTTGATACTCTTCTTTTAGTTAGTAGATTACAAATTTGACCTTTTTTGGCAATTAAGGAGTGAGTCAATGCATCCTAATTTAAGGGGGCCAGTGTAGAGCTTGGCACCTTCTGATAATATACACAAACAAATGATGGTGAATTAAGCAACAAGCCTATCTTTCCCACCGGACACACAGGGGATTTTATAATCCTCTAATTCTCCAAAAAACTTTTGAACTCTGAGGGAAGAAAAGCGCCATGTTTTATAAGGGCTATCCTGGTTCCATCCATAATAAAAAAGACTGAGATCATTTTCTCTCTCAGCATGCTAGATTATCCCGACTGTAATCAGAATAGATAAAAGGTATTTAAGCCAAAGTTAAAAAGAAATACATCTGTCTAAAAATTAAAACAAAAACTGATTTCACTTTGATCAAAATAGGTTACCTTTGATCTCTCCTTAGCAGTTGCTGCTTCCTCAAAATGTACAGTAAGAGCCATAAGCAGCCCCACAAAGAGATTGTTTAAGCTAAAAACCTCTGCTGCAATGGACCACTGCCATGTTAGACGAGAAAATGAAAACACCCCCGCAGCAAGGATTCCTCCAGCAGATGAGCCAGAAAGCCTGCAAACACAGATAACATGAAATCTTCTTTTCCAACAAAAAGAACTAACTTTATTTTCCTTTTGGTAAACTGTACCAGCAGAAATTATGATAGTCACCCAGCACTACTCCAACACATTATATGGTTAATACATTAACTCATATAATAATTTCCTTCAACAGATTTTAATTAGGAAGTTCATATGTTAACCTATTAATGAACAAATAAACTAACCTATGGCTAGAATGAGGTTCAGTCCTCAGATGTTAACTGCTAGGATTCACGCCAGTTCAGAAAACCTGAAGACACAGTAGCTACAGAGAGAACAAACCTGTGTCATTTTCTTGCTCCATCCATGAAGAAGGATGGCCTAGTTAAGACCTAAATGTTTGATTGTAAAAATTAATGAAATGAAAAAATATTTATTCAGAAAAATGCATTCTCACTTCAGGTAGAATGTTTGGACCTAGGTACCTTCTATTTTCATCTCTCAGCATATGGCAAAGAATGTCTTGATCACAATATCTGATGATTTCAATATCTTATACAGTGCATTTCTTACTTTGCAAGGGTTTTTTTTCTTTAGACAACGGTGAAGTTAAAACTAATTTTTTTTCTAAAGAAGAAGATGGGAATGTGAATTTCAATAACACCAGAAGAATCAGATGCTACACTCAGAAACAAATTTCTCACCCACAAATGCCAACAAAACCCATACCATTTAAAACAATCAGGAATCTGGATCTCGGTTCAGAGATTTGTTTTGAGACTGGTAGTGTGGATGAATTTACTAGTGCATATCAAACCAAAACAACTTTCTATTTCCTTATTAATCTAAAACTATGAAAATGAAAGCTATTATGAAATGCCTATTTCTAATAGTGTTAGAAAATTCAGCAAGCATTACTGCGTCCAACAATTATCATATTCTATAGCTCCAAACCATTGATTTTCAACTGTATCCTTTTGTATAAAAAGTTACAGGGTAGTTCTATGGCTTTAGTCAATCATTATTTTTAAATGATTAAATAAAAATCTCAATATCAGTAAACCTGTTTTTACTTTGATTTTCTGTTTGCAATTTATTTGTTTTCTTTCTCTTAAAAAATCAGCAGTTTCCCATTTCTTTCAGCTTCCCGTTCTTCCAGCGATCCTGATTCAACACATTATTATTTCTTCCTTCCAAATTACTTTCCTGTCTACTCATTCCTATTTGTATTTTTACTGCCTTACACTTAATTATTTTAAGAGTTCCCTAATTTGTCTTCTGTTTTTCAATCTATTCTGCAATATAACATCACATCAAGTTTCCTAAAACATATCCTTTATGACTACCCAGCCCAAAAACTTAAGGACTCTCCGCTGCTTGAGGGATAAGTTCTAAATCAGTCAGCCTAGAATCCAGGCTTCCAATAAACTGGATCCCACTCATTCACTAATGATCAACATTATTCTCTCCACCAATTAGTCAGGCTCATCAAAATTTCCTAATAAGACATGCCTATGCCTAGCACTATACCTTTGCTCATTCTGTACCCCTGAATCTAAAGTCCTCCCTGCTCCTTTCTATTTATTTAAATCCTACTTCTTTCTCAAATGTTTCTTCAATTCCTAGGTTTTTAGCCCATTCTGTACATCTATAGTATTTAATTGTCTGTAACAATTACTTTACCATTGTTTTTGAAATGTGAATTGGAGTTAAATTTCATTTATATTGGAAGTATCTAGCCCCAAACACACAAAGGAAACTTACTGAATGAAAGAACAAATTAAAGTATTTCTAACATTTATAAAGGAACTTCTATGTTTCATATATCAATATTATTCAGGAAAGTCAGCATAAGATACAATATTCCTTCCTCTATTTAAAACCGAAATTAGCATCCTTGGAGAAATGGCTGATTCTAGAGCCAGGGTAGCTCTAGCACAAAATTAGTCTGAAACATCTTGTGCCAGAAAGTAAGTAAGTGCTCAAAGAATGATGGGGGCATGACAGAAGGACACAGGAGCCAGCTTAAAGAGGCTCCCACTGGGCAAATCTGGGATAATTTAAGCATCAAAAATAATTATAGTAACAGCTTGTAAATCACTTAATTCATAAGAAACCATGAATCCAGTGATATAAATAAATAGGTGAGAAGGACATCATTGGCCTTTCCATAGAAAGTCACTAATAATTGTAGAAGAAATGATGGAATTAGAAATTACCATTTGGCAGCCATCTTAATAATAATCAATGAATACCAAAACTAGTGGGTAAAAGTTTTGGAGTAACAGAATATGTATAGTCTCTCAAGGTACCTCCTATAAATAGATGAATTACCAAGGGAAAAATGGTAACTTTACGGTGGTGAAAACTGTCAGACACAATCTTAACCACAGGACCAAAATTAACAGCATTAGTAATAGGACAAACATCATATGCTTCCCAATCTATTCTAGTGAAAAGAATACAGCATCATTTCTATAACATTCCTGCAGAAATGTGTTACCTGAAGCTAAGCAGAATAAAATCCTGATATAAATGAATCCTCAGGAAGAAAACTCAACATTCACTAATCTATAATGATTAACACATATTCTTACACTCAGAAAGGCATCTTAAAGCATTTGAACTGTTGACATTAAATATTAGAATTATGAACTCCATTAACTGCCTTTTCAAATATTTCATAAGGTTTTAAAAATTGAAGAATGTAAAGTAAAATTTTTGACTTCGATGATAACATTTATCTGGTTACCTTAGATTGTTACACAAAGTTAGGTACATGAGTATTTTACTGAAGACTAATCCCATAGCAGCAAGGTCTATAATCTGAATTTTCTCTCTCCATCTCCCCACTAAGGTCAAGATGATGTTGCAATCCATGTACTGTTTCACCTGATTTTCCTTGGCATTACAGAAATAATTTGTGAAACCACTGAGTAAAATAGTAGAAGACAAGGTAACTGATTATGAAACCAGTAATGGAAATCAAATCTAAAATCTCAACCTTTTTAGCATCAGATGAACTTGCCTGGAAATCAAACTAAGTCTACAGGAATTTGCCTTGGTGTCCTAATGTACTGCACACAAAAGCGTAGTGGATCTTTCAATGTTTGTTTCCCAACAGCAGTGTATGAGAGTCTGATTTTTCCACATCCTAGTGAGCACGTACTATTTAGCTTTTTAATTCTAGCCATCCTAGTCAGTGTGAAGTGGCATCTCACTGAAGTTTGGATTTGCATTTTCCTAATGGCTAATGCTGCTGAGCATCTTTTTCTGTGTTTATTGGCCATTTGTGTATCTCCCTTAAAGAAATGTCTATTCAGACCCTTTGCTCATTTCTTAAATTGGATTATTTGCTTTTTTATTATTGAATTGTAGAGTTCTTTCCGACTTCATTTTACTATGTTTCTTTTCGGCTAACCACAGCTAGAGTCACCTGCTTGCAACCAAGAACCCTGACTGAAACACACTGTCTTCCCTCTTTATTATACTTCTCATTATTTTTTCAAGGAAAACTGTGTAAAAATTCTGAAAATAAAATGCTCCTGTTCTCCTAGTCTTGCGCAAAACAGAAGAGAGGACGTACGCCTCTAAGAGCAGAAAGTCATGTGTACGTCCATACATAGGATATACGGAATATGAAATGTTTTGGAGGGCCCAGTATTCATGTTTTCGTACAATAATCTATATGTGATAAGCCTGTATGAATTTCTTTGATTTCAATAGGATTTTTATAAGTCAAACTCTGAATGCTCCTTAAAATGCACATATTTCAACACACTGCCTTTAAAAGTTTATGACAGTTAATATGTGGGCTATTTACTGCTTATTTAAATGTTGACCAAATTGTCTACTGTATCTGACTAATCATCATCTCTTTTCATTTTGGAAGAAAAATTATTCAAATAATTTTTAAGACCCAAATGACTTTGGATTTTTGCAAAGAGGATGACAGACAGTTTAAACAATAGATTCTAACATTCTCTAAAAAACTTGAGATGCTTGAACTACCATTTTGTATGGGCTTATGTTGGATTTAGTCCAAGTAACACATACATGTTTAATTGATTCTGTTTCCAAAGATAGGTTCAGCTAAGTCTTCCAAATCAGGAGGTTGTTTGTTTTTGTTTTCCCTTCACACCTTATCCAGTTATGCAGCAACGAAAACATACTGAAGATCATGAAGATCATGAGCCAGTTTATCAGAGCTACATGTATAAGAAGACTCCTCTGCTAATACAAATTTTTTTTAAAGTTTACCTTATGCTAAGACTCAGAATCAATCAACAGTTACTTGCCATGTAACATATACAAACTAGTGGATGAAGAAGTTGAGATAACTTGAAACATCTGTTATGGAAAAATTCCACAGCTCAAGAAGGATACACACAAGGCTTTGTAGGTAGCAATTAATGCTCAGCTGAGTTTGAAGACTACAGAGACTGTGGAGATGGAGCAGGAGCGTCAGTACACATGGCTGTGGATAGGTCTGCAGTAGCCTGAACCAGGCTTTATTATAATAATAAAATAAAATATTATTTTATCCTGGAGAAGCTGGATGGAGCCATCCTTTGAGGCTTTACTAGGTCAGAGGGACAGGAGGGCAAAAGGACAGAAGGACAAGAGTGGGAGTTAAAGTAATGAATCATGGGGCCTAGACTGAATAGAAAAGGAAGTAAAGCCAGTAGGGAGCTAATGGAGGAGGTAAGAAGGATGAGCAAAGGGTTGTGGGTGCCAATTACACCGCAGACAGTGTGAGCCATTAATGAAATGAATGAAATGAAAGCTAAAGTCATACCAGGGAGTGAAAAGTGGGTTGGGGAAGGGAACATCAAATTGTTAGTGGATGGAACAGGCCAGTTAAGCAAGATTAGACTCTACTGTTGAAAGCAGCCAATGATGGAACAGAGTTTTAAAAAGCTTTTCTCAAAATCCTAAGATTTTCAATAAAACTAAGTATTTGTCCTGAAAGTCTGCCAGTAGTTGGTACATGTGCACTAGTAAGTCTGCAGGCTGAGTGCAATGTAGAAATACAGGTCTGTGGCCCAGTGCCATGGCTTCACATGCATGCTACTAAGGAGCCGTGACCCCATCAGGACACAGCAAGTTATGTCTGTGATTTGTGCTGACACATCAAAGGATGATGCTAGTAGTGATAAGGATGATGATTTTCTGAAGACTTTGAAAGTCTTCAGTTAATTCATTGATTCTGTAAGAAGATAGTCTCATTATATTGCTCAAGTCATATTTCCTATGCATTATCTGAGCATGCTTCATTTCACCTTAGTGAGACAAAGATAAATGACTACAAAGCAGGTTGGCATTAGGGATGATTTCATGAAGACACATTTCAGGGTGAGGGCTAGGCTCAGTATCAGCCTCACAAGTCCACATCTGCAGCATCTACCTCTCTTCTCATTGCAGCCTTCTAGTGAAATTGCTCTTGCTGAGGTCTCCAGTGGCAACAGGCTTTCTGGACCTCTCTGCTGTGTTGATCCCTGTTGATGACCACTCCCCTTGACACACTTTACCGAGTTGATGTCTGGGACCGCATATCCCCCTGGTTTTCCTTTTTTGGCTCTTGATCTTCCTTCTGTGTTTTTTTTCTGAATGTCTCCTCTTTTTCCATTAATTTCTTTAAAGCTGGTTATTTCCCCAGATTTCATTCTCAGACAATTGCTTTTCTCACTCTACACACTCTAGGTGGCTAGAGTCACTTTATCCACCATCTTGATTTCAACTGCTAACCACAAACTGAAAAAAACAGATCTGTTCCCAGCACTGCACTCTCCTGTACTGTTGGACTTAAATATCTCCAACCAACTATGGTACACCCCAATGCCAGTACAACTCTGGATGCCCCATAGAACCTCAATGTCAACATGTACAAAATTAATTTCTCATTCTCTTTTCTAAAAATGATTTCCTACTCCTGTATTCTCTATCTTAGTGACTTTCATTATCTACCTAGTTAATTAAGAGACCTGGTAGTGATCATCAAAGCTTCTTTTCCCTCTCTCTCTCTCTGTTGAAAATAACACATCCTGCCAATTTCATTTCATAATAATTTTTAAAGCTAATCTTCCCTCCATCCATACCACCACCATCCCATTTTAGCTATTATCATCACCTCAGACTCAAACCAATCCAACAACATGGTAAGCCATCTGCCCCCAGTCCTATGCCCGCCATTGCCAACAGAGTAAGAGATTCAAAACATCTGACCTCACATTTCTGACTCCAACCCTTTAATGACCTCTCCTTTAATGATAAAACATAATATAAGCCCCTCATCATGACATAAAAAACCTTTCATGATCTGGTCTTTTAACGTAACACATCAAACTTTATGTTTCATCAACACTAAATGACTTGCAAGTCCCTATACTTAAAAGCTGTTTCTCCACTTCGGGGTTTCTTTGCAAATGAGGTTCTCTATTACAGGTTGAGGATCCCTTATCTGAAATGCCTGGGACCAGAAGTGTTTCAAATTTTGGATTTTTTCAGATTTTGGAATATTTGAAGAACACATATCAGTTGAACATTTCTAATTAGAAAATCTGAAATCCAATATGCTCCAATGAGCACTTCCTTTGGGCATCATGTCAGTATTCAAAAAGTTTCAGATTTTGGAACATTCTAGATTTCGGATTTTTTGATTAGGGATGTTTAACCTGTATGTGGAACACTGTTTTGCCTTCACTTTGCTAACTCCCACGTAACTGTTTACAACTCAGTATAAGCATCGTCTTTTGCAAGTATTCCCTGAAATATTTTCTCTAAGACTAGGATACTTGCCCCTTCTCTAGGTTCTCATCCAATTAAACGCAATAAATAGGTATGAAATAGATCTTTCTATATTTATTAAAAAAAGACCCAGAGGAATATAAATTTTTAACTGTAACCTAATCAAAACACTATGAAGAAACCAGATTTTAAGAACTTAAAATCTTCTATATAATGTATTACAAAGTCAAAAAATTATTTTTGGACTATTGATAATATTGGATAACCTATCAGCATATTGGTGTGTGTGTGTATATATATATATTTTTTTTTTTAATTTTTTTTTTTTTTTGAGACAGAGACAGAGTTTTGTTCATTGCCCAGGCTGGAGTGCAATGGCACGATCTCGGCTCACCACAACCTCCGCCTCTCAGGTTCAGGCAATTCTCCTGCCTCAGCCTCCCAAGTGGCTGGGATTACAGGCATGCACCACCACGCCTGGCTAATTTTGTATTTTTAGTAGAGACGGGGTTTCTCCATGTTGAGGCTAGTCTTGAACTCCTGACCTCAGGTGATCCACCCGCCTCGGCTTCCCAAAGTGCTGGGATTACAGGCGTGAGCCACCATGCCCGGCCTGATATATTTTTTAATTAAAAATATATCTCTCTATATATATGTATATGTGTGTGTATGTATATATATATATATATATACACACACACACACACACACACACACTCTCACATATATATGTGTGTGTGTCCCTAGAAAAACTATTTGATTTTTTGAAAAACTAATTGTTTCCCATATATATATTATTTAAGACATACTTTATTTATAGTTTTTAATGCCCTCCAAGTAGAAATGGTTTCTAATGACCTCAATGTAGGTCCAAACATTTTCAAATAATGCTTGATAAAATTACTTACACCATTATTTGGAAAGAAATATTTTTTTAAACTGCAAAAAATTAAGACAAAAGATGTTTTGGTCTTGGGGTAAATTTTGTTTAAGAGCCATGTCCTTTATTATTGCTGTCTTTTACTACTATATAAATGGTGTCTTGGTAACAAATGCTATTAAGGGAAAAATTAAAGAATTCATTTTAAACTTGTTACATTGATTTTTTTTCTTAAATAAAATGATGTTTGTATGGATAGATCTTCCAGAAACTAAGGGATATTATTTTATCATTCTGTACCTTAATTCAAGTGTTTAAATATTCTTTTGGCAAGGGTATAGAAGTAATAATTTATTTTTAAAAACTTTTATTTTCATATTACTTTATTCCTTGTCTATAAAATAAATATTTCAAAGAGAATAATAAAATATAGACTGGGCATGGTGGCTCATCCCTGTAATCCCAGCACTTTGCAAGGCTGAGGCAGAGGATCGCTTGTGCTTGGGGGTTCATAACTAGCCTGGGCAACATAGTGAGATTTCATCTCTACTAAAAAATAAAAATAAATAAAAATTAGCTGGGCGTGGTGCACATGCCTGTAGTCCCAGGTCTGTGGGAGGCTGAAGCAGGAGGATGGCTTGAGCCCAGGAGGTTGAGGCTGCAGTGAGCTATGATAGCATCACTGTACTCTGGCCTGGGTGACAGAGTGATATCCTTGACTCCAAAAAAGAAAATAAAATAAAATATAGGTTCACAGTTACTCATATTGCCTTTCACACATTGATTTGTAAAGAAGGTTCCTTAATTTTCTCAAACTTTTGTGAAATTTCAAACAAAACACATCAAATTTCCCATTTTATATTTTATTGAGCCAAACAACAATGAACCCTCCATATCAATAAGACACTACATATTGGAGCTAGAAAAAAAAAGTTGAACGTGCAGAAGGCTTTTTTACCTGTGCAGAAATTCAAATGAGGTTGCGATGCTACAAAAATCATAACTACAAATATATCTGAAGGCATATCTAGTCTTACACTTGCTAAGAGAGATTACTGAGAAGCACTTTTATCATCTGTTTATTATGAGTTTAAAAGAAAGCAATTTTCCTATGAGTTTACAGAATTCCTAGAGCTTCCAATTAATCCACTATCCTTTTTGATCACTGGGGCCTTTATTATCTTATGATCCTGGCCAATTATCATCGCTATCAATGAAGGGAACCTGTGAGTGAGTGATCAGGCAAGTTAGTTGCAATCTCTTTTTGGGAATAACTCTAATCAGGAGACATACTCTATAAAAAATTTTTCCCCTGGAAAGACTACAACATATATTTAAAATTTTTTTGGCAGAGTTATATATGTAGAGCAAAATATTATTCATAAATCTTTTGCATACAATACTATTAAATGAATTGGTAGTCCAAATTTCTGATTTAAGTAATCTTTCTTTTAAAAATAAATGGAAGGAATGTCCAACCTGACATTATTTAAATAGGAGATTTAAATGAAATTGTTAATCTGAGCTCACAAAACAAGCTATCTTGTATAATCCATAAAGTCTAAAGTGCAGATGAACTGTAAATAAAACTACACCCAAAATAAGACAGACAAACCATTGTCATCTACCCGTAGAGTAAGTCTGATGATTTTTTCAAATAAAAATGACATAATCAAAAACATGATTGTATTTTCACTTGGCAATCCAGGAGACCTGTTTTCAATTTCCATTTTATTCTTTTGAACAAATATGCTTATTATTTTAAAAAAGCAACTAAGGAGTTAATAACATGCTAAAGTAGAATCTTAAAATCAGCCCATTAAAGTGAAAAGACATTTTGTTCCCACTGAAATTGATTATTACTTCAACCAAACTAAAAGCAAAAGAGAAATTCAAATGAGGTTGTGAATAAATGAGAACTCTTTTCACCAGAACTCACAGATATATCGCTAATAGTTTAAACTATTTTCTATTTTAACTTGAGAACACTTTATGATAAATTAGATATGAGAAAAAAATGTTTTCCATTCTCAATCTAATTCTTACAAAGCCTAAACAGAGCAAGGTCAAATGAGGTATTCCTTCAAATGAAATACATATTTTAATCATCTAATCTGACTTACAGAAAGATAAAAATCATATTAGGTCATATGAGGAAAAGATCACAATCTTCAACCACCACCACTATGATAATTTTAATAACACAGCCCTTGTATTATAAAAGACACTCACGGCCGGGCGCGGTGGCTCACGCCTGTAATACCAGCACTTTGGGAGGCCGAGGCGGGTGGATCATGAGGTCAGGAGATCGAGACCATCCTGGCTAACAAGGTGAAACCCCGTCTCTACTAAAAATACAAAAAATTAGCCGGGCGCGGTGGCGGGCGCCTGTAGTCCCAGCTACTCGGGAGGCTGAGGCAGGAGAATGGCGTGAACCCGGGAAGCGGAGCTTGCAGTGAGCCGAGATTCCGCCACTGCACTCCAGCCTGGGCGACAGACCGAGACTCAGTCTCAAAAAAAAAAAAAAAAAAAAAAAAAAAAGACACTCACCTGTCAATACCAATAATCAAAATCAAGTTTTGACACTGTTAGAGAGGTAAACTTAATTCTAAGATCTCATAATAACGGAGGAAAGCACTGATATAGATTATTCAAAATATCAAATCCAAAAGTCATTTAAGTACATTTTGTTTTATATAAATAATTTTATACTTTATATAAAAAATATACTTTACAGTATGTTTGAAGTAGATAAATCTTCCTGATTGCTTTTTACTTAGGTTAATAATAAAACCACGTAATTCACATTCCAGGAGAGCACAGTGTTTAGTCAACAAAAAAAGACACACCAAGAGTATGACAGATAGTATGGGAAGGGCAGTCAAGTGTTTAAAATCTCACCCAGATCATGCAAATGACAGAAATTCTCCACTGGAGTAAGGATGATGTGATGCTATTAAGCATCAAATGTGAGCAACAGAATTCTCTGCTTAAACCATAACTGTCTTCTTTTCTTGGTCCACAAAATTCATGAGACCCAGATAAGATTCCTAAGAAAGGTACTGATTGCATAGTAGTTTTCTCACTGATGGAATACTATTCATCTGTTGACACAATGGATAAATCACAAGGTTACAATTTACACCATTGACACAGGTTTGCTATTGATAAGGTATATTTTTCTTTCCACTACACAGTATTTGATTTTCATGTGTAGTCACATGTTTGTCTAACCCTTAATCAAAAGGCAAATAACAGAAACCTGAAATTCTTTCCGAACACACATTTGACATGCCTCATAAAATTCATGAATATATTTGTCTTCAGTGCTACTTGCATGCAAAGAACCCAACACGGAAGGTACACTGCCCTACGTCTATACTGAGTGTACTGAGAATTCCTACTTGAAGTGGAATTTGACTGGGCAGACCACAGTGCAGCATCTGAACGTTATTGTTTAATAAATTACTATTAGTGTCAATTCATAGTGACTACTAAAATAGTGCAGCTGACTACAGGGAAGAAGTATGATAAAGGAGGATAAAATAAACAGCAAATCTACCACCCTTATCCTTCCATGTTCTTATCTTTCTGGGTCCTAGTCATGAAAATGATATAAAAGTTCCCTTCAGGCTTATTCATATAATCAACACCATGTATTTCTCTCTCCAGTCTACCTGGAGAATGGTGAAACTAGGGAGCTAAGTTACTGAAAACCTAAGTTCTGCTAAGCCTCCTTCTTTTGGTGGCAGCTCACTCAACATTCTTTCAACAAACATGTTCTGGGTATCTAACACGTGCCAGGTACTCTGTGGGAAAATTATAATGAGGCCACTGAAAGAGCAGTAGATTATAAATCTTTTCATTGTCAAGTTTAGACCTAAGAACATAAATCAATAATTTAGGACATGATATAAAAGGTACATCTGTGAAGCCATCACCACTGAACCTAAAAAAATTTAAAATATTTCCATCTTTAATGAATTTGCAAATAAGTCCTTTCTTCCACATTTTAGAAAAATTTACTGTCATTCCAGATAAAAACTTACTAAGGTTAGTTCTACTTCATGAGGTTTGATCAAAAGGAGAACTGTTTTACCCAGAATTTTCAGCTATATAAATATTCACTACCAGTACTCTAAAAGGAAAGTATAAAGTATTATTCCTGATTCAAAACCACTACATAAAATTAGAGTAAAAAATTTAAAGCCTTCAAAAAGGAAAAAAGCACAACTAAAATGCAGGGAGTAAGGTTAGGAATAGCTCCCATAAATAAAATGTAATCACAAAATTTCCATTAGAATTAAGAGTTGTGCATTAGCTATTAAATGATAAAGCTATTTAAAGTTTAAAACAATTCATTTTATTATACTCCATCAACTTATTCCTGAATATGTGGAAGAAAACATTCAACTAGGCTTTATAGGAACAACCGCAATTTACTTCACGTTTTACTAAGTTTTCACAGTATGCCAGGTAACTTGCACAATGGTACAGCCTGGTTTAAAATAACTCCCCAATTACATATTTTAGTCGATTTTGTTTAAAATGTATAAAAACATATAAAACCTCAAGATTAGTTTGTTACTCAATCTTCAAAATGTATTTTGCATTCAGGAGCAAGACTGAAATTGGTTAAAAGGATATTCCATCAGAGTATTCTCAAAGGCACCGGCCAAGGCATATCATCACGCTAAGTCCTTTCTAACTGAAAACTTAGAAGATGCTACGTAATTCTTAGAATGTTAAGATACTAAAAGTATAGGAAGTCAAGGCAGAACATCCAAATAACTAAAGTCAACAGAATGAGGGTATTAAACTACTTTCATCAGCAATACTAACCAACTTAATAAACAATACAGATTTAATATTAAGTAGTCTTATGCAAAGTTATTTAGTGTATCTTAATATCTCAATTCATTAAGACTATTTTCTATTTTTATGGCTCTGAAAAGCACCAAATCTATATGAGTTATGATCTATAATTTTATTTGTAATTTAAAGAAATATGTGCATTTATTATCACAACCATAATAACTGATGACTAGTTCCAGTGGCAAAATCTCGGCAGGAAACAGATTTAGCAATTTAAATGTTTTTTAAGTTTTTGTAATTGAGGAAACTTTTCATAATCTGACATTTGTTAAAACCACTTATTAGAAATTATGCAGCACAGTAGCTGTGCAAATATGAGCTAGCTTCACAATTATAAAGTCAGCCTATGTAGCCCTTTCCTATTGTATATAGTGGCATAAACCCCACGGCGGCCTATCAGCTAACTGGCAGGCGGGGGCTGCTCTATTCAAAGTGAGAGATACAAGCTGCAGGGCAAAAACCTGGCAGCTCCCATCTGACCCCACAATCCCCTACTGGTGACAGCTCCAAGCTCCATGGCAAATTAGGCCTTCTCATATTACAATTGGAGAAGACAGATTCCATTAGCAGTATCTGAAATTGAGTGGAGAGCTGCACTGTTATCAGACTTGACTCATAAGCACTGCTATTAATCAGAGCTATGATAGCATTTATATATTTCAAGCTATCTGCTGCCGCTGTGATATTCTGCTACAAAGGGTTGATGGGACTTAGGAAAGTGAACAATAGAGCTTTCTGGGAAAAGCAGAGTAAATCAAGAAAGTCTATGACTTCCGCACATTCTGAAGGGATTGTGGTTTACATAAATTTTCTCCCAATTGGAGATTGAGCTCTTCCTCATCTTACACATGGGATTTAGTTGTCACTCAATGGTAACAGCTGTGAAAAGGTGAAGCGGCCCACCGCTCAGAATATTGCCTTAGCTTTTAAAGCAATTAACCCATGAACAGGAGGATACCTGGTGATATCAAAGGGATTAGGCCAGGCAGTGCATTATTAACATTTCCTTGAACTAATTCTAACTCTGACTAGCTGTCAGAAAAGACTCTACAGTCTTAAAAAAGAGTTTTTGCCCTGCTTTTTTTCCCTTCAAAATGAAGCGCTGCTATTTGAGCCTAATATGTCCCTCTACTTATAAGAAAATGCAAATGAACCAAGCTCTTAATATGCTTAAGCAGTCTAAGTCAATGCAATTTTAATACAAGTATGAGAGAAATATATGATCAATTAACCACGGATCAAGACAGATATTCTCCTGAATGGAAATTAACGCTCCAGTACTTTCCATTCTTCTTCAACTACAAAAACTTGGTAACTATTTGTTACTTATGCATAGTTACTTCTGAAATTAGGAAGAGCTTCACATTATTCTCTATGGCAATAATCTAAAATACTCTTTGAGCTGGAAAATCCAAATGTCCCTTAAGCAAGAGATTCCGCATTCTCTAAGGTATGGTATTTTAATTTTCTATTCTTTATTGAATGGAATCTTAGCTGAAGCTCTAAGAATAGCAGACACAGTGCTCAGAATCAAGTCTTCGCCTTCTAAAATTTAATCAAATTAATTTTTAGCAGCAACACGATGTTTAAAAATATATAAGTTATAAAATTACAAAATCCATGAGTTAAATACTGGCACAAAACAATCTGCCAGAAGATATTTAAGGATTACTGAAATTGATCGTACGTTCTTTGTAGTAAGCAAAGTTTCAATATACCTTTAATATTATTAATATTCCTATATTCTAGGTAATCTACTTGACGTTAAGAGAGCTGATGTCTTACTGCACAATATTAATGATGTTAGGAAGTATTTTTATGTGAGTTTCCTGAAACTACACCTTTTTGAAAAAATATTTGAAAAACTGCCTATTTAATAGTAACTTTGTATTACTTTCTTTAAAATAAGCACTGAATTTTGATTATAAAAAATAAGAGCTTTACTTTCAATTCACATGAGTCTTCAACAAATATTGTGGAATGAATTCTATAGTTCCATTTGGCCGGCAATAGTTTGAAAAGGATAGGCTGACTCTCAGGCCTGTTGAAAATACATCCCCTGCACTGTAACTACCAAAATAAATGACACGACATATACCCTCCTCTGATATCATAAGCAATGTAAATCTTCCCCGAGGTAAAGAATTTTTATACAATGCTATCAACATGCTCCCTTCTCTTTTAGTGATACCGGAACATATGAAGGATGAGAATATAGATGTTTAATGATAGTGACTTCAGTACTCCTTCTTTATTCAGTAAATAAGACCTAGTTTGACATTTCCTAGAAAATAATTTTGAAATTCAAGCATTAAATAATGTTAAATGGTGTTCATGTTAATGATTTATATTACCTATAACTTTAAAATTTTATATTAATAGGATTTGTGAATTTCAAATAGAATAGGGCATTTTAAATATTATGCTATTAAATCTAAAAATCATTTACTTTAATAGCCTTAAAAAAGAAAACCCCAGTTCCCAGAAACCACTAACTATATTACAGCCTTAGAAACACAGATGTACACATTAATAAAATGAATACTATTTCATATAAATGAAATGTACTAGATTAAACTCCCCTAACATAATGCATGCTTAAAAATACTCCTTAAGGGGACAATACATAAATACTTACAGAAACAACTGCCACAATCTTACTATTTTTAATTCAATAAACTACAGTGACACGGCTTTCAATGTGCTGTTTTACTCATATGCTTTCTACATTAGAGCAAAGCAAATATAAATGAGTTCTTGCCAACCATTAGGAAAGATTGACAAAAAAATGCAGTGTTAATGACATCTTACAGCTTTTAAAAGCAAGAGAAAGATGCAAGAAAAGCAAAAATTACATAGTAATTGGAAACAACGAATAAATTGGTCTTTCAATCTAAGTCATGTTTACTGAAAAAAATGGAGCTTTTTACATCAACACATTTAAACATAAATTTGCTTTTGAAATAAAATCTTTGTTTAAAAGGTACAGAAGGTCTTTATGTCCACCCCAAGAGCTAAATATAGTGAATGCTATGTGAACAATTACCTGAAAAAAACCTAAACCTGTTAAAAGAATTAATTTACTGCACACCAGTCAGCACTAATCCTACGTGTACAGTAATGGTCTCTTAAGTGATGGGGGAAAGAAAGAATAAAACTGTTTCCTGGATCAAAACCCTTCAATATTCAACAACAAAATGGAATGATGATTTGGTTTGTAAATGAATAAAGTAGTGAAACGTCTCCTAAACAAATTCTGATAAGGGAGTCAAGCTGCAAAGAAACACATTTATTGTACACTGGAACAGGAAAAAGCCATCACTGTAATGGTTGTACAAAAACTGTGTCCTGCTGTTGGGTTTATATTCACAGAAGAAAGGTTTTAAAGGTTAAGTTCAGGTCATACAACAAATGAAATTGTAACAAGCCAGCTGACATTGTATAATGTCTTCTTCCACTCAATCAATAGGCTACTGTTAGTCCTATTACCATAGAGATGGCTTCTCCTTTTTGAAGGGTGTCTATTGTTTGACAAAACAGATTTGCCACTTGAACTAGGTTATTCCCAAAGGACGTGTACCTTGTCAATTATTTGTATTCAAAATAATGAAGTATTTTCATATTAAAATTATGTAAGAGATAATATTGTTAGATCCCTTTTCTGAAAGAAAGCAACTTTTCCAAAGCACATACTATATTATTAAAACTACTCAAATACCTAATTTAGTCATATTAAGAGATTCAATTTAAAGCACATGTCAGCAAGTATAAAATATATCATTAGCCATGCATATTAAAAGAAAAGCGTTACAGGCTAGTGTGCTAATCTAAACCATTATAATTAATCATAATAATTAATAAAAGCTATTTTTAAAGAAAAGTACTGTCCAGAGCTATCCAGATTCTGTAAATTTTTAAGACTTTTATTTACGATTCTTACAGTAGTTCTCATATGGAATGGTATCAACAATTAATAATGTTGAAAAACATGGAAAAGTTTTAGAAAATGAATCCCTTTACTTGCACAAAGAGCTATTTATAGCTATATAACATTTAAATATATGTCTATGTTACATAAATGATCTAAAATACAGACTATCAAAATGAATATATTAGTCTTCTTTAAATGTTTTTGTTCTAAAGTATCTTGTGAAAATTAATAATATACTCATTCAATACAGAACAAGGAAGTTCCCATTCAACCTAGATATTTAAAAACAAAAAACACTTTTTCTCTCAGTGGAAATACTGACAGATTATTAATTACAAAAGACTCAGAAGGAACAATTCTAATAAAAATTATCCTAACCATTGAGAAAAAGAAAAATATTAATAGTACTAATGAATCTAAGCAGAAACATTATTTTAAATATTTCATAAAGACTAAAATAACAAATTTAATAATATAACAATTTGGGAAAAGATCAACAGTTACAATACTTGAATCTGAAAGTTTTTTCACATACAGATCAAAAGTAAACTTCAGAGTTATAATTATACTAACTCTTATCTTTCTATAAATAATTAAAAGAGAATTTAGAATTTGGCTAAAGGGCAGTATTATGACTTTGACACAAATAAAAATATTGGTCTCCAAAAAAGACATTTGAAATTGTACCTATTCAAATTATATTTACCTACAGAAATCATTTGTTTTATAGTAAGACATGCAAAAGTTTTTAGAAGAAGTGTTTTAATTTGGTTTTTCCTTTTGCAGAAAGTGTAATTTGTATTTTTCACTATAATCCTCTTAGGTATAGGATGCACTGAGTTAAGAATGAAGGAGACAGAACATCAAAGACAATGGGTTACCAGCATTCTAAACTAATGACCAATGTTTTAAAAGCAGGGTAGACTTCCAACCTAAGAAAGTCTTCTATCAATGAATTACTTGGGATCTAATTTGCCTACCTTTACTACAGCCATAACGGAGCAGAGTGAAACCTTACTAAAACCACATCCCAAATTGATTTCCTTAGTTAATATCCTTATTTCAGAAAGTATACAACATGTTCATATTTAGAATACAATATAATTAGGTATTAGCCCTGGACCTGATAGGCAGCTGCTCGTCAGCAATACTGTGAATAATTAAATGATATTTACCATTTACCAAAAGATGAACCTCATATTGTTGAATTAAACTGGCCCATCTGCATCTTCACAAAATGACAAACCTCATTAGTTCTGCCTAATCAGAGAACTGTGATAATGAACTGGTGACACCTTCACTCCACTGTAGGAAACAAAACCAACTGTGTAATCATTTGAGGGGTCAAATGCATATGAAAGTATTATAAATTAAGAAAGTGAAATCACATGTGTTAGGGAAACCAAGCAACAAAAGATTTTTTTAATGTATGTACTTGAGCCATAAGAAATCTACATCTCCAACTGCTCAAAATTAATTTTAACTAATCAACTACTTTACCTGAAAACGGTGAAAAAAAGTAATGATGCAGCTACTGCTCCAAATAAGCCACAGAGAAGATTGACGCGGTAGGCAATTGAACCAAAAGGAAACAGTGTAATTGCCAGTTTAGCCACCAGCGTGAACAAAGGATAGCCAGGAGGATGGGCAACCTACGGAAAAATTAGCAACAGTTAGAAGGTTTTCATCTAGGAAAGGAAGAGTCCCACAGGCCTTAATTGAAAAGTAGCCCTTTTCTCAAGCAGCTATAAAGATTAGGCACCAATGACTAAATGTTTGAATAGTGGTTTTCTATTGTAATCCTCTTGAGGCAATACAAATAAATATTTTCTTTAGTGGATTTGGCAGCGTCTATCACATGGTGCGTCACCCAGAGAAAGGGTGACATATTTCATTGTCAGTTCTTAAGCAGTTTGTTCTCTGGGTTCACAGTACATTAGGGTCATTTAAAAGGCTATTGAAAAAAAGCAGGTTCTGAAATATCGTATTGGTTAGAAAGTTGAAAGACCACACTGCTATCGGATTACCACCATGCTGACAGTCGTAAGGTCTTGCCTGAAGGGATCATGCACCATAATAAAGTTTATTAAATAATAAACTTATTAAAACTGTTAACCCGATTTATTTTATTCCCCACAGCTTATACAAAATTTGGGGTGATAATAAGGCAGCTACTGTATATATAGTAAAGGCTTTGCTTTATAATTTAGTTTAATTGGATTTAAAACTTAAAGTAAATTGTCACGTACTGTACTTATAAGTTACTAAAAACGGGGGTTTGAAAATAAATTAATCTACTTTACTCCATGCTTAATTAAACTTTCTTAATTCCTAAAACTGTTAATGAGAGCATTGATTAAACAATAAAACTAATACTTACTCCAAGCTCATGTGCGGCTGTGATCAGTTCCCCTGTGAAAAAATAATGTAAAACCAATAATTACTATTAGAGAATGACACTCCTCCAAAGTTTTCAAAATCCAAATGCTTGCATTGGGGTTTTGCATTAATTTGACTGGATAAAACTGTAAATCTGTAGAGATTTAACAGCATGAAATAGTCTAAGAATATTTTCTCCTTTAGGTCTTATTGAACAAACTATCTTTGATAGTCTTTAAGAAGTGGTCAGTGGAAATATAGGTACATTCTGGTCTTTAAAAAATGCTTATTTTCCCTCTTGAAAGTTGTATCCACTTGCAAATATACAAATACTGTTGGAGCATTAGTGTAATATGCTTTATTATCCCTCAAGAAATTAGCACGAAAGTCTATAAAGATACAACCTTATAGTAAGGTAAAATGCGCAGACATCTGAGGTTTGGACACTCCATAAAATGTCCCATACTACCCTAAAACTGGCATTTGGGTATCTTCTCCACATTAATTGCACTGGATATCTTTAAATGATTTCCAAGTGTTTATTAACTCCACGTTATTTCGGTAAGGTTCACTGTAAGACATTTTTTCAAACCATTAAATAATATTCTTTACATAGTCCTTTATAGTTCCTCACCATTAGTGACTATTTCTAAAATTATGATGCAGTAATTTGATGCCTATTTGTTAACCTTTTACGTATTCAGAGCACAGGGACTATTTCTGACTCATCCCTGTACATTGTAGTACCGTACAATGTAAGGAATCAATATTGATGAATGACTCATGAAAGTTACTAGTACCTATTAGGAAATGTACTACTGTCCACTTCCTATCCTTTCATAGATAGCAATACTCTGCATTTAATTTCTGTCCCAGCTACAATTTAGACCTTTACTCTCTCTGGCCTGGACTATGGCAACAGACTTGACCAATCCTACTTCAATTCATCTTCATACTGAAATCACTTATAATCAACACCTGCCTTCCCCCATGCCCCTAAACACATACACACACACACACACACACACACACACACACACACAAAAGGCTGGATTGCATCCCTAGTCTAAAATTTCTCAATGGCTGCTCTCTGCTTACTGAACGAAGTTCAGATTCCTCAGCATGACGTTCAAGCTTTCTATGGTTTCAAGGTCCCTTTTCTAGGCTTATATCCATGAAACCTATGTTCCCTCCAGTCAAATCTTATTACCCACTGTTTCTCTGGAGTGGTCCTCTTTTGCACCTCTTCTCACTCATTTTCTCACCCTGGAATATTTTCCCTAGCATTCTCCCCCTAAATCCTTCAAGGCCAAGTTCAATTGCCACCTTCTTGGTAACCTTTCCTTAGACACCTGCTTCCCCAGCCTCCCCATCAGAATTAATCACTTCTTCCTCCTCCATAGAACCTGCTTGAGTCTATTTAGCACTTTAGATGGCCTTATATTCTGGTTGGTTTTCATTTCTCTCTCCCACTAAGTTTAAAAACATTATCCTATCCATTTCACGATCGTGCCAGGATACCACCACCTCTCCCCTCTGGCCACACACAAAGCATCAATTCAAGCCATACACACAGAGGTTAACAAAAATACACATCACATTGTCATCCTTGCTACTAAGACACCCCAGTCTTAGGTGACTGCATCATGGAAGCCTTATAAGGGCACCTGAAGACAGATTAAGTCAATTACTTAAGGACATTTGTTAAGAGATATTCAAGAGCACCTGAGAAACCAGCACATTTTATATCCTAAATGCTTCTTTTTAAATAGTTTATGGTCTCACAATGTCTCAAACAACTGTTCCCTTTGTTAACTACTGTAAAGGATATGATTTTATAGTTTACTCCATAATGGATTAGCTCTTAAGTCTTTAGCTCCAAACTATTTTCGATTTTTTTGTTCCTGTAATCTTTTTGTAACGAAGCCACCATAAATTCAAAATTTCAAAGGTCACTATTCATTCTCCTCCATTTAAAATGTATTCAGAATTACATTTAACATTAAGAAAAATAGGCTGTTTTTCTCTAACTTCTTTTTACCATGGAAAAGTCAGTGTGCTGTTATTATTTGCCAGACTTCTGCTGCTATAAAGATAAATCTGGAATGTGACAAACTTTCATCAATTCTTATCAAATGTTAAACTAAAATCGAAATAGAAAAGATGTCCCCATTCAACGTCTCTAAATGTAACCTTGATAAAGATCTAAAGGGAAATACTACTCTTAAATTGATTGTGATAAAGAGGAAGGGAATAGTAAAAAAACCTCGAGCTTCCCGAGTCTTGGCTTTCTCCCAACCCTTTACATGAAAGGTTCCTCAGTTGTGTCTACCTGCATCAGAATTAACCTGCTTTTTAAAAATGAAGATTCCTTGCCCACACCTCCAAATTCCATAATCTACTAAGACCCACTTGCACTGGGGGCTCAAGTTTCCCAGGTAATTCTGAAGTACGTTCCTGTCTGAGAACCACGGCTTTGTTGTCTGCAATACAAACTAATGGCAAGCCCAGAGTTGTCAGCAGATGCTTAACCTTTACAAAAACCAGCTCCCTTTATATCATACTTCTCAATATTAATTAGACTAGACTGTCACACATCACATCTGTTAAAGACAGTATCTTTGAAATAAACTCACGTACAAACTAATTTAGTGAAGGCCAGATTCCTACCCCCTCCCCGAAAAGCACCACAAGCACCCTGCCCATAAATGAACTGTGTGTGTCAAGTGGTACAAAAAATAATTTTGGCAAGACGACACAATGTGATGAATCTATGGAGTAAAATGTAAGACTTATCAGGAAGAAGAATACATGCTTTATACTGGTTTTGAGATGTGTTCTGTTTATTGATGAAAATATAATTCATAAACATTCAAGAATAGTGCATTCAACATGTAAACACAATTATCAAATATACGATAAAGCAAATTTTCCATATTGGCATATACTTGGAAAACAGTTTATCATTCCCAAAAATGAACATAAAAATATTAGAAGCAACCACTATTTAACATCAAACCAAACAAAATTAAAGCACCTAAAGTTTGGTAACTCAAGGTGAATACACAACTTTATTCTTTTAGGAAAAAATAAAATACAGTATTAATAAAGGCAAGGCAATAATCATGATTTTAAATAAATTTTAAACATCACTACATATGTGATGGTGGATTTAGAAAAGAATTTCATGAAATGTTTTGACGAAAAGTAGAGGTTAAGGGGGCATATTCTGAAGTCAATATACTTTTCTTTTCCTGATTTCTCTACTTTGTGTGACTTTGGGCATAGCTTAGCCTTAGTTTTCCCATTTATAAAAGGAAAATAATAATTGCACCTACTTTTAAGGGTAGCTGGGAGGGTTAAAACAACAACCCATATAAAGCACTTGGAACAGTGCCTGGCACATAGTAAGTGCCCAACAAACGTCAGTTATTATAAATCTCACTCCCATCCTTCACACTCAACCAACCATAAGTAGCTGTCAATCTTTTTATTTTTTTACAAGTAACAGAACTACCTAACCTCTGAATAATGCTCTCCAGCACCAAAACTCACAACTATAAAGTTACTTCCATTATGAAATACCAATCTTGGTAACACTGTACAGAAACTCCCTACTACACG